>NC_000008.11:44551617-44874137 GCF_000001405.40 Homo sapiens | reverse complement strand
TCTATAAAAAGAATGTTTCAGAACAGTTCTGTCAAAAGAAAGGTTCAACTCTGTTAGTGGAGAACACACATCACAATCAAGGTTCTGAGAATGCTTCTGTCTAAATTTTCTATGAAGACATTCCCGTTTCCAACGAAATCCTCACAGCTATCCAAATATCCACTTGCAGATTCTACAAAAAGTGTGGTTCAAAACTTCTGTATCAAAAGAATGGATCAACACTGTTAGTTGAGTACCCACATCACAAACGTGATTCTCAGAATGCTTCTGTCTAGTTTCTATAGGTAGATATTTCCTTTTTCAGCATAGGCCTGAAAGCGCTCCAAATGCCCACTTCCAGACACTATAAAAAGAGGGTTTCAAACCTACTCTATGAAAGGGAATGTTCAACTCTGAGAGCTGGATGCAAACATCACAAAGAAGTTTCTGAGAATGCTGCTGTCTACTTTTTATATATAATCCCGTTTCCAACGAAATCCTCAAATCTATCCAAATATCCACTTGCAGATTCCAAAAGAAGAGTGTCTCAAAACTGCTCTATCAATAGAAATGTTCAGCACAGTTAGTTGAGTAGATACAGCATAAACATGTTTCTGAGATTACTTCTATCTCGCATTCATGGGAAGATATTTCCTTTTTCCAGATAGGCTACAAAGCCCTCCAAATGTCCACTTCCAGATACTACAAATAGAGTGCTGCACAACTGCTCTATGTGAGGGGAAGTTCAATTCTGTGACTTGAATGCAGACACCACAAAGAAGTTTCTGAGAATGCTGCTGTCTAATTTTTACATGTAAGCCCGTTTCCAACGAAATCCTCAAAGCTATCCAAATATCCGCATGCAGAATCTTCAAAAAGAGTGTTCCAGAAGTACTGCATGAAACGAAAGGTTCAAGTCCGTTTGTTGAGGACACACATCACAAATAAGTTTCTCAGAATGCTTCTGTCTTGTTTTCATTGGAAGATATTTCCTTTTTCACCATAGTTCAGAAAGCGCTCCAAATGTCCACTTCCAGATACTCCAAAAAGAGTGTTTCAAACCTGCTCTATGAATGGGAATGTTCCACTCTCTGACTTGAATGGAAATATGGCAAAGTATTTTCTGAGTATGCTGCTGTCTACTTTTTATATGTAATCCCGTTTCCAACGAAATTCTCAAAGCGATACAAATATCCACTTGCAGATTCCAAAAAAAGAGTGTTTCAAACTGCTCTGTCAGTACAAAGGTTCAACACTGTTAGTTGATTGGATGCATCATAAACAAGTTCCTGAGATAGCTTCTATGTCGTTTTTATGGGAAGATATTTCCTTTTTCACCATAGGCCTGAAAGCGCTCCAAATGTCCACTTCCAGATACTACAATAAGAGTGTTTCCAACCTGCTCTATGAAACGGAAGGTTCAACTCTGTGACTTGATTGCAAACATCACGAAGGTGTTTCTGAGAATGTTTCTGTCTAGATTTTCTTTGAAGACATTACCGTTTCCAACGAAATCCTCAAAGCTAGCCAAATATCCACCTGCGGATTCTACAAAAAGAGTGTTTCAACAGTGCTCTGTCCAAACCAAGGTTCAATTCTGACAGTTGAGTGCACACATCACAAACGTGATTCTGCGAATGCTTCTGTCTAGTTTTTGTCGGAAGATATTTCCTTTTTCAGCATAGGCCCCAAGGAGCTCAAAATGTCCACTTCCAGATAGTACGAGAAGATTGTTTCAAACCTGCTCTGTGAAAGGGAATGTTCAACTCTGTGACTTGAATGTAAACATCCCTAAGATGTTTCTTAGAATGCTTCTGGCTAGATTTGATTTGAAGATATTCCCGTTTCCAACGAAATCCTCAAAGCTTTCCAAATATCCACTTCCAGATTCTATAAAAAGAATGTTTCAGAACAGTTCTGTCAAAAGAAAGGTTCAACTCTGTTAGTGGAGAACACACATCACAATCAAGGTTCTGAGAATGCTTCTGTCTAAATTTTCTATGAAGACATTCCCGTTTCCAACGAAATCCTCACAGCTATCCAAATATCCACTTGCAGATTCTACAAAAAGTGTGGTTCAAAACTGCTGTATCAAAAGAATGGATCAACACTGTTAGTTGAGTACCCACATCACAAACGTGATTCTCAGAATGCTTCTGTCTAGTTTCTGTAGGTAGATATTTCCTATTTTAAGCATAGGCCTGAAAGCGCTCCAAATGCCCGCTTCCAGACACTATAAAAAGAGGGTTTCAAACCTACTCTATGAAAGGGAATGTTCAACTCTGAGAGCTGGATGCAAACATCACAAAGAAGTTTCTGAGAATGCTGCTGTCTACTTTTTATATATAATCCCGTTTCCAACGAAATCCTCAAATCTCTCCAAATATCCACTTGCAGATTCCAAAAGAAGAGTGTCTCAAAACTGCTCTATCAATAGAAATGTTCAGCACAGTTAGTTGAGTAGATACAGCATAAACATGTTTCTGAGATTACTTCTATCTCGCATTCATGGGAAGATATTTCCTTTTTCCACATAGGCTACAAAGCCCTCCAAATGTCCACTTCCAGATACTACAAAAAGAGTGTTTCCAACCTGCTCTATGAAACGGAAGGTTCAACTCTGTGACTTGATTGCAAACATCACGAAGGTGTTTCTGAGAATGCTTCTGTCTAGATTTTCTTTGAAGACATTACCGTTTCCAACGAAATCCTCAAAGCTAGCCAAATATCCACCTGCAGATTCTACAAAAAGAGTGTTTCAAAAGTGCTCTGTCCAAACCAAGGTTCAATTCTGACAGTTGAGTGCACACATCACAAACGTGATTCTGCAAATGCTTCTGTCTAGTTTTTGTCGGAAGATATTTCCTTTTTCAGCATAGGCCCCAAGGAGCTCAAAATGTCCACTGCCAGATAGTACGAGAAGATTGTTTCAAACCTGCTCTGTGAAAGGGAATGTTCAACTCTGTGACTTGAATGTAAACATCCCTAAGATGTTTCTTAGAATGCTTCTGGCTAGATTTTATTTGAAGATATTCCCGTTTCCAACGAAATCCTCAAAGCTTTCCAAATATCCACTTCCAGATTCTATAAAAAGAATGTTTCAGAACAGTTCTGTCAAAAGAAAGGTTCAACTCTGTTAGTGGAGAACACACATCACAATCAAGGTTCTGAGAATGCTTCTGTCTAAATTTTCTATGAAGACATTCCCGTTTCCAACGAAATCCTCACAGCTATCCAAATATCCACTTGCAGATTCTACAAAAAGTGTGGTTCAAAACTGCTGTATCAAAAGAATGGATCAACACTGTTAGTTGAGTACCCACATCACAAACGTGATTCTCAGAATGCTTCTGTCTAGTTTCTATAGGTAGATATTTCCTTTTTCAGCATAGGCCTGAAAGCGCTCCAAATGCCCGCTTCCAGACACTATAAAAAGAGGGTTTCAAACCTACTCTATGAAAGGGAATGTTCAACTCTGAGAGCTGGATGCAAACATCACAAAGAAGTTTCTGAGAATGCTGCTGTCTACTTTTTATATATAATCCCGTTTCCAACGAAATCCTCAAATCTATCCAAATATCCACTTGCAGATTCCAAAAGAAGAGTGTCTCAAAACTGCTCTATCAATAGAAATGTTCAGCACAGTTAGTTGAGTAGATACAGCATAAACATGTTTCTGAGATTACTTCTATCTCGCATTCATGGGAAGATATTTCCTTTTTCCAGATAGGCTACAAAGCCCTCCAAATGTCCACTTCCAGATACTACAAAAAGAGTGTTTCCAACCTGCTCTATGAAACGGAAGGTTCAACTCTGTGACTTGATTGCAAACATCACGAAGGTGTTTCTGAGAATGCTTCTGTCTAGATTTTCTTTGAAGACATTACCGTTTCCAACGAAATCCTCAAAGCTAGCCAAATATCCACCTGCAGATTCTACAAAAAGAGTGTTTCAAAAGTGCTCTGTCCAAACCAAGGTTCAATTCTGACAGTTGAGTGCACACATCACAAACGTGATTCTGCGAATGCTTCTGTCTAGTTTTTGTCGGAAGATATTTCCTTTTTCAGCATAGGCCCCAAGGAGCTCAAAATGTCCACTGCCAGATAGTACGAGAAGATTGTTTCAAACCTGCTCTGTGAAAGGGAATGTTCAACTCTGTGACTTGAATGTAAACATCCCTAAGATGTTTCTTAGAATGCTTCTGGCTAGATTTGATTTGAAGATATTCCCGTTTCCAACGAAATCCTCAAAGCTTTCCAAATATCCACTTCCAGATTCTATAAAAAGAATGTTTCAGAACAGTTCTGTCAAAAGAAAGGTTCAACTCTGTTAGTGGAGAACACACATCACAATCAAGGTTCTGAGAATGCTTCTGTCTAAATTTTCTATGAAGACATTCCCGTTTCCAACGAAATCCTCACAGCTATCCAAATATCCACTTGCAGATTCTACAAAAAGGGTGGTTCAAAACTGCTGTATCAAAAGAATGGATCAACACTGTTAGTTGAGTACCCACATCACAAACGTGATTCTCAGAATGCTTCTGTCTAGTTTCTGTAGGTAGATATTTCCTTTTTCAGCTTAGGCCTCAAAGCACTGCAAATGCCCGCTTCCAGACACTATAAAAAGGGGGTTTCAAACCTACTCTATGAAACGGAATGTTCAACTCTGAGAGCTGGATGCAAACATCACAAAGAAGTTTCTGAGAATGCTGCTGTCTACTTTTTATATATAATCCCGTTTCCAACGAAATCCTCAAATCTAGCCAAATATCCACTTGCAGATTCCAAAAGAAGAGTGTCTCAAAACTGCTCTATCAATAGAAATGTTCAGCACAGTTAGTTGAGTAGATACAGCATAAACATGTTTCTGAGATTACTTCTATCTCGCATTCATGGGAAGATATTTCCTTTTTCCAGATAGGCTACAAAGCCCTCCAAATGTCCACTTCGAGATACTACAAATAGAGTGCTGCACAACTGCTCTATGTGAGGGGATGTTCAATTCTGTGACTTGAATGCAGACACCACAAAGAAGTTTCTGAGAATGCTGCTGTCTAATTTTTATATGTAAGCCCGTTTCCAACGAAATCCTCAAAGCTATCCAAATATCCTCATGCAGAATCTTCAAAAAGAGTGTTCCAGAAGTACTGCATGAAACGAAAGGTTCAAGTCCGTTAGTTGAGGACACACATCACAAATAAGTTTCTCAGAATGCTTCTGTCTTGTTTTCACTGGAAGATATTTCCTTTTTCACCATAGTTCAGAAAGCGCTCCAAATGTCCACTTCCAGATACTACAAAAAGAGTGTTTCCAACCTGCTCTATGAATGGGAATGTTCCACTCTGTGACTTGAATGGAAATATGGCAAAGTATTTTCTGAGTATGCTGCTGTGTACGTTTTATATTACATCCCGTTTCCAACGAAATCCTCAAAGCGATCCAAATATCCACTTGCAGATTCCAAAAAAAAGAGTGTTTCACACTGCTCTGTCAGTACAAAGTTCAACACTGTTAGTTGATTGGATGCATCATAAACAAGTTCCTGAGATAGCTTCTATGTCCTTTTTATGGGAAGATATTTCCTTTTTCACCATAGGCCTGAAAGCGCTCCAAATGTCCACTTCCAGATACTACAATAAGAGTGTTTCCAACCTGCTCTATGAAACGGAAGGTTCAACTCTGTGACTTGATTGCAAACATCACGAAGGTGTTTCTGAGAATGCTTCTGTCTAGATTTTCTTTGAAGACATTCCCGTTTCCAACGAAATCCTCACAGCTATCCAAATATCCTCTTGCAGATTCTACAAAAAGTGTGGTTCAAAACTGCTGTATCAAAAGAATGGATCAACACTGTTAGTTGAGTACCCACATCACAAACGTGATTCTCAGAATGCTTCTGTCTAGTTTCTGTAGGTAGATATTTCCTATTTTAAGCATAGGCCTGAAAGCGCTCCAAATGCCCGCTTCCAGACACTATAAAAAGAGGGTTTCAAACCTACTCTATGAAAGGGAATGTTCAACTCTGAGAGCTGGATGCAAACATCACAAAGAAGTTTCTGAGAATGCTGCTGTCTACTTTTTATATATAATCCCGTTTCCAACGAAATCCTCAAATCTATCCAAATATCCACTTGCAGATTCCAAAAGAAGAGTGTCTCAAAACTGCTCTATCAATAGAAATGTTCAGCACAGTTAGTTGAGTAGATACAGCATAAACATGTTTCTGAGATTACTTCTATCTCGCATTCATGGGAAGATATTTCCTTTTTCCAGATAGGCTACAAAGCCCTCCAAATGTCCACTTCCAGATACTACAAATAGAGTGCTGCACAACTGCTCTATGTGAGGGGATGTTCAATTCTGTGACTTGAATGCAGACACCACAAAGAAGTTTCTGAGAATGCTGCTGTCTAATTTTTACATGTAAGCCCGTTTCCAACGAAATCCTCAAAGCTATCCAAATATCCGCATGCAGAATCTTCAAAAAGAGTGTTCCAGAAGTACTGCATGAAACGAAAGGTTCAAGTCCGTTTGTTGAGGACACACATCACAAATAAGTTTCTCAGAATGCTTCTGTCTTGTTTTCATTGGAAGATATTTCCTTTTTCACCATAGTTCAGAAAGCGCTCCAAATGTCCACTTCCAGATACTCCAAAAAGAGTGTTTCCAACCTGCTCTATGAATGGGAATGTTCCACTCTGTGACTTGAATGGAAACATGGCAAAGTATTTTCTGAGTATGCTGCTGTGTACGTTTAATATTGCATCCCGTTTCCAACGAAATCCTCAAAGCGATCCAAATATCCACTTGCAGATTCCAAAAAAAGAGTGTTTCAAAGTGCTCTGTCAGTACAAAGGTTCAACACTGTTAGTTGATTAGATGCATCATAAACAAGTTCCTGAGATAGCTTCTATGTCGTTTTTATGGGAAGATATTTCCTTTTTCACCATAGGCCTGAAAGCGCTCCAAATGTCCACTTCCAGATACTACAATAAGAGTGTTTCCAACCTGCTCTATGAAACGGAAGGTTCAACTCTGTGACTTGATTGCAAACATCACGAAGGTGTTTCTGAGAATGCTTCTGTCTAGATTTTCTTTGAAGACATTCCCGTTTCCAACGAAATCCTCACAGCTATCCAAATATCCTCTTGCAGATTCTACAAAAAGTGTGGTTCAAAACTGCTGTATCAAAAGAATGGATCAACACTGTTAGTTGAGTACCCACATCACAAACGTGATTCTCAGAATGCTTCTGTCTAGTTTCTATAGGTAGATATTTCCTTTTTCAGCATAGGCCTGAAAGCGCTCCAAATGCCCGCTTCCAGACACTATAAAAAGAGGGTTTCAAACCTACTCTATGAAAGGGAATGTTCAACTCTGGGAGCTGGATGCAAACATCACAAAGAAGTTTCTGAGAATGCTGCTGTCTACTTTTTATATATCATCCCGTTTCCAACGAAATCCTCAAATCTATCCAAATATCCACTTGCAGATTCCAAAAGAAGAGTGTCTCAAAACTGCTCTATCAATAGAAATGTTCAGCACAGTTAGTTGAGTAGATACAGCATAAACATGTTTCTGAGATTACTTCTATCTCGCATTCATGGGAAGATATTTCCTTTTTCCAGATAGGCTACAAAGCCCTCCAAATGTCCACTTCCAGATACTACAAATAGAGTGCTGCACAACTGCTCTATGTGAGGGGAAGTTCAATTCTGTGACTTGAATGCAGACACCACAAAGAAGTTTCTGAGAATGCTGCTGTCTAATTTTTACATGTAAGCCCGTTTCCAACGAAATCCTCAAAGCTATCCAAATATCCGCATGCAGAATCTTCAAAAAGAGTGTTCCAGAAGTACTGCATGAAACGAAAGGTTCAAGTCCGTTTGTTGAGGACACACATCACAAATAAGTTTCTCAGAATGCTTCTGTCTTGTTTTCATTGGAAGATATTTCCTTTTTCACCATAGTTCAGAAAGCGCTCCAAATGTCCACTTCCAGATACTCCAAAAAGAGTGTTTCCAACCTGCTCTATGAATGGGAATGTTCCACTCTGTGACTTGAATGGAAATATGGCAAAGTATTTTCTGAGTATGCTGCTGTGTACGTTTTATATTGCATCCCGTTTCCAACGAAATCCTCAAAGCGATCCAAATATCCACTTGCAGATTCCAAAAAAAGAGTGTTTCAAACTGCTCTGTCAGTACAAAGGTTCAACACTGTTAGTTGATTAGATGCATCATAAACAAGTTCCTGAGATAGCTTCTATGTCGTTTTTATGGGAAGATATTTCCTTTTTCACCATAGGCCTGAAAGCGCTCCAAATGTCCACTTCCAGATACTACAATAAGAGTGTTTCCAACCTGCTCTATGAAACGGAAGGTTCAACTCTGTGACTTGATTGCAAACATCACGAAGGTGTTTCTGAGAATGTTTTCTGTCTAGATTTTCTTTGAAGACATTACCGTTTCCAACGAAATCCTCAAAGCTAGCCAAATATCCACCTGCAGATTCTACAAAAAGAGTGTTTCAAAAGTGCTCTGTCCAAACCAAGGTTCAATTCTGACAGTTGGGTGCACACATCACAAACGTGATTCTGCGAATGCTTCTGTCTAGTTTTTGTCGGAAGATATTTCCTTTTTCAGCATAGGCCCCAAGGAGCTCAAAATGTCCACTGCCAGATAGTACGAGAAGATTGTTTCAAACCTGCTCTGTGAAAGGGAATGTTCAACTCTGTGACTTGAATGTAAACATCCCTAAGATGTTTCTTAGAATGCTTCTGGCTAGATTTTATTTGAAGATATTCCCGTTTCCAACGAAATCCTCAAAGCTTTCCAAATATCCACTTCCAGATTCTATAAAAAGAATGTTTCAGAACAGTTCTGTCAAAAGAAAGGTTCAACTCTGTTAGTGGAGAACACACATCACAATCAAGGTTCTGAGAATGCTTCTGTCTAAATTTTCTATGAAGACATTCCCGTTTCCAACGAAATCCTCACAGCTATCCAAATATCCACTTGCAGATTCTACAAAAAGTGTGGTTCAAAACTGCTGTATCAAAAGAATGGATCAACACTGTTAGTTGAGTACCCACATCACAAACGTGATTCTCAGAATGCTTCTGTCTAGTTTCTATAGGTAGATATTTCCTTTTTCAGCATAGGCCTGAAAGCGCTCCAAATGCCCGCTTCCAGACACTATAAAAAGAGGGTTTCAAACCTACTCTATGAAAGGGAATGTTCAACTCTGAGAGCTGGATGCAAACATCACAAAGAAGTTTCTGAGAATGCTGCTGTCTACTTTTTATATATAATCCCGTTTCCAACGAAATCCTCAAATCTATCCAAATATCCACTTGCAGATTCCAAAAGAAGAGTGTCTCAAAACTGCTCTATCAATAGAAATGTTCAGCACAGTTAGTTGAGTAGATACAGCATAAACATGTTTCTGAGATTACTTCTATCTCGCATTCATGGGAAGATATTTCCTTTTTCCAGATAGGCTACAAAGCCCTCCAAATGTCCACTTCGAGATACTACAAATAGAGTGCTGCACAACTGCTCTATGTGAGGGGAAGTTCAATTCTGTGACTTGAATGCAGACACCACAAAGAAGTTTCTGAGAATGCTGCTGTCTAATTTTTACATGTAAGCCCGTTTCCAACGAAATCCTCAAAGCTATCCAAATATCCGCATGCAGAATCTTCAAAAAGAGTGTTCCAGAAGTACTGCATGAAATGAAAGGTTCAAGTCCGTTTGTTGAGGACACACATCACAAATAAGTTTCTCAGAATGCTTCTGTCTTGTTTTCATTGGAAGATATTTCCTTTTTCACCATAGTTCAGAAAGCGCTCCAAATGTCCACTTCCAGATACTCCAAAAAGAGTGTTTCAAACCTGCTCTATGAATGGGAATGTTCCACTCTGTGACTTGAATGGAAATATGGCAAAGTATTTTCTGAGTATGCTGCTGTGTACGTTTTTTATTGCATCCCGTTTCCAACGAAATCCTCAAAGCGATCCAAATATCCACTTGCAGATTCCAAAAAAAGAGTGTTTCAAACTGCTCTGTCAGTACAAAGGTTCAACACTGTTAGTTGATTAGATGCATCATAAACAAGTTCCTGAGATAGCTTCTATGTCGTTTTTATGGGAAGATATTTCCTTTTTCACCATAGGCCTGAAAGCGCTCCAAATGTCCACTTCCAGATACTACAATAAGAGTGTTTCCAACCTGCTCTATGAAACGGAAGGTTCAACTCTGTGACTTGATTGCAAACATCACGAAAGGTGTTTCTGAGAATGCTTCTGTCTAGATTTTCTTTGAAGACATTCCCGTTTCCAACGAAATCCTCACAGCTATCCAAATATCCTCTTGCAGATTCTACAAAAAGTGTGGTTCAAAACTGCTGTATCAAAAGAATGGATCAACACTGTTAGTTGAGTACCCACATCACAAACGTGATTCTCAGAATGCTTCTGTCTAGTTTCTGTAGTTAGATATTTCCTATTTTAAGCATAGGCCTGAAAGCGCTCCAAATGCCCGCTTGCAGACACTATAAAAAGAGGGTTTCAAACCTACTCTATGAAAGGGAATGTTCAACTCTGAGAGCTGGATGCAAACATCACAAAGAAGTTTCTGAGAATGCTGCTGTCTACTTTTGATATATAATCCCGTTTCCAACGAAATCCTCAAATCTATCCAAATATCCACTTGCAGATTCCAAAAGAAGAGTGTCTCAAAACTGCTCTATCAATAGAAATGTTCAGCACAGTTAGTTGAGTAGATACAGCATAAACATGTTTCTGAGATTACTTCTATCTCGCATTCATGGGAAGATATTTCCTTTTTCCAGATAGGCTACAAAGCCCTCCAAATGTCCACTTCCAGATACTACAAATAGAGTGCTGCACAACTGCTCTATGTGAGGGGAAGTTCAATTCTGTGACTTGAATGCAGACACCACAAAGAAGTTTCTGAGAATGCTGCTGTCTAATTTTTACATGTAAGCCCGTTTCCAACGAAATCCTCAAAGCTATCCAAATATCCGCATGCAGAATCTTCAAAAAGAGTGTTCCAGAAGTACTGCATGAAACGAAAGGTTCAAGTCCGTTTGTTGAGGACACACATCACAAATAAGTTTCTCAGAATGCTTCTGTCTTGTTTTCATTGGAAGATATTTCCTTTTTCACCATAGTTCAGAAAGCGCTCCAAATGTCCACTTCCAGATACTCCAAAAAGAGTGTTTCCAACCTGCTCTATGAATGGGAATGTTCCACTCTGTGACTTGAATGGAAATATGGCAAAGTATTTTCTGAGTATGCTGCTGTGTACGTTTTATATTGCATCCCGTTTCCAACGAAATCCTCAAAGCGATCCAAATATCCACTTGCAGATTCCAAAAAAAGAGTGTTTCAAACTGCTCTGTCAGTACAAAGGTTCAACACTGTTAGTTGATTAGATGCATCATAAACAAGTTCCTGAGATAGCTTCTATGTCGTTTTTATGGGAAGATATTTCCTTTTTCACCATAGGCCTGAAAGCGCTCCAAATGTCCCCTTCCAGATACTACAATAAGAGTGTTTCCAACCTGCTCTATGAAACGGAAGGTTCAACTCTGTGACTTGATTGCAAACATCACGAAGGTGTTTCTGAGAATGCTTCTGTCTAGATTTTCTTTGAAGACATTCCCGTTTCCAACGAAATCCTCACAGCTATCCAAATATCCTCTTGCAGATTCTACAAAAAGTGTGGTTCAAAACTGCTGTATCAAAAGAATGGATCAACACTGTTAGTTGAGTACCCACATCACAAACGTGATTCTCAGAATGCTCTGTCTAGTTTCTGTACGTAGATATTTCCTATTTTAAGCATAGGCCTGAAAGCGCTCCAAATGCCCGCTTCCAGACACTATAAAAAGAGGGTTTCAAACCTACTCTATGAAAGGGAATGTTCAACTCTGAGAGCTGGATGCAAACATCACAAAGAAGTTTCTGAGAATGCTGGCTGTCTACTTTTTATATATAATCCCGTTTCCAACGAAATCCTCAAATCTATCCAAATATCCACTTGCAGATTCCAAAAGAAGAGTGTCTCAAAACTGCTCTATCAATAGAAATGTTCAGCACAGTTAGTTGAGTAGATACAGCATAAACATGTTTCTGAGATTACTTCTATCTCGCATTCATGGGAAGATATTTCCTTTTTCCAGATAGGCTACAAAGCCCTCCAAATGTCCACTTCCAGATACTACAAATAGAGTGCTGCACAACTGCTCTATGTGAGGGGAAGTTCAATTCTGTGACTTGAATGCAGACACCACAAAGAAGTTTCTGAGAATGCTGCTGTCTAATTTTTACATGTAAGCCCGTTTCCAACGAAATCCTCAAAGCTATCCAAATATCCGCATGCAGAATCTTCAAAAAGAGTGTTCCAGAAGTACTGCATGAAACGAAAGGTTCAAGTCCGTTTGTTGAGGACACACATCACAAATAAGTTTCTCAGAATGCTTCTGTCTTGTTTTCATTGGAAGATATTTCCTTTTTCACCATAGTTCAGAAAGCGCTCCAAATGTCCACTTCCAGATACTCCAAAAAGAGTGTTTCAAACCTGCTCTATGAATGGGAATGTTCCACTCTGTGACTTGAATGGAAATATGGCAAAGTATTTTCTGAGTATGCTGCTGTGTACGTTTTATATTGCATCCCGTTTCCAACGAAATCCTCAAAGCGATCCAAATATCCACTTGCAGATTCCAAAAAAAGAGTGTTTCAAACTGCTCTGTCAGTACAAAGGTTCAACACTGTTAGTTGATTAGATGCATCATAAACAAGTTCCTGAGATAGCTTCTATGTCGTTTTTATGGGAAGATATTTCCTTTTTCACCATAGGCCTGAAAGCGCTCCAAATGTCCACTTCCAGATACTACAATAAGAGTGTTTCCAACCTACTCTATGAAACGGAAGGTTCAACTCTGTGACTTGATTGCAAACATCACGAAGGTGTTTCTGAGAATGCTTCTGTCTAGATTTTCTTTGAAGACATTCCCGTTTCCAACGAAATCCTCACAGCTATCCAAATATCCTCTTGCAGATTCTACAAAAAGTGTGGTTCAAAACTGCTGTATCAAAAGAATGGATCAACACTGTTAGTTGAGTACCCACATCACAAACGTGATTCTCAGAATGCTTCTGTCTAGTTTCTGTAGGTAGATATTTCCTATTTTAAGCATAGGCCTGAAAGCGCTCCAAATGCCCGCTTCCAGACACTATAAAAAGAGGGTTTCAAACCTACTCTATGAAAGGGAATGCTCAACTCTGAGAGCTGGATGCAAACATCACAAAGAAGTTTCTGAGAATGCTGCTGTCTACTTTTTATATATAATCCCGTTTCCAACGAAATCCTCAAATCTATCCAAATATCCACTTGCAGATTCCAAAAGAAGAGTGTCTCAAAACTGCTCTATCAATAGAAATGTTCAGCACAGTTAGTTGAGTAGATACAGCATAAACATTTTTCTGAGATTACTTCTATCTCGCATTCATGGGAAGATATTTCCTTTTTCCAGATAGGCTACAAAGCCCTCCAAATGTCCACTTCCAGATACTACAAAAAGAGTGTTTCCAACCTGCTCTATGAAACGGAAGGTTCAACTCTGTGACTTGATTGCAAACATCACGAAGGTGTTTCTGAGAATGCTTCCGTCTAGATTTTCTTTGAAGACATTACCGTTTCCAACGAAATCCTCAAAGCTAGCCAAATATCCACCTGCAGATTCTACAAAAAGAGTGTTTCAAAAGTGCTCTGTCCAAACCAAGGTTCAATTCTGACAGTTGAGTGCACACATCACAAACGTGATTCTGCGAATGCTTCTGTCTAGTTTTTGTCGGAAGATATTTCCTTTTTCAGCATAGGCCCCAAGGAGCTCAAAATGTCCACTGCCAGATAGTACGAGAAGATTGTTTCAAACCTGCTCTGTGAAAGGGAATGTTCAACTCTGTGACTTGAATGTAAACATCCCTAAGATGTTTCTTAGAATGCTTCTGGCTAGATTTTATTTGAAGATATTCCCGTTTCCAACGAAATCCTCAAAGCTTTCCAAATATCCACTTCCAGATTCTATAAAAAGAATGTTTCAGAACAGTTCTGTCAAAAGAAAGGTTCAACTCTGTTAGTGGAGAACACACATCACAATCAAGGTTCTGAGAATGCTTCTGTCTAAATTTTCTATGAAGACATTCCCGTTTCCAAGGAAATCCTCACAGCTATCCAAATATCCACTTGCAGATTCTACAAAAAGTGTGGTTCAAAACTGCTGTATCAAAAGAATGGATCAACACTGTTAGTTGAGTACCCACATCACAAACGTGATTCTCAGAATGCTTCTGTCTAGTTTCTATAGGTAGATATTTCCTTTTTCAGCATAGGCCTGAAAGCGCTCCAAATGCCCGCTTCCAGACACTATAAAAAGAGGGTTTCAAACCTACTCTATGAAAGGGAATGTTCAACTCTGAGAGCTGGATGCAAACATCACAAAGAAGTTTCTGAGAATGCTGCTGTCTACTTTTTATATATAATCCCGTTTCCAACGAAATCCTCAAATCTATCCAAATATCCACTTGCAGATTCCAAAAGAAGAGTGTCTCAAAACTGCTCTATCAATAGAAATGTTCAGCACAGTTAGTTGAGTAGATACAGCATAAACATGTTTCTGAGATTACTTCTATCTCGCATTCATGGGAAGATATTTCCTTTTTCCAGATAGGCTACAAAGCCCTCCAAATGTCCACTTCCAGATACTACAAAAAGAGTGTTTCCAACCTGCTCTATGAAACGGAAGGTTCAACTCTGTGACTTGATTGCAAACATCACGAAGGTGTTTCTGAGAATGCTTCTGTGTAGATTTTCTTTGAAGTCATTACCGTTTCCAACGAAATCCTCAAAGCTAGCCAAATATCCACCTGCAGATTCTACAAAAAGAGTGTTTCAAAAGTGCTCTGTCCAAACCAAGGTTCAATTCTGACAGTTGAGTGCACACATCACAAACGTGATTCTGCGAATGCTTCTGTCTAGTTTTTGTCGGAAGATATTTCCTTTTTCAGCATAGGCCCCAAGGAGCTCAAAATGTCCACTGCCAGATAGTACGAGAAGATTGTTTCAAACCTGCTCTGTGAAAGGGAATGTTCAACTCTGTGACTTGAATGTAAACATCCCTAAGATGTTTCTTAGAATGCTTCTGGCTAGATTTGATTTGAAGATATTCCCGTTTCCAACGAAATCCTCAAAGCTTTCCAAATATCCACTTCCAGATTCTATAAAAAGAATGTTTCAGAACAGTTCTGTCAAAAGAAAGGTTCAACTCTGTTAGTGGAGAACACACATCACAATCAAGGTTCTGAGAATGCTTCTGTCTAAATTTTCTATGAAGACATTCCCGTTTCCAACGAAATCCTCACAGCTATCCAAATATCCACTTGCAGATTCTACAAAAAGTGTGGTTCAAAACTGCTGTATCAAAAGAATGGATCAACACTGTTAGTTGAGTACCCACATCACAAACGTGATTCTCAGAATGCTTCTGTCTAGTTTCTGTAGGTAGATATTTCCTATTTTAAGCATAGGCCTGAAAGCGCTCCAAATGCCCGCTTCCAGACACTATAAAAAGAGGGTTTCAAACCTACTCTATGAAAGGGAATGTTCAACTCTGAGAGCTGGATGCAAACATCACAAAGAAGTTTCTGAGAATGCTGCTGTCTACTTTTTATATATAATCCCGTTTCCAACGAAATCCTCAAATCTATCCAAATATCCACTTGCAGATTCCAAAAGAAGAGTGTCTCAAAACTGCTCTATCAATAGAAATGTTCAGCACAGTTAGTTGAGTAGATACAGCATAAACACGTTTCTGAGATTACTTCTATCTCGCATTCATGGGAAGATATTTCCTTTTTCCAGATAGGCTACAAAGCCCTCCAAATGTCCACTTCCAGATACTACAAATAGAGTGCTGCACAACTGCTCTATGTGAGGGGAAGTTCAATTCTGTGACTTGAATGCAGACACCACAAAGAAGTTTCTGAGAATGCTGCTGTCTAATTTTTACATGTAAGGCCGTTTCCAACGAAATCCCCCAAAGCTATCCAAATATCCGCATGCAGAATCTTCAAAAAGAGTGTTCCAGAAGTACTGCATGAAACGAAAGGTTCAAGTCCGTTTGTTGAGGACACACATCACAAATAAGTTTCTCAGAATGCTTCTGTCTTGTTTTCATTGGAAGATATTTCCTTTTTCACCATAGTTCAGAAAGCGCTCCAAATGTCCACTTCCAGATACTCCAAAAAGAGTGTTTCCAACCTGCTCTATGAATGGGAATGTTCCACTCTGTGACTTGAATGGAAACATGGCAAAGTATTTTCTGAGTATGCTGCTGTGTACGTTTTATATTGCATCCCGTTTCCAACGAAATCCTCAAAGTGATCCAAATATCCACTTGCAGATTCCAAAAAAAGAGTGTTTCAAACTGCTCTGTCAGTACAAAGGTTCAACACTGTTAGTTGATTAGATGCATCATAAACAAGTTCCTGAGATAGCTTCTATGTCGTTTTTATGGGAAGATATTTCCTTTTTCACCATAGGCCTGAAAGCGCTCCAAATGTCCACTTCCAGATACTACAAAAAGAGTGTTTCCAACCTGCTCTATGAAACGGAAGGTTCAACTCTGTGACTTGATTGCAAACATCACGAAGGTGTTTCTGAGAATGCTTCTGTCTAGATTTTCTTTGAAGACATTACCGTTTCCAACGAAATCCTCAAAGCTAGCCAAATATCCACCTGCAGATTCTACAAAAAGAGTGTTTCAAAAGTGCTCTGTCCAAACCAAGGTTCAATTCTGACAGTTGAGTGCACACATCACAAACGTGATTCTGCGAATGCTTCTGTCTAGTTTTTGTCGGAAGATATTTCCTTTTTCAGCATAGGCCCCAAGGAGCTCAAAATGTCCACTGCCAGATAGTACGAGAAGATTGTTTCAAACCTGCTCTGTGAAAGGGAATGTTCAACTCTGTGACTTGAATGTAAACATCCCTAAGATGTTTCTTAGAATGCTTCTGGCTAGATTTTATTTGAAGATATTCCCGTTTCCAACGAAATCCTCAAAGCTTTCCAAATATCCACTTCCAGATTCTATAAAAAGAATGTTTCACAACAGTTCTGTCAAAAGAAAGGTTCAACTCTGTTAGTGGAGAACACACATCACAATCAAGGTTCTGAGAATGCTTCTGTCTAAATTTTCTATGAAGACATTCCCGTTTCCAACGAAATCCTCACAGCTATCCAAATATCCACTTGCAGATTCTACAAAAAGTGTGGTTCAAAACTGCTGTATCAAAAGAATGGATCAACACTGTTAGTTGAGTACCCACATCACAAACGTGATTCTCAGAATGCTTCTGTCTAGTTTCTATAGGTAGATATTTCCTTTTTCAGCATAGGCCTGAAAGCGCTCCAAATGCCCGCTTCCAGACACTATAAAAAGAGGGTTTCAAACCTACTCTATGAAAGGGAATGTTCAACTCTGAGAGCTGGATGCAAACATCACAAAGAAGTTTCTGAGAATGCTGCTGTCTACTTTTGATATATAATCCCGTTTCCAACGAAATCCTCAAATCTATCCAAATATCCACTTGCAGATTCCAAAAGAAGAGTGTCTCAAAACTGCTCTATCAATAGAAATGTTCAGCACAGTTAGTTGAGTAGATACAGCATAAACATGTTTCTGAGATTACTTCTATCTCGCATTCATGGGAAGATATTTCCTTTTTCCAGATAGGCTACAAAGCCCTCCAAATGTCCACTTCCAGATACTACAAAAAGAGTGTTTCCAACCTGCTCTATGAAACGGAAGGTTCAACTCTGTGACTTGATTGCAAACATCACGAAGGTGTTTCTGAGAATGCTTCTGTCTAGATTTTCTTTGAAGACATTACCGTTTCCAACGAAATCCTCAAAGCTAGCCAAATATCCACCTGCAGATTCTACAAAAAGAGTGTTTCAAAAGTGCTCTGTCCAAACCAAGGTTCAATTCTGACAGTTGAGTGCACACATCACAAACGTGATTCTGCGAATGCTTCTGTCTAGTTTTTGTCGGAAGATATTTCCTTTTTCAGCATAGGCCCCAAGGAGCTCAAAATGTCCACTGCCAGATAGTACGAGAAGATTGTTTCAAACCTGCTCTGTGAAAGGGAATGTTCAACTCTGTGACTTGAATGTAAACATCCCTAAGATGTTTCTTAGAATGCTTCTGGCTAGATTTGATTTGAAGATATTCCCGTTTCCAACGAAATCCTCAAAGCTTTCCAAATATCCACTTCCAGATTCTATAAAAAGAATGTTTCAGAACAGTTCTGTCAAAAGAAAGGTTCAACTCTGTTAGTGGAGAACACACATCACAATCAAGGTTCTGAGAATGCTTCTGTCTAAATTTTCTATGAAGACATTCCCGTTTCCAACGAAATCCTCACAGCTATCCAAATATCCACTTGCAGATTCTACAAAAAGTGTGGTTCAAAACTGCTGTATCAAAAGAATGGATCAACACTGTTAGTTGAGTACCCACATCACAAACGTGATTCTCAGAATGCTTCTGTCTAGTTTCTATAGGTAGATATTTCCTTTTTCAGCATAGGCCTGAAAGCGCTCCAAATGCCCGCTTCCAGACACTATAAAAAGAGGGTTTCAAACCTACTCTATGAAAGGGAATGTTCAACTCTGAGAGCTGGATGCAAACATCACAAAGAAGTTTCTGAGAATGCTGCTGTCTACTTTTGATATATAATCCCGTTTCCAACGAAATCCTCAAATCTATCCAAATATCCACTTGCAGATTCCAAAAGAAGAGTGTCTCAAAACTGCTCTATCAATAGAAATGTTCAGCACAGTTAGTTGAGTAGATACAGCATAAACATGTTTCTGAGATTACTTCTATCTCGCATTCATGGGAAGATATTTCCTTTTTCCAGATAGGCTACAAAGCCCTCCAAATGTCCACTTCCAGATACTACAAAAAGAGTGTTTCCAACCTGCTCTATGAAACGGAAGGTTCAACTCTGTGACTTGATTGCAAACATCACGAAGGTGTTTCTGAGAATGCTTCTGTGTAGATTTTCTTTGAAGACATTACCGTTTCCAACGAAATCCTCAAAGCTAGCCAAATATCCACCTGCAGATTCTACAAAAAGAGTGTTTCAAAAGTGCTCTGTCCAAACCAAGGTTCAATTGCTGACAATTGAGTGCACACATCACAAACGTGATTCCTGCGAATGCTTCTGTCTAGTTTTTGTCGGAAGATATTTCCTTTTTCAGCATAGGCCCCAAGGAGCTCAAAATGTCCACTGCCAGATAGTACGAGAAGATTGTTTCAAACCTGCTCTGTGAAAGGGAATGTTCAACTCTGTGACTTGAATGTAAACATCCCTAAGATGTTTCTTAGAATGCTTCTGGCTAGATTTTATTTGAAGATATTCCCGTTTCCAACGAAATCCTCAAAGCTTTCCAAATATCCACTTCCAGATTCTATAAAAAGAATGTTTCAGAACAGTTCTGTCAAAAGAAAGGTTCAACTCTGTTAGTGGAGAACACACATCACAATCAAGGTTCTGAGAATGCTTCTGTCTAAATTTTCTATGAAGACATTCCCGTTTCCAACGAAATCCTCACAGCTATCCAAATATCCACTTGCAGATTCTACAAAAAGTGTGGTTCAAAACTGCTGTATCAAAAGAATGGATCAACACTGTTAGTTGAGTACCCACATCACAAACGTGATTCTCAGAATGCTTCTGTCTAGTTTCTGTAGGTAGATATTTCCTTTTTCAGCATAGGCCTGAAAGCGCTCCAAATGCCCGCTTCCAGACACTATAAAAAGAGGGTTTCAAACCTACTCTATGAAAGGGAATGTTCAACTCTGAGAGCTGGATGCAAACATCACAAAGAAGTTTCTGAGAATGCTGCTGTCTACTTTTGATATATAATCCCGTTTCCAACGAAATCCTCAAATCTATCCAAATATCCACTTGCAGATTCCAAAAGAAGAGTGTCTCAAAACTGCTCTATCAATAGAAATGTTCAGCACAGTTAGTTGAGTAGATACAGCATAAACATGTTTCTGAGATTACTTCTATCTCGCATTCATGGGAAGATATTTCCTTTTTCCAGATAGGCTACAAAGCCCTCCAAATGTCCACTTCGAGATACTACAAATAGAGTGCTGCACAACTGCTCTATGTGAGGGGAAGTTCAATTCTGTGACTTGAATGCAGACACCACAAAGAAGTTTCTGAGAATGCTGCTGTCTAATTTTTACATGTAAGCCCGTTTCCAACGAAATCCTCAAAGCTATCCAAATATCCGCATGCAGAATCTTCTAAAAGAGTGTTCCAGAAGTACTGCATGAAACGAAAGGTTCAAGTCCGTTTGTTGAGGACACACATCACAAATAAGTTTCTCAGAATGCTTCTGTCTTGTTTTCATTGGAAGATATTTCCTTTTTCACCATAGTTCAGAAAGCGCTCCAAATGTCCACTTCCAGATACTCCAAAAAGAGTGTTTCAAACCTGCTCTATGAATGGGAATGTTCCACTCTGTGACTTGAATGGAAATATGGCAAAGTATTTTCTGAGTATGCTGCTGTGTACGTTTTATATTGCATCCCGTTTCCAACGAAATCCTCAAAGCGATCCAAATATCCACTTGCAGATTCCAAAAAAAGAGTGTTTCAAAGTGCTCTGTCAGTACAAAGGTTCAACACTGTTAGTTGATTAGATGCATCATAAACAAGTTCCTGAGATAACTTCTATGTCGTTTTTATGGGAAGATATTTCCTTTTTCACCATAGGCCTGAAAGCGCTCCAAATGTCCACTTCCAGATACTACAAAAAGAGTGTTTCCAACCTGCTCTATGAAACGGAAGGTTCAACTCTGTGACTTGATTGCAAACATCACGAAGGTGTTTCTGAGAATGCTTCTGTCTAGATTTTCTTTGAAGACATTCCCGTTTCCAACGAAATCCTCACAGCTATCCAAATATCCTCTTGCAGATTCTACAAAAAGTGTGGTTCAAAACTGCTGTATCAAAAGAATGGATCAACACTGTTAGTTGAGTACCCACATCACAAACGTGATTCTCAGAAGGCTTCTGTCTAGTTTCTGTAGGTAGATATTTCCTATTTTAAGCATAGGCCTGAAAGCGCTCCAAATGCCCGCTTCCAGACACTATAAAAAGAGGGTTTCAAACCTACTCTATGAAAGGGAATGTTCAACTCTGAGAGCTGGATGCAAACATCACAAAGAAGTTTCTGAGAATGCTGCTGTCTACTTTTTATATATAATCCCGTTTCCAACGAAATCCTCAAATCTATCCAAATATCCACTTGCAGATTCCAAAAGAAGAGTGTCTCAAAACTGCTCTATCAATAGAAATGTTCAGCACAGTTAGTTGAGTAGATACAGCATAAACATGTTTCTGAGATTACTTCTATCTCGCATTCATGGGAAGATATTTCCTTTTTCCAGATAGGCTACAAAGCCCTCCAAATGTCCACTTCCAGATACTACAAATAGAGTGCTGCACAACTGCTCTATGTGAGGGGAAGTTCAATTCTGTGACTTGAATGCAGACACCACAAAGAAGTTTCTGAGAATGCTGCTGTCTAATTTTTACATGTAAGCCCGTTTCCAACGAAATCCTCAAAGCTATCCAAATATCCGCATGCAGAATCTTCAAAAAGAGTGTTCCAGAAGTACTGCATGAAACGAAAGGTTCAAGTCCGTTTGTTGAGGACACACATCACAAATAAGTTTCTCAGAATGCTTCTGTCTTGTTTTCATTGGAACATATTTCCTTTTTCACCATAGTTCAGAAAGCGCTCCAAATGTCCACTTCCAGATACTCCAAAAAGAGTGTTTCAAACCTGCTCTATGAAAGGGAATGTTCCACTCTGTGACTTGAATGGAAATATGGCAAAGTATTTTCTGAGTATGCTGCTGAGTACGTTTTATATTGCATCCCGTTTCCAACGAAATCCTCAAAGCGATCCAAATATCCACTTGCAGATTCCAAAAAAAGAGTGTTTCAAACTGCTCTGTCAGTACAAAGGTTCAACACTGTTAGTTGATTAGATGCATCATAAACAAGTTCCTGAGATAGCTTCTATGTCGCTTTTATGGGAAGATATTTCCTTTTACACCATAGGCCTGAAAGCGCTCCAAATGTCCACTTCCAGATACTACAAAATGAGTGTTTCCTACCTGCTCTATGAAACGGAAGGTTCAACTCTGTGACTTGATTGCAAACATCACGAAGGTGTTTCTGAGAATGCTTCTGTCTAGATTTTCTTTGAAGACATTACCGTTTCCAACGAAATCCTCAAAGCTAGCCAAATATCCACCTGCAGATTCTACAAAAAGAGTGTTTCAAAAGTGCTCTGTCCAAACAAAGGTTCAATTCTGACAGTTGAGTGCACACATCACAAACGTGATTCTGCGAATGCTTCTGTCTAGTTTTTGTCGGAAGATATTTCCTTTTTCAGCATAGGCCCCAAGGAGCTCAAAATGTCCACTTCCAGATACTACGAGAAGATTGTTTCAAACCTGCTCTGTGAAAGGGAATGTTCAACTCTGTGACTTGAATGTAAACATCCCTAAGATGTTTCTTAGAATGCTTCTGGCTAGATTTTATTTGAAGATATTCCCGTTTCCAACGAAATCCTCAAAGCTTTCCAAATATCCACTTCCAGATTCTATAAAAAGAATGTTTCAGAACAGTTCTGTCAAAAGAAAGGTTCAACTCTGTTAGTGGAGAACACACATCACAATCAAGGTTCTGAGAATGCTTCTGTCTAAATTTTTCTATGAAGACATTCCCGTTTCCAACGAAATCCTCACAGCTATCCAAATATCCACTTGCAGATTCTACAAAAAGGGTGGTTCAAAACTGCTGTATCAAAAGAATGGATCAACACTGTTAGTTGAGTACCCACATCACAAACGTGATTCTCAGAATGCTTCTGTCTAGTTTCTATAGGTAGATATTTCCTTTTTCAGCATAGGCCTGAAAGCGCTCCAAATGCCCGCTTCCAGACACTATAAAAAGAGGGTTTCAAACCTACTCTATGAAAGGGAATGTTCAACTCTGAGAGCTGGATGCAAACATCACAAAGAAGTTTCTGAGAATGCTGCTGTCTACTTTTGATATATAATCCCGTTTCCAACGAAATCCTCAAATCTATCCAAATATCCACTTGCAGATTCCAAAAGAAGAGTGTCTCAAAACTGCTCTATCAATAGAAATGTTCAGCACAGTTAGTTGAGTAGATACAGCATAAACATGTTTCTGAGATTACTTCTATCTCGCATTCATGGGAAGATATTTCCTTTTTCCAGATAGGCTACAAAGCCCTCCAAATGTCCACTTCCAGATACTACAAAAAGAGTGTTTCCAACCTGCTCTATGAAACGGAAGGTTCAACTCTGTGACTTGATTGCAAACATCACGAAGGTGTTTCTGAGAATGCTTCTGTCTAGATTTTCTTTGAAGACATTACCGTTTCCAACGAAATCCTCAAAGCTAGCCAAATATCCACCTGCAGATTCTACAAAAAGAGTGTTTCAAAAGTGCTCTGTCCAAACCAAGGTTCAATTCTGACAGTTGAGTGCACACATCACAAACGTGATTCTGCGAATGCTTCTGTCTAGTTTTTGTCGGAAGATATTTCCTTTTTCAGCATAGGCCCCAAGGAGCTCAAAATGTCCACTGCCAGATAGTACGAGAAGATTGTTTCAAACCTGCTCTGTGAAAGGGAATGTTCAACTCTGTGACTTGAATGTAAACATCCCTAAGATGTTTCTTAGAATGCTTCTGGCTAGATTTGATTTGAAGATATTCCCGTTTCCAACGAAATCCTCAAAGCTTTCCAAATATCCACTTCCAGATTCTATAAAAAGAATGTTTCAGAACAGTTCTGTCAAAAGAAAGGTTCAACTCTGTTAGTGGAGAACACACATCACAATCAAGGTTCTGAGAATGCTTCTGTCTAAATTTTCTATGAAGACATTCCCGTTTCCAACGAAATCCTCACAGCTATCCAAATATCCACTTGCAGATTCTACAAAAAGTGTGGTTCAAAACTGCTGTATCAAAAGAATGGATCAACACTGTTAGTTGAGTACCCACATCACAAACGTGATTCTCAGAATGCTTCTGTCTAGTTTCTGTAGGTAGATATTTCCTATTTTAAGCATAGGCCTGAAAGCGCTCCAAATGCCCGCTTCCAGACACTATAAAAAGAGGGTTTCAAACCTACTCTATGAAAGGGAATGTTCAACTCTGAGAGCTGGATGCAAACATCACAAAGAAGTTTCTGAGAATGCTGCTGTCTACTTTTTATATATAATCCCGTTTCCAACGAAATCCTCAAATCTATCCAAATATCCACTTGCAGATTCCAAAAGAAGAGTGTCTCAAAACTGCTCTATCAATAGAAATGTTCAGCACAGTTAGTTGAGTAGATACAGCATGAACATGTTTCTGAGATTACTTCTATCTCGCATTCATGGGAAGATATTTCCTTTTCCAGATAGGCTACAAAGCCCTCCAAATGTCCACTTCCAGATACTACAAATAGATTGCTGCACAACTGCTCTATGTGAGGGGAAGTTCAATTCTGTGACTTGAATGCAGACACCACAAAAAAGTTTCTGAGAATGCTGCTGTCTAATTTTTACATGTAAGCCCGTTTCCAACGAAATCCTCAAAGCTATCCAAATATCCGCATGCAGAATCTTCAAAAAGAGTGTTCCAGAAGTACTGCATGAAACGAAAGGTTCAAGTCCGTTTGTTGAGGACACACATCACAAATAAGTTTCTCAGAATGCTTCTGTCTTGTTTTCATTGGAAGATATTTCCTTTTTCACCATAGTTCAGAAAGCGCTCCAAATGTCCACTTCCAGATACTCCAAAAAGAGTGTTTCAAACCTGCTCTATGAATGGGAATGTTCCACTCTGTGACTTGAATGGAAATATGGCAAAGTATTTTCTGAGTATGCTGCTGTGTACGTTTTATATTGCATCCCGTTTCCAACGAAATCCTCAAAGCGATCCAAATATCCACTTGCAGATTCCAAAAAAGGAGTGTTTCAAACTGCTCTGTCAGTACAAAGGTTCAACACTGTTAGTTGATTAGATGCATCATAAACAAGTTCCTGAGATAGCTTCTATGTCGTTTTTATGGGAAGATATTTCCTTTTTCACCATAGGCCTGAAAGCGCTCCAAATGTCCACTTCCAGATACTACAATAAGAGTGTTTCCAACCTGCTCTATGAAACGGAAGGTTCAACTCTGTGACTTGATTGCAAACATCACGAAGGTGTTTCTGAGAATGCTTCTGTCTAGATTTTCTTTGAAGACATTCCCGTTTCCAACGAAATCCTCACAGCTATCCAAATATCCTCTTGCAGATTCTACAAAAAGTGTGGTTCAAAACTGCTGTATCAAAAGAATGGATCAACACTGTTAGTTGAGTACCCACATCACAAACGTGATTCTCAGAATGCTTCTGTCTAGTTTCTGTAGGTAGATATTTCCTATTTTAAGCATAGGCCTGAAAGCGCTCCAAATGCCCGCTTGCAGACACTATAAAAAGAGGGTTTCAAACCTACTCTATGAAAGGGAATGTTCAACTCTGAGAGCTGGATGCAAACATCACAAAGAAGTTTCTGAGAATGCTGCTGTCTACTTTTTATATATAATCCCGTTTCCAACGAAATCCTCAAATCTATCCAAATATCCACTTGCAGATTCCAAAAGAAGAGTGTCTCAAAACTGCTCTATCAATAGAAATGTTCAGCACAGTTAGTTGAGTAGATACAGCATAAACATGTTTCTGAGATTACTTCTATCTCGCATTCATGGGAAGATATTTCCTTTTTCCAGATAGGCTACAAAGCCCTCCAAATGTCCACTTCCAGATACTACAAATAGAGTGCTGCACAACTGCTCTATGTGAGGGGAAGTTCAATTCTGTGACTTGAATGCAGACACCACAAAGAAGTTTCTGAGAATGCTGCTGTCTAATTTTTACATGTAAGCCCGTTTCCAACGAAATCCTCAAAGCTATCCAAATATCCGCATGCAGAATCTTCAAAAAGAGTGTTCCAGAAGTACTGCATGAAACGAAAGGTTCAAGTCCGTTTGTTGAGGACACACATCACAAATAAGTTTCTCAGAATGCTTCTGTCTTGTTTTCATTGGAAGATATTTCCTTTTTCACCATAGTTCAGAAAGCGCTCCAAATGTCCACTTCCAGATACTCCAAAAAGAGTGTTTCAAACCTGCTCTATGAATGGGAATGTTCCACTCTGTGACTTGAATGGAAATATGGCAAAGTATTTTCTGAGTATGCTGCTGTGTACGTTTTATATTGCATCCCGTTTCCAACGAAATCCTCAAAGCGATCCAAATATCCACTTGCAGATTCCAAAAAAAGAGTGTTTCAAACTGCTCTGTCAGTACAAAGGTTCAACACTGTTAGTTGATTAGATGCATCATAAACAAGTTCCTGAGATAGCTTCTATGTCGTTTTTATGGGAAGATATTTCCTTTTTCACCATAGGCCTGAAAGCGCTCCAAATGTCCACTTCCACAAACTACAAAAAGAGTGTTTCCAACCTGCTCTATGAAACGGAAGGTTCAACTCTGTGACTTGATTGCAAACATCACGAAGGTGTTTCTGAGAATGCTTCTGTCTAGATTTTCTTTGAAGACATTCCCGTTTCCAACGAAATCCTCACAGCTATCCAAATATCCTCTTGCAGATTCTACAAAAAGTGTGGTTCAAAACTGCTGTATCAAAAGAATGGATCAACACTGTTAGTTGAGTACCCACATCACAAACGTGATTCTCAGAATGCTTCTGTCTAGTTTCTGTAGGTAGATATTTCCTATTTTAAGCATAGGCCTGAAAGCGCTCCAAATGCCCGCTTCCAGACACTATAAAAAGAGGGTTTCAAACCTACTCTATGAAAGGGAATGCTCAACTCTGAGAGCTGGATGCAAACATCACAAAGAAGTTTCTGAGAATGCTGCTGTCTACTTTTGATATATAATCCCGTTTCCAACGAAATCCTCAAATCTATCCAAATATCCACTTGCAGATTCCAAAAGAAGAGTGTCTCAAAACTGCTCTATCAATAGAAATGTTCAGCACAGTTAGTTGAGTAGATACAGCATAAACATGTTTCTGAGATTACTTCTATCTCGCATTCATGGGAAGATATTTCCTTTTTCCAGGATAGGCTACAAAGCCCTCCAAATGTCCACTTCGAGATACTACAAATAGAGTGCTGCACAACTGCTCTATGTGAGGGGAAGTTCAATTCTGTGACTTGAATGCAGACACCACAAAGAAGTTTCTGAGAATGCTGCTGTCTAATTTTTACATGTAAGCCCGTTTCCAACGAAATCCTCAAAGCTATCCAAATATCCGCATGCAGAATCTTCAAAAAGAGTGTTCCAGAAGTACTGCATGAAACGAAAGGTTCAAGTCCGTTTGTTGAGGACACATATCACAAATAAGTTTCTCAGAATGCTTCTGTCTTGTTTTCATTGGAAGATATTTCCTTTTTCACCATAGTTCAGAAAGCGCTCCAAATGTCCACTTCCAGATACTCCAAAAAGAGTGTTTCAAACCTGCTCTATGAATGGGAATGTTCCACTCTGTGACTTGAATGGAAATATGGCAAAGTATTTTCTGAGTATGCTGCTGTGTACGTTTTATATTGCATCCCGTTTCCAACGAAATCCTCAAAGCGATCCAAATATCCACTTGCAGATTCCAAAAAAAGAGTGTTTCAAACTGCTCTGTCAGTACAAAGGTTCAACACTGTTAGTTGATTAGATGCATCATAAACAAGTTCCTGAGATAGCTTCTATGTCGTTTTTATGGGAAGATATTTCCTTTTTCACCATAGGCCTGAAAGCGCTCCAAATGTCCACTTCCAGATACTACAATAAGAGTGTTTCCAACCTGCTCTATGAAACGGAAGGTTCAACTCTGTGACTTGATTGCAAACATCACGAAGGTGTTTCTGAGAATGCTTCTGTCTAGATTTTCTTTGAAGACATTCCCGTTTCCAACGAAATCCTCACAGCTATCCAAATATCCTCTTGCAGATTCTACAAAAAGTGTGGTTCAAAACTGCTGTATCAAAAGAATGGATCAACACTGTTAGTTGAGTACCCACATCACAAACGTGATTCTCAGAATGCTTCTGTCTAGTTTCTGTAGGTAGATATTTCCTATTTTAAGCATAGGCCTGAAAGCGCTCCAAATGCCCGCTTCCAGACACTATAAAAAGAGGGTTTCAAACCTACTCTATGAAAGGGAATGTTCAACTCTGAGAGCTGGATGCAAACATCACAAAGAAGTTTCTGAGAATGCTGCTGTCTACTTTTGATATATAATCCCGTTTCCAACGAAATCCTCAAATCTATCCAAATATCCACTTGCGGATTCCAAAAGAAGAGTGTCTCAAAACTGCTCTATCAATAGAAATGTTCAGCACAGTTAGTTGAGTAGATACAGCATAAACATGTTTCTGAGATTACTTCTATCTCGCATTCATGGGAAGATATTTCCTTTTTCCACATAGGCTACAAAGCCCTCCAAATGTCCACTTCCAGATACTACAAAAAGAGTGTTTCCAACCTGCTCTATGAAACGGAAGGTTCAACTCTGTGACTTGATTGCAAACATCACGAAGGTGTTTCTGAGAATGCTTCTGTCTAGATTTTCTTTGAAGACATTACCGTTTCCAACGAAATCCTCAAAGCTAGCCAAATATCCACCTGCAGATTCTACAAAAAGAGTGTTTCAAAAGTGCTCTGTCCAAACCAAGGTTCAATTCTGACAGTTGAGTGCACACATCACAAACGTGATTCTGCGAATGCTTCTGTCTAGTTTTTGTCGGAAGATATTTCCTTTTTCAGCATAGGCCCCAAGGAGCTCAAAATGTCCACTGCCAGATAGTACGAGAAGATTGTTTCAAACCTGCTCTGTGAAAGGGAATGTTCAACTCTGTGACTTGAATGTAAACATCCCTAAGATGTTTCTTAGAATGCTTCTGGCTAGATTTTATTTGAAGATATTCCCGTTTCCAACGAAATCCTCAAAGCTTTCCAAATATCCACTTCCAGATTCTATAAAAAGAATGTTTCAGAACAGTTCTGTCAAAAGAAAGGTTCAACTCTGTTAGTGGAGAACACACATCACAATCAAGGTTCTGAGAATGCTTCTGTCTAAATTTTCTATGAAGACATTCCCGTTTCCAACGAAATCCTCACAGCTATCCAAATATCCACTTGCAGATTCTACAAAAAGTGTGGTTCAAAACTGCTGTATCAAAAGAATGGATCAACACTGTTAGTTGAGTACCCACATCACAAACGTGATTCTCAGAATGCTTCTGTCTAGTTTCTATAGGTAGATATTTCCTTTTTCAGCATAGGCCTGAAAGCGCTCCAAATGCCCGCTTCCAGACACTATAAAAAGAGGGTTTCAAACCTACTCTATGAAAGGGAATGTTCAACTCTGAGAGCTGGATGCAAACATCACAAAGAAGTTTCTGAGAATGCTGCTGTCTACTTTTTATATATAATCCCGTTTCCAACGAAATCCTCAAATCTATCCAAATATCCACTTGCAGATTCCAAAAGAAGAGTGTCTCAAAACTGCTCTATCAATAGAAATGTTCAGCACAGTTAGTTGAGTAGATACAGCATAAACATGTTTCTGAGATTACTTCTATCTCGCATTCATGGGAAGATATTTCCTTTTTCCAGATAGGCTACAAAGCCCTCCAAATGTCCACTTCCAGATACTACAAATAGAGTGCTGCACAACTGCTCTATGTGAGGGGATGTTCAATTCTGTGACTTGAATGCAGACACCACAAAGAAGTTTCTGAGAATGCTGCTGTCTAATTTTTACATGTAAGCCCGTTTCCAACGAAATCCTCAAAGCTATCCAAATATCCGCATGCAGAATCTTCAAAAAGAGTGTTCCAGAAGTACTGCATGAAACGAAAGGTTCAAGTCCGTTTGTTGAGGACACACATCACAAATAAGTTTCTCAGAATGCTTCTGTCTTGTTTTCATTGGAAGATATTTCCTTTTTCACCATAGTTCAGAAAGCGCTCCAAATGTCCACTTCCAGATACTCCAAAAAGAGTGTTTCCAACCTGCTCTATGAATGGGAATGTTCCACTCTGTGACTTGAATGGAAATATGGCAAAGTATTTTCTGAGTATGCTGCTGTGTACGTTTTATATTGCATCCCGTTTCCAACGAAATCCTCAAAGCGATCCAAATATCCACTTGCAGATTCCAAAAAAAGAGTGTTTCAAAGTGCTCTGTCAGTACAAAGGTTCAACACTGTTAGTTGATTAGATGCATCATAAACAAGTTCCTGAGATAGCTTCTATGTCGTTTTTATGGGAAGATATTTCCTTTTTCACCATAGGCCTGAAAGCGCTCCAAATGTCCACTTCCAGATACTACAATAAGAGTGTTTCCAACCTGCTCTATGAAACGGAAGGTTCAACTCTGTGACTTGATTGCAAACATCACGAAGGTGTTTCTGAGAATGCTTCTGTCTAGATTTTCTTTGAAGACATTCCCGTTTCCAACGAAATCCTCACAGCTATCCAAATATCCTCTTGCAGATTCTACAAAAAGTGTGGTTCAAAACTGCTGTATCAAAAGAATGGATCAACACTGTTAGTTGAGTACCCACATCACAAACGTGATTCTCAGAATGCTTCTGTCTAGTTTCTGTAGGTAGATATTTCCTATTTTAAGCATAGGCCTGAAAGCGCTCCAAATGCCCGCTTCCAGACACTATAAAAAGAGGGTTTCAAACCTACTCTATGAAAGGGAATGTTCAACTCTGAGAGCTGGATGCAAACATCACAAAGAAGTTTCTGAGAATGCTGCTGTCTACTTTTTATATATAATCCCGTTTCCAACGAAATCCTCAAATCTATCCAAATATCCACTTGCAGATTCCAAAAGAAGAGTGTCTCAAAACTGCTCTATCAATAGAAATGTTCAGCACAGTTAGTTGAGTAGATACAGCATAAACATGTTTCTGAGATTACTTCTATCTCGCATTCATGGGAAGATATTTCCTTTTTCCAGATAGGCTACAAAGCCCTCCAAATGTCCACTTCCAGATACTACAAAAAGAGTGTTTCCAACCTGCTCTATGAAACGGAAGGTTCAACTCTGTGACTTGATTGCAAACATCACGAAGGTGTTTCTGAGAATGCTTCTGTCTAGATTTTCTTTGAAGACATTACCGTTTCCAACGAAATCCTCAAAGCTAGCCAAATATCCACCTGCAGATTCTACAAAAAGAGTGTTTCAAAAGTGCTCTGTCCAAACCAAGGTTCAATTCTGACAGTTGAGTGCACACATCACAAACGTGATTCTGCGAATGCTTCTGTCTAGTTTTTGTCGGAAGATATTTCCTTTTTCAGCATAGGCCCCAAGGAGCTCAAAATGTCCACTGCCAGATAGTACGAGAAGATTGTTTCAAACCTGCTCTGTGAAAGGGAATGTTCAACTCTGTGACTTGAATGTAAACATCCCTAAGATGTTTCTTAGAATGCTTCTGGCTAGATTTGATTTGAAGATATTCCCGTTTCCAACGAAATCCTCAAAGCTTTCCAAATATCCACTTCCAGATTCTATAAAAAGAATGTTTCAGAACAGTTCTGTCAAAAGAAAGGTTCAACTCTGTTAGTGGAGAACACACATCACAATCAAGGTTCTGAGAATGCTTCTGTCTAAATTTTCTATGAAGACATTCCCGTTTCCAACGAAATCCTCACAGCTATCCAAATATCCACTTGCAGATTCTACAAAAAGTGTGGTTCAAAACTGCTGTATCAAAAGAATGGATCAACACTGTTAGTTGAGTACCCACATCACAAACGTGATTCTCAGAATGCTTCTGTCTAGTTTCTATAGGTAGATATTTCCTTTTTCAGCATAGGCCTGAAAGCGCTCCAAATGCCCGCTTCCAGACACTATAAAAAGAGGGTTTCAAACCTACTCTATGAAAGGGAATGTTCAACTCTGAGAGCTGGATGCAAACATCACAAAGAAGTTTCTGAGAATGCTGCTGTCTACTTTTTATATATAATCCCGTTTCCAACGAAATCCTCAAATCTATCCAAATATCCACTTGCAGATTCCAAAAGAAGAGTGTCTCAAAACTGCTCTATCAATAGAAATGTTCAGCACAGTTAGTTGAGTAGATACAGCATAAACATGTTTCTGAGATTACTTCTATCTCGCATTCATGGGAAGATATTTCCTTTTTCCAGATAGGCTACAAAGCCCTCCAAATGTCCACTTCCAGATACTACAAAAAGAGTGTTTCCAACCTGCTCTATGAAACGGAAGGTTCAACTCTGTGACTTGATTGCAAACATCACGAAGGTGTTTCTGAGAATGCTTCTGTCTAGATTTTCTTTGAAGACATTACCGTTTCCAACGAAATCCTCAAAGCTAGCCAAATATCCACCTGCAGATTCTACAAAAAGAGTGTTTCAAAAGTGCTCTGTCCAAACCAAGGTTCAATTCTGACAGTTGAGTGCACACATCACAAACGTGATTCTGCGAATGCTTCTGTCTAGTTTTTGTCGGAAGATATTTCCTTTTTCAGCATAGGCCCCAAGGAGCTCAAAATGTCCACTGCCAGATAGTACGAGAAGATTGTTTCAAACCTGCTCTGTGAAAGGGAATGTTCAACTCTGTGACTTGAATGTAAACATCCCTAAGATGTTTCTTAGAATGCTTCTGGCTAGATTTTATTTGAAGATATTCCCGTTTCCAACGAAATCCTCAAAGCTTTCCAAATATCCACTTCCAGATTCTATAAAAAGAATGTTTCAGAACAGTTCTGTCAAAAGAAAGGTTCAACTCTGTTAGTGGAGAACACACATCACAATCAAGGTTCTGAGAATGCTTCTGTCTAAATTTTCTATGAAGACATTCCCGTTTCCAACGAAATCCTCACAGCTATCCAAATATCCACTTGCAGATTCTACAAAAAGTGTGGTTCAAAACTGCTGTATCAAAAGAATGGATCAACACTGTTAGTTGAGTACCCACATCACAAACGTGATTCTCAGAATGCTTCTGTCTAGTTTCTATAGGTAGATATCTCCTTTTTCAGCATAGGCCTGAAAGCGCTCCAAATGCCCGCTTCCAGACACTATAAAAAGAGGGTTTCAAACCTACTCTATGAAAGGGAATGTTCAACTCTGAGAGCTGGATGCAAACATCACAAAGAAGTTTCTGAGAATGCTGCTGTCTACTTTTTATATATAATCCCGTTTCCAACGAAATCCTCAAATCTATCCAAATATCCACTTGCAGATTCCAAAAGAAGAGGGTCTCAAAACTGCTCTATCAATAGAAATGTTCAGCACAGTTAGTTGAGTAGATACAGCATAAACATGTTTCTGAGATTACTTCTATCTCGCATTCATGGGAAGATATTTCCTTTTTCCAGATAGGCTACAAAGCCCTCCAAATGTCCACTTCCAGATACTACAAATAGAGTGCTGCACAACTGCTCTATGTGAGGGGAAGTTCAATTCTGTGACTTGAATGCAGACACCACAAAGAAGTTTCTGAGAATGCTGCTGTCTAATTTTTACATGTAAGCCCGTTTCCAACGAAATCCTCAAAGCTATCCAAATATCCGCATGCAGAATCTTCAAAAAGAGTGTTCCAGAAGTACTGCATGAAACGAAAGGTTCAAGTCCGTTTGTTGAGGTCACACATCACAAATAAGTTTCTCAGAATGCTTCTGTCTTGTTTTCATTGGAAGATATTTCCTTTTTCACCATAGTTCAGAAAGCGCTCCAAATGTCCACTTCCAGATACTCCAAAAAGAGTGTTTCCAACCTGCTCTATGAATGGGAATGTTCCACTCTGTGACTTGAATGGAAATATGGCAAAGTATTTTCTGAGTATGCTGCTGTGTACGTTTTATATTGCATCCCGTTTCCAACGAAATCCTCAAAGCGATCCAAATATCCACTTGCAGATTCCAAAAAAAGAGTGTTTCAAAGTGCTCTGTCAGTACAAAGGTTCAACACTGTTAGTTGATTAGATGCATCATAAACAAGTTCCTGAGATACCTTCTATGTCGTTTTTATGGGAAGATATTTCCTTTTTCACCATAGGCCTGAAAGCGCTCCAAATGTCCACTTCCAGATACTACAATAAGAGTGTTTCCAACCTGCTCTATGAAACGGAAGGTTCAACTCTGTGACTTGATTGCAAACATCACGAAGGTGTTTCTGAGAATGCTTCTGTCTAGATTTTCTTTGAAGACATTACCGTTTCCAACGAAATCCTCAAAGTAGCCAAATATCCACCTGCAGATTCTACAAAAAGAGTGTTTCAAAAGTGCTCTGTCCAAACCAAGGTTCAATTCTGACAGTTGAGTGCACACATCACAAACGTGATTCTGCGAATGCTTCTGTCTAGTTTTTGTCGGAAGATATTTCCTTTTTCAGCATAGGCCCCAAGGAGCTCAAAATGTCCACTGCCAGATAGTACGAGAAGATTGTTTCAAACCTGCTCTGTGAAAGGGAATGTTCAACTCTGTGACTTGAATGTAAACATCCCTAAGATGTTTCTTAGAATGCTTCTGGCTAGATTTTATTTGAAGATATTCCCGTTTCCAACGAAATCCTCAAAGCTTTCCAAATATCCACTTCCAGATTCTATAAAAAGAATGTTTCAGAACAGTTCTGTCAAAAGAAAGGTTCAACTCTGTTAGTGGAGAACACACATCACAATCAAGGTTCTGAGAATGCTTCTGTCTAAATTTTCTATGAAGACATTCCCGTTTCCAACGAAATCCTCACAGCTATCCAAATATCCACTTGCAGATTCTACAAAAAGTGTGGTTCAAAACTGCTGTATCAAAAGAATGGATCAACACTGTTAGTTGAGTACCCACATCACAAACGTGATTCTCAGAATGCTTCTGTCTAGTTTCTATAGGTAGATATTTCCTTTTTCAGCATAGGCCTGAAAGCGCTCCAAATGCCCGCTTCCAGACACTATAAAAAGAGGGTTTCAAACCTACTCTATGAAAGGGAATGTTCAACTCTGAGAGCTGGATGCAAACATCACAAAGAAGTTTCTGAGAATGCTGCTGTCTACTTTTTATATATAATCCCGTTTCCAACGAAATCCTCAAATCTATCCAAATATCCACTTGCAGATTCCAAAAGAAGAGTGTCTCAAAACTGCTCTATCAACAGAAATGTTCAGCACAGTTAGTTGAGTAGATACAGCATAAACATGTTTCTGAGATTACTTCTATCTCGCATTCATGGGAAGATATTTCCTTTTTCCAGATAGGCTACAAAGCCCTCCAAATGTCCACTTCCAGATACTACAAATAGAGTGCTGCACAACTGCTCTATGTGAGGGGAAGTTCAATTCTGTGACTTGAATGCAGACACCACAAAGAAGTTTCTGAGAATGCTGCTGTCTAATTTTTACATGTAAGCCCGTTTCCAACGAAATCCTCAAAGCTATCCAAATATCCGCATGCAGAATCTTCAAAAAGAGTGTTCCAGAAGTACTGCATGAAACGAAAGGTTCAAGTCCGTTTGTTGAGGACACACATCACAAATAAGTTTCTCAGAATGCTTCTGTCTTGTTTTCATTGGAAGATATTTCCTTTTTCACCATAGTTCAGAAAGCGCTCCAAATGTCCACTTCCAGATACTCCAAAAAGAGTGTTTCCAACCTGCTCTATGAATGGGAATGTTCCACTCTGTGACTTGAATGGAAATATGGCAAAGTATTTTCTGAGTATGCTGCTGTGTACGTTTTATATTGCATCCCGTTTCCAACGAAATCCTCAAAGCGATCCAAATATCCACTTGCAGATTCCAAAAAAAGAGTGTTTCAAACTGCTCTGTCAGTACAAAGGTTCAACACTGTTAGTTGATTAGATGCATCATAAACAAGTTCCTGAGATAGCTTCTATCTCGCATTCATGGGAAGATATTTCCTTTTTCCAGATAGGCTACAAAGCCCTCCAAATGTCCACTTCCAGATACTACAAAAAGAGTGTTTCCAACCTGCTCTATGAAACGGAAGGTTGAACTCTGTGACTTGATTGCAAACATCACGAAGGTGTTTCTGAGAATGCTTCTGTCTAGATTTTCTTTGAAGACATTACCGTTTCCAACGAAATCCTCAAAGCTAGCTAAATATCCACCTGCAGATTCTACAAAAAGAGTGTTTCAAAAGTGCTCTGTCCAAACCAAGGTTCAATTCTGACAGTTGAGTGCACACATCACAAACGTGATTCTGCGAATGCTTCTGTCTAGTTTTTGTCGGAAGATATTTCCTTTTTCAGCATAGGCCCCAAGGAGCTCAAAATGTCCACTGCCAGATAGTACGAGAAGATTGTTTCAAACCTGCTCTGTGAAAGGGAATGTTCAACTCTGTGACTTGAATGTAAACATCCCTAAGATGTTTCTTAGAATGCTTCTGGCTAGATTTTATTTGAAGATATTCCCGTTTCCAACGAAATCCTCAAAGCTTTCCAAATATCCACTTCCAGATTCTATAAAAAGAATGTTTCAGAACAGTTCTGTCAAAAGAAAGGTTCAACTCTGTTAGTGGAGAACACACATCACAATCAAGGTTCTGAGAATGCTTCTGTCTAAATTTTCTATGAAGACATTCCCGTTTCCAACGAAATCCTCACAGCTATCCAAATATCCACTTGCAGATTCTACAAAAAGTGTGGTTCAAAACTGCTGTATCAAAAGAATGGATCAACACTGTTAGTTGAGTACCCACATCACAAACGTGATTCTCAGAATGCTTCTGTCTAGTTTCTATAGGTAGATATTTCCTTTTTCAGCATAGGCCTGAAAGCGCTCCAAATGCCCGCTTCCAGACACTATAAAAAGAGGGTTTCAAACCTACTCTATGAAAGGGAATGTTCAACTCTGAGAGCTGGATGCAAACATCACAAAGAAGTTTCTGAGAATGCTGCTGTCTACTTTTTATATATAATCCCGTTTCCAACGAAATCCTCAAATCTATCCAAATATCCACTTGCAGATTCCAAAAGAAGAGTGTCTCAAAACTGCTCTATCAATAGAAATGTTCAGCACAGTTAGTTGAGTAGATACAGCATAAACATGTTTCTGAGATTACTTCTATCTCGCATTCATGGGAAGATATTTCCTTTTTCCACATAGGCTACAAAGCCTTCCAAATGTCCACTTCCAGATACTACAAAAAGAGTGTTTCCAACCTGCTCTATGAAACGGAAGGTTCAACTCTGTGACTTGATTGCAAACATCATGAAGGTGTTTCTGAGAATGCTTCTGTCTAGATTTTCTTTGAAGACATTACCGTTTCCAACGAAATCCTCAAAGCTAGCCAAATATCCACCTGCAGATTCTACAAAAAGAGTGTTTCAAAAGTGCTCTGTCCAAACCAAGGTTCAATTCTGACAGTTGAGTGCACACATCACAAACGTGATTCTGCGAATGCTTCTGTCTAGTTTTTGTCGGAAGATATTTCCTTTTTCAGCATAGGCCCCAAGGAGCTCAAAATGTCCACTGCCAGATAGTACGAGAAGATTGTTTCAAACCTGCTCTGTGAAAGGGAATGTTCAACTCTGTGACTTGAATCTAAACATCCCTACGATGTTTCTTAGAATGCTTCTGGCTAGATTTTATTTGAAGATATTCCCGTTTCCAATGAAATCCTCAAAGCTTTCCAAATATCCACTTCCAGATTCTATAAAAAGAATGTTTCAGAACAGTTCTGTCAAAAGAAAGGTTCAACTCTGTTAGTGGAGAACACACATCACAATCAAGGTTCTGAGAATGCTTCTGTCTAAATTTTCTATGAAGACATTCCCGTTTCCAACGAAATCCTCACAGCTATCCAAATATCCACTTGCAGATTCTACAAAAAGTGTGGTTCAAAACTGCTGTATCAAAAGAATGGATCAACACTGTTAGTTGAGTACCCACATCACAAACGTGATTCTCAGAATGCTTCTGTCTAGTTTCTGTAGGTAGATATTTCCTATTTTAAGCATAGGCCTGAAAGCGCTCCAAATGCCCGCTTCCAGACACTATAAAAAGAGGGTTTCAAACCTACTCTATGAAAGGGAATGCTCAACTCTGAGAGCTGGATGCAAACATCACAAAGAAGTTTCTGAGAATGCTGCTGTCTACTTTTTATATATAATCGCGTTTCCAACGAAATCCTCAAATCTATCCAAATATCCACTTGCAGATTCCAAAAGAAGAGTGTCTCAAAACTGCTCTATCAATAGAAATGTTCAGCACAGTTAGTTGAGTAGATACAGCATAAACATGTTTCTGAGATTACTTCTATCTCGCATTCATGGGAAGATATTTCCTTTTTCCAGATAGGCTACAAAGCCCTCCAAATGTCCACTTCCAGATACTACAAAAGAGTGTTTCCAACCTGCTCTATGAAACGGAAGGTTCAACTCTGTGACTTGATTGCAAACATCACGAAGTTGTTTCTGAGAATGCTTCTGTCTAGATTTTCTTTGAAGACATTACCGTTTCCAACGAAATCCTCAAAGCTAGCCAAATATCCACCTGCAGATTCTACAAAAAGAGTGTTTCAAAAGTGCTCTGTCCAAACCAAGGTTCAATTCTGACAGTTGAGTGCACACATCACAAACGTGATTCTGCGAATGCTTCTGTCTAGTTTTTGTCGGAAGATATTTCCTTTTTCAGCATAGGCCCCAAGGAGCTCAAAATGTCCACTGCCAGATAGTACGAGAAGATTGTTTCAAACCTGCTCTGTGAAAGGGAATGTTCAACTCTGTGACTTGAATGTAAACATCCCTAAGATGTTTCTTAGAATGCTTCTGGCTAGATTTTATTTGAAGATATTCCCGTTTCCAACGAAATCCTCAAAGCTTTCCAAATATCCACTTCCAGATTCTATAAAAAGAATGTTTCATAACAGTTCTGTCAAAAGAAAGGTTCAACTCTGTTAGTGGAGAACACACATCACAATCAAGGTTCTGAGAATGCTTCTGTCTAAATTTTCTATGAAGACATTCCCGTTTCCAACGAAATCCTCACAGCTATCCAAATATCCACTTGCAGATTCTACAAAAAGTGTGGTTCAAAACTGCTGTATCAAAAGAATGGATCAACACTGTTAGTTGAGTACCCACATCACAAACGTGATTCTCAGAATGCTTCTGTCTAGTTTCTATAGGTAGATATTTCCTTTTTCAGCATAGGCCTGAAAGCGCTCCAAATGCCCGCTTCCAGACACTATAAAAAGAGGGTTTCAAACCTACTCTATGAAAGGGAATGTTCAACTCTGAGAGCTGGATGCAAACATCACAAAGAAGTTTCTGAGAATGCTGCTGTCTACTTTTGATATATAATCCCGTTTCCAACGAAATCCTCAAATCTATCCAAATATCCACTTGCAGATTCCAAAAGAAGAGTGTCTCAAAACTGCTCTATCAATAGAAATGTTCAGCACAGTTAGTTGAGTAGATACAGCATAAACATGTTTCTGAGATTACTTCTATCTCGCATTCATGGGAAGATATTTCCTTTTTCCAGATAGGCTACAAAGCCCTCCAAATGTCCACTTCCAGATACTTCAAATAGAGTGCTGCACAACTGCTCTATGTGAGGGGATGTTCAATTCTGTGACTTGAATGCAGACACCACAAAGAAGTTTCTGAGAATGCTGCTGTCTAATTTTTACATGTAAGCCCGTTTCCAACGAAATCCTCAAAGCTATCCAAATATCCGCATGCAGAATCTTCAAAAAGAGTGTTCCAGAAGTACTGCATGAAACGAAAGGTTCAAGTCCGTTTGTTGAGGACACACATCACAAATAAGTTTCTCAGAATGCTTCTGTCTTGTTTTCATTGGAAGATATTTCCTTTTTCACCATAGTTCAGAAAGCGCTCCAAATGTCCACTTCCAGATACTCCAAAAAGAGTGTTTCAAACCTGCTCTATGAATGGGAATGTTCCACTCTGTGACTTGAATGGAAATATGGCAAAGTATTTTCTGAGTATGCTGCTGTGTACGTTTTATATTGCATCCCGTTTCCAACGAAATCCTCAAAGCGATCCAAATATCCACTTGCAGATTCCAAAAAAAGAGTGTTTCAAACTGCTCTGTCAGTACAAAGGTTCAACACTGTTAGTTGATTAGATGCATCATAAACAAGTTCCTGAGATAGCTTCTATGTCGTTTTTATGGGAAGATATTTCCTTTTTCACCATAGGCCTGAAAGCGCTCCAAATGTCCACATCCAGATACTACAATAAGAGTGTTTCCAACCTGCTCTATGAAACGGAAGGTTCAACTTTGTGACTTGATTGCAAACATCACGAAGGTGTTTCTGAGAATGCTTCTGTCTAGATTTTCTTTGAAGACATTCCCGTTTCCAACGAAATCCTCACAGCTATCCAAATATCCTCTTGCAGATTCTACAAAAAGTGTGGTTCAAAACTGCTGTATCAAAAGAATGGATCAACACTGTTAGTTGAGTACCCACATCACAAACGTGATTCTCAGAATGCTTCTGTCTAGTTTCTGTAGGTAGATATTTCCTATTTTAAGCATAGGCCTGAAAGCGCTCCAAATGCCCGCTTCCAGACACTATAAAAAGAGGGTTTCAAACCTACTCTATGAAAGGGAATGTTCAACTCTGAGAGCTGGATGCAAACATCACAAAGAAGTTTCTGAGAATGCTGCTGTCTACTTTTTATATATAATCCCGTTTCCAACGAAATCCTCAAATCTATCCAAATATCCACTTGCAGATTCCAAAAGAAGAGTGTCTCAAAACTGCTCTATCAATAGAAATGTTCAGCACAGTTAGTTGAGTAGATACAGCATAAACATGTTTCTGAGATTACTTCTATCTCGCATTCATGGGAAGATATTTCCTTTTTCCAGATAGGCTACAAAGCCCTCCAAATGTCCACTTCCAGATACTACAAATAGAGTGCTGCACAACTGCTCTATGTGAGGGGAAGTTCAATTCTGTGACTTGAATGCAGACACCACAAAGAAGTTTCTGAGAATGCTGCTGTCTAATTTTTACATGTAAGCCCGTTTCCAACGAAATCCTCAAAGCTATCCAAATATCCGCATGCAGAATCTTCAAAAAGAGTGTTCCAGAAGTACTGCATGAAACGAAAGGTTCAAGTCCGTTTGTTGAGGACACACATCACAAATAAGTTTCTCAGAATGCTTCTGTCTTGTTTTCATTGGAAGATATTTCCTTTTTCACCATAGTTCAGAAAGCGCTCCAAATGTCCACTTCCAGATACTCCAAAAAGAGTGTTTCCAACCTGCTCTATGAATGGGAATCTTCCACTCTGTGACTTGAATGGAAATATGGCAAAGTATTTTCTGAGTATGCTGCTGTGTACGTTTTATATTGCATCCCGTTTCCAACGAAATCCTCAAAGCGATCCAAATATCCACTTGCAGATTCCAAAAAAAGAGTGTTTCAAACTGCTCTGTCAGTACAAAGGTTCAACACTGTTAGTTGATTAGATGCATCATAAACAAGTTCCTGAGATAGCTTCTATGTCGTTTTTATGGGAAGATATTTCCTTTTTCACCATAGGCCTGAAAGCGCTCCAAATGTCCACTTCCAGATACTACAAAAAGAGTGTTTCCAACCTGCTCTATGAAACGGAAGGTTCAACTCTGTGACTTGATTGTAAACATCACGAAGGTGTTTCTGAGAATGCTTCTGTCTAGATTTTCTTTGAAGACATTACCGTTTCCAACGAAATCCTCAAAGCTAGCCAAATATCCACCTGCAGATTCTACAAAAAGAGTGTTTCAAAAGTGCTCTGTCCAAACCAAGGTTCAATTCTGACAGTTGAGTGCACACATCACAAACGTGATTCTGCGAATGCTTCTGTCTAGTTTTTGTCGGAAGATATTTCCTTTTTCAGCATAGGCCCCAAGGAGCTCAAAATGTCCACTGCCAGATAGTACGAGAAGATTGTTTCAAACCTGCTCTGTGAAAGGGAATGTTCAACTCTGTGACTTGAATGTAAACATCCCTAAGATGTTTCTTAGAATGCTTCTGGCTAGATTTGATTTGAAGATATTCCCGTTTCCAACGAAATCCTCAAAGCTTTCCAAATATCCACTTCCAGATTCTATAAAAAGAATGTTTCAGAACAGTTCTGTCAAAAGAAAGGTTCAACTCTGTTAGTGGAGAACACACATCACAATCAAGGTTCTGAGAATGCTTCTGTCTAAATTTTCTATGAAGACATTCCCGTTTCCAACGAAATCCTCACAGCTATCCAAATATCCACTTGCAGATTCTACAAAAAGTGTGGTTCAAAACTGCTGTATCAAAAGAATGGATCAACACTGTTAGTTGAGTACCCACATCACAAACGTGATTCTCAGAATGCTTCTGTCTAGTTTCTATAGGTAGATATTTCCTTTTTCAGCATAGGCCTGAAAGCGCTCCAAATGCCCGCTTCCAGACACTATAAAAAGAGGGTTTCAAACCTACTCTATGAAAGGGAATGTTCAACTCTGAGAGCTGGATGCAAACATCACAAAGAAGTTTCTGAGAATGCTGCTGTCTACTTTTGATATATAATCCCGTTTCCAACGAAATCCTCAAATCTATCCAAATATCCACTTGCAGATTCCAAAAGAAGAGTGTCTCAAAACTGCTCTATCAATAGAAATGTTCAGCACAGTTAGTTGAGTAGATACAGCATAAACATGTTTCTGAGATTACTTCTATCTCGCATTCATGGGAAGATATTTCCTTTTTCCAGATAGGCTACAAAGCCCTCCAAATGTCCACTTCCAGATACTACAAAAAGAGTGTTTCCAACCTGCTCTATGAAACGGAAGGTTCAACTCTGTGACTTGATTGCAAACATCACGAAGGTGTTTCTGAGAATGCTTCTGTCTAGATTTTCTTTGAAGACATTACCGTTTCCAACGAAATCCTCAAAGCTAGCCAAATATCCACCTGCAGATTCTACAAAAAGAGTGTTTCAAAAGTGCTCTGTCCAAACCAAGGTTCAATTCTGACAGTTGAGTGCACACATCACAAACGTGATTCTGCGAATGCTTCTGTCTAGTTTTTGTCGGAAGATATTTCCTTTTTCAGCATAGGCCCCAAGGAGCTCAAAATGTCCACTGCCAGATAGTACGAGAAGATTGTTTCAAACCTGCTCTGTGAAAGGGAATGTTCAACTCTGTGACTTGAATGTAAACATCCCTAAGATGTTTCTTAGAATGCTTCTGGCTAGATTTGATTTGAAGATATTCCCGTTTCCAACGAAATCCTCAAAGCTTTCCAAATATCCACTTCCAGATTCTATAAAAAGAATGTTTCAGAACAGTTCTGTCAAAAGAAAGGTTCAACTCTGTTAGTGGAGAACACACATCACAATCAAGGTTCTGAGAATGCTTCTGTCTAAATTTTCTATGAAGACATTCCCGTTTCCAACGAAATCCTCACAGCTATCCAAATATCCACTTGCAGATTCTACAAAAAGTGTGGTTCAAAACTGCTGTATCAAAAGAATGGATCAACACTGTTAGTTGAGTACCCACATCACAAACGTGATTCTCAGAATGCTTCTGTCTAGTTTCTATAGGTAGATATTTCCTTTTTCAGCATAGGCCTGAAAGCGCTCCAAATGCCCGCTTCCAGACACTATAAAAAGAGGGTTTCAAACCTACTCTATGAAAGGGAATGTTCAACTCTGAGAGCTGGATGCAAACATCACAAAGAAGTTTCTGAGAATGCTGCTGTCTACTTTTTATATATAATCCCGTTTCCAACGAAATCCTCAAATCTATCCAAATATCCACTTGCAGATTCCAAAAGAAGAGTGTCTCAAAACTGCTCTATCAATAGAAATGTTCAGCACAGTTAGTTGAGAAGATACAGCATAAACATGTTTCTGAGATTACTTCTATCTCGCATTCATGGGAAGATATTTCCTTTTTCCAGATAGGCTACAAAGCCCTCCAAATGTCCACTTCCAGATACTACAAATAGAGTGCTGCACAACTGCTCTATGTGAGGGGAAGTTCAATTCTGTGACTTGAATGCAGACACCACAAAGAAGTTTCTGAGAATGCTGCTGTCTAATTTTTACATGTAAGCCCGTTTCCAACGAAATCCTCAAAGCTATCCAAATATCCGCATGCAGAATCTTCAAAAAGAGTGTTCCAGAAGTACTGCATGAAACGAAAGGTTCAAGTCCGTTTGTTGAGGACACACATCACAAATAAGTTTCTCAGAATGCTTCTGTCTTGTTTTCATTGGAAGATATTTCCTTTTTCACCATAGTTCAGAAAGCGCTCCAAATGTCCACTTCCAGATACTCCAAAAAGAGTGTTTCCAACCTGCTCTATGAATGGGAATGTTCCACTCTGTGACTTGAATGGAAATATGGCAAAGTATTTTCTGAGTATGCTGCTGTGTACGTTTTATATTGCATCCCGTTTCCAACGAAATCCTCAAAGCGATCCAAATATCCACTTGCAGATTCCAAAAAAAGAGTGTTTCAAACTGCTCTGTCAGTACAAAGGTTCAACACTGTTAGTTGATTAGATGCATCATAAACAAGTTCCTGAGATAGCTTCTATGTCGTTTTTATGGGAAGATATTTCCTTCTTCACCATAGGCCTGAAAGCACTCCAAATGTCCACTTCCAGATACTACAAAAAGAGTGTTTCCAACCTGCTCTATGAAACGGAAGCTTCAACTCTGTGACTTGATTGCAAACATCACGAAGGTGTTTCTGAGAATGTTTCTGTCTAGATTTTCTTTGAAGACATTACCGTTTCCAACGAAATCCTCAAAGCTAGTCAAATATCCACCTGCAGATTCTACAAAAAGAGTGTTTCAAAAGTGCTCTGTCCAAACAAAGGTTCAATTCTGACAGTTCAGTGCACACATCACAAACGTGATTCTGCGAATGCTTCTGTCTAGTTTTTGTCGGAAGATATTTCCTTTTTCAGCATAGGCCACAAGGAGCTCTAAATGTCCACTTCCAGATAGTACGAGAAGATTGTTTCAAACCTGCTCTGTGAAAGGGAATGTTCAACTCTGTGACTTGAATGTAAACATCCCTAAGATGTTTCTTAGAATGCTTCTGGCTAGATTTGATTTGAAGATATTCCCGTTTCCAACGAAATCCTCAAAGCTTTCCAAATATCCACTTCCAGATTCTATAAAAAGAATGTTTCAGAACAGTTCTGTCAAAAGAAAGGTTCAACTCTGTTAGTGGAGAACACACATCACAATCAAGGTTCTGAGAATGCTTCTGTCTAAATTTTCCATGAAGGCATTCCCGTTTCCAAGGAAATCCTCACAGCTATCCAAATATCCACTTGCAGATTCTACAAACGTGTGGTTCAAAACTGCAGTATCAAAAGAATGGATCAACACTGTTAGTTGAGTACCCACATCACAAACGTGATTCTCAGAATGCTTCTGTCTAGTTTCTATAGGTAGATATTTCCTTTTTCAGCATAGGCCTGAAAGCGCTCCAAATGCCCACTTCCACACACTATAAAAAGAGGGTTTCAAACCTTCTCTATGAAAGGGAATGTTCAACTCTGAGAGCTGGATGCAAACATCACAAAGAAGTTTCTGAGAATGCGGCTGTCTACTTTTTATATATAATCCCGTTGCCAACGAAATCCTCAAATCTATCCAAATATCCACTTGCAGATTCCAAAAGAAGAGTGTCTCAAAACTGCTCTATCAATAGAAATGTTCAGCACAGTTAGTTGAGTAGATACAGCATAAACATGTTTCTGAGATTACTTCTATCTCGCATTCATGGGAAGATATTTCCTTTTTCCAGATAGGCTACAAAGCCCTCCAAATGTCCACTTCGAGATACTACAAATAGAGTGCTGCACAGCTGCTCTATGTGAGGGGATGTTCAATTCTGTGACTTGGATGCAGACACCACAGAGAAGTTTCTGAGAATGCTGCTGTCTAATTTTTATATGTAAGCCCGTTTCCAACGAAATCCTCAAAGCTATCCAAATATCCGCATGCAGAATCTTCAAAAAGAGTGTTCCAGAAGTACTGCATGAAACGAAAGGTTCAAGTCCGTTAGTTGAGGACACACATCACACATAAGTTTCTCAGAATGCTTCTGTCTTGTTTTCATTGGAAGATATTTCCTTTTTCACCATAGTTCAGAAAGCGCTCCAAATGTCCACTTCCAGATACTACAAAAAGAGTGTGTCAAACCTGCTCTATGAATGGGAATGTTACACTCTGTGACTTGAATGGAAATATGGCAAAGTATTTTCTGAGTATGCTGCTGTGTACGTTTTATATTGCATCCCGTTTCCAACGAAATCCTCAAAGCGATCCAAATATCCACTTGCAGATTCCAAAAAAAAGAGTGTTTCACACTGCTCTGTCAGTACAAAGGTTCAACACTGTTAGTTGATTGGATGCATCATAAACAAGTTCCTGAGATAGCTTCTATGTCGTTTTTATGGGAAGATATTTCCTTCTTCACCATAGGCCTGAAAGCGCTCCAAATGTCCACTTCCAGATACTACAAAAAGAGTGTTTCCAACCTGCTCTACGAAACGGAAGGTTCAACTCTGTGACTTGATTGCAAACATCACGAAGGTGTTTCTGAGAATGTTTCTGTCTAGATTTTCTTTGAAGACATTACCGTTTCCAACGAAATCCTCAAAGCTAGTCAAATATCCACCTGCAGATTCTACAAAAAGAGTGTTTCAAAAGTGCTCTGTCCAAACAAAGGTTCAATTCTGACAGTTGAGTGCACACATCACAAACGTGATTCTGCGAATGCTTCTGTCTAGTTTTTGTCGGAAGATATTTCCTTTTTCAGCATAGGCCCCAAGGAGCTCAAAATGTCCACTGCCAGATAGTACGAGAAGATTGTTTCAAACCTGCTCTGTGAAAGGGAATGTTCAACTCTGTGACTTGAATGTAAACATCACTAAGATGTTTCTTAGAATGCTTCTGGCTAGATTTTATTTGAAGATATTCCCGTTTCCAACGAAATCCTCAAAGCTTTCCAAATATCCACTTCCAGATTCTACAAAAAGAATGTTTCAGAACAGTTCTGTCAAAAGAAAGGTTCAACTCTGTTAGTGGAGAACACACATCACAATCAAGGTTCTGAGAATGCTTCTGTCTAAATTTTCTATGAAGACATTCCCGTTTCCAACGAAATCCTCACAGCTATCCAAATATCCACTTGCAGATTCTACAAAAAGTGTGGTTCAAAACTGCTGTATCAAAAGAATGGATCAACACTGTTAGTTGAGTACCCACATCACAAACGTGATTCTCAGAATGCTTCTGTCTAGTTTCTATAGGTAGATATTTCCTTTTTCAGCATAGGCCTGAAAGCGCTCCAAATGCCCGCTTCCAGACACTATAAAAAGAGGGTTTCAAACCTACTCTATGAAAGGGAATGTTCAACTCTGAGAGCTGGATGCAAACATCACAAAGAAGTTTCTGAGAATGCTGCTGTCTACTTTTGATATATAATCCCGTTTCCAACGAAATCCTCAAATCTATCCAAATATCCACTTGCAGATTCCAAAAGAAGAGTGTCTCAAAACTGCTCTATCAATAGAAATGTTCAGCACAGTTAGTTGAGTAGGTACAGCATAAACATGTTTCTGAGATTACTTCTATCTCGCATTCATGGGAAGATATTTCCTTTTTCCACATAGGCTACAAAGCCCTCCAAATGTCCACTTCCAGATACTACAAATAGAGTGCTGCACAACTGCTCTATGTGAGGGGATGTTCAATTCTGTGACTTGAATGCAGACACCACAAAGAAGTTTCTGAGAATGCTGCTGTCTAATTTTTACATGTAAGCCCGTTTCCAACGAAATCCTCAAAGCTATCCAAATATCCGCATGCAGAATCTTCAAAAAGAGTGTTCCAGAAGTACTGCATGAAACGAAAGGTTCAAGTCCGTTTGTTGAGGACACACATCACAAATAAGTTTCTCAGAATGCTTCTGTCTTGTTTTCATTGGAAGATATTTCCTTTTTCACCATAGTTCAGAAAGCGCTCCAAATGTCCACTTCCAGATACTCCAAAAAGAGTGTTTCCAACCTGCTCTAGTAATGGGAATGTTCCACTCTGTGACTTGAATGGAAATATGGCAAAGTATTTTCTGAGTATGCTGCTGTGTACGTTTTATATTGCATCCCGTTTCCAACGAAATCCTCAAAGCGATCCAAATATCCACTTGCAGATTCCAAAAAAAGAGTGTTTCAAAGTGCTCTGTCAGTACAAAGGTTCAACACTGTTAGTTGATTAGATGCATCATAAACAAGTTCCTGAGATAGCTTCTATGTCGTTTTTATGGGAAGATATTTCCTTTTTCACCATAGGCCTGAAAGCGCTCCAAATGTCCACTTCCAGATACTACAATAAGAGTGTTTCCAACCTGCTCTATGAAACGGAAGGTTCAACTCTGTGACTTGATTGCAAACATCACGAAGGTGTTTCTGAGAATGCTTCTGTCTAGATTTTCTTTGAAGACATTCCCGTTTCCAACGAAATCCTCACAGCTATCCAAATATCCTCTTGCAGATTCTACAAAAAGTGTGGTTCAAAACTGCTGTATCAAAAGAATGGATCAACACTGTTAGTTGAGTACCCACATCACAAACGTGATTCTCAGAATGCTTCTGTCTAGTTTCTGTAGGTAGATATTTCCTATTTTAAGCATAGGCCTGAAAGCGCTCCAAATGCCCGCTTCCAGACACTATAAAAAGAGGGTTTCAAACCTACTCTATGAAAGGGAATGTTCAACTCTGAGAGCTGGATGCAAACATCACAAAGAAGTTTCTGAGAATGCTGCTGTCTACTTTTTATATATAATCCCGTTTCCAACGAAATCCTCAAATCTATCCAAATATCCACTTGCAGATTCCAAAAGAAGAGTGTCTCAAAACTGCTCTATCAATAGAAATGTTCAGCACAGTTAGTTGAGTAGATACAGCATAAACATGTTTCTGAGATTACTTCTATCTCGCATTCATGGGAAGATATTTCCTTTTTCCAGATAGGCTACAAAGCCCTCCAAATGTCCACTTCCAGATACTACAAATAGAGTGCTGCACAACTGCTCTATGTGAGGGGAAGTTCAATTCTGTGACTTGAATGCAGACACCACAAAGAAGTTTCTGAGAATGCTGCTGTCTAATTTTTACATGTAAGCCCGTTTCCAACGAAATCCTCAAAGCTATCCAAATATCCGCATGCAGAATCTTCAAAAAGAGTGTTCCAGAAGTACTGCATGAAACGAAAGGTTCAAGTCCGTTTGTTGAGGACACACATCACAAATAAGTTTCTCAGAATGCTTCTGTCTTGTTTTCATTGGAAGATATTTCCTTTTTCACCATAGTTCAGAAAGCGCTCCAAATGTCCACTTCCAGATACTCCAAAAAGAGTGTTTCAAACCTGCTCTATGAATGGGAATGTTCCACTCTGTGACTTGAATGGAAATATGGCAAAGTATTTTCTGAGTATGCTGCTGTGTACGTTTTATATTGCATCCCGTTTCCAACGAAATCCTCAAAGCGATCCAAATATCCACTTGCAGATTCCAAAAAAAGAGTGTTTCAAACTGCTCTGTCAGTACAAAGGTTCAACACTGTTAGTTGATTAGATGCATCATAAACAAGTTCCTGAGATAGCTTCTATGTCGTTTTTATGGGAAGATATTTCCTTTTTCACCATAGGCCTGAAAGCACTCCAAATGTCCACTTCCAGATACTACAAAAAGAGTGTTTCCAACCTGCTCTATGAAACGGAAGGTTCAACTCTGTGACTTGATTGCAAACATCACGAAGGTGTTTCTGAGAATGCTTCTGTCTAGATTTTCTTTGAAGACATTCCCGTTTCCAACGAAATCCTCAAAGCTAGCCAAATATCCACCTGCAGATTCTACAAAAAGAGTGTTTCAAGAGTGCTCTCTCCAAACCAAGGTTCAATTCTGACAGTTGAGTGCACACATCACAAACGTGATTCTGCGAATGCTTCTGTCTAGTTTTTGTCGGAAGATATTTCCTTTTTCAGCATAGGCCCCAAGGAGCTCAAAATGTCCACTGCCAGATAGTACGAGAAGATTGTTTCAAACCTGCTCTGTGAAAGGGAATGTTCAACTCTGTGACTTGAATGTAAACATCCCTAAGATGTTTCTTAGAATGCTTCTGGCTAGATTTGATTTGAAGATATTCCCGTTTCCAACGAAATCCTCAAAGCTTTCCAAATATCCACTTCCAGATTCTATAAAAAGAATGTTTCAGAACAGTTCTGTCAAAAGAAAGGTTCAACTCTGTTAGTGGAGAACACACATCACAATCAAGGTTCTGAGAATGCTTCTGTCTAAATTTTCTATGAAGACATTCCCGTTTCCAACGAAATCCTCACAGCTATCCAAATATCCACTTGCAGATTCTACAAAAAGTGTGGTTCAAAACTGCTGTATCAAAAGAATGGATCAACACTGTTAGTTGAGTACCCACATCACAAACGTGATTCTCAGAATGCTTCTGTCTAGTTTCTATAGGTAGATATTTCCTTTTTCAGCATAGGCCTGAAAGCGCTCCAAATGCCCGCTTCCAGACACTATAAAAAGAGGGTTTCAAACCTACTCTATGAAAGGGAATGTTCAACTCTGAGAGCTGGATGCAAACATCACAAAGAAGTTTCTGAGAATGCTGCTGTCTACTTTTTATATATAATCCCGTTTCCAACGAAATCCTCAAATCTATCCAAATATCCACTTGCAGATTCCAAAAGAAGAGTGTCTCAAAACTGCTCTATCAATAGAAATGTTCAGCACAGTTAGTTGAGTAGATACAGCATAAACATCTTTCTGAGATTACTTCTATCTCGCATTCATGGGAAGATATTTCCTTTTTCCAGATAGGCTACAAAGCCCTCCAAATGTCCACTTCCAGATACTACAAAAAGAGTGTTTCCAACCTGCTCTATGAAACGGAAGGTTCAACTCTGTGACTTGATTGCAAACATCACGAAGGTGTTTCTGAGAATGCTTCTGTCTAGATTTTCTTTGAAGACATTACCGTTTCCAACGAAATCCTCAAAGCTAGCCAAATATCCACCTGCAGATTCTACAAAAAGAGTGTTTCAAGAGTGCTCTCTCCAAACCAAGGTTCAATTCTGACAGTTGAGTGCACACATCACAAACGTGATTCTGCGAATGCTTCTGTCTAGTTTTTGTCGGAAGATATTTCCTTTTTCAGCATAGGCCCCAAGGAGCTCAAAATGTCCACTGCCAGATAGTACGAGAAGATTGTTTCAAACCTGCTCTGTGAAAGGGAATGTTCAACTCTGTGACTTGAATGTAAACATCCCTAAGCTGTTTCTTAGAATGCTTCTGGCTAGATTTGATTTGAAGATATTCCCGTTTCCAACGAAATCCTCAAAGCTTTCCAAATATCCACTTCCAGATTCTATAAAAAGAATGTTTCAGAACAGTTCTGTCAAAAGAAAGTTTCAACTCTGTTAGTGGAGAACACACATCACAATCAAGGTTCTGAGAATGCTTCTGTCTAGCATTTTCTTTGAAGACATTCCCGTTTCCAACGAAATCCTCACAGCTATCCAAATATCCTCTTGCAGATTCTACAAAAAGTGTGGTTCAAAACTGCTGTATCAAAAGAATGGATCAACACTGTTAGTTGAGTACCCACATCACAAACGTGATTCTCAGAATGCTTCTGTCTAGTTTCTGTAGGTAGATATTTCCTATTTTAAGCATAGGCCTGAAAGCGCTCCAAATGCCCGCTTCCAGACACTATAAAAAGAGGGTTTCAAACCTACTCTATGAAAGGGAATGTTCAACTCTGAGAGCTGGATGCAAACATCACAAAGAAGTTTCTGAGAATGCTGCTGTCTACTTTTTATATATAATCCCGTTTCCAACGAAATCCTCAAATCTATCCAAATATCCACTTGCAGATTCCAAAAGAAGAGTGTCTCAAAACTGCTCTATCAATAGAAATGTTCAGCACAGTTAGTTGAGTAGATACAGCATAAACACGTTTCTGAGATTACTTCTATCTCGCATTCATGGGAAGATATTTCCTTTTTCCAGATAGGCTACAAAGCCCTCCAAATGTCCACTTCCAGATACTACAAATAGAGTGCTGCACAACTGCTCTATGTGAGGGGAAGTTCAATTCTGTGACTTGAATGCAGACACCACAAAGAAGTTTCTGAGAATGCTGCTGTCTAATTTTTACATGTAAGACCGTTTCCAACGAAATCCTCAAAGCTATCCAAATATCCGAATGCAGAATCTTCAAAAAGAGTGTTCCAGAAGTACTGCATGAAACGAAAGGTTCAAGTCCGTTTGTTGAGGACACACATCACAAATAAGTTTCTCAGAATGCTTCTGTCTTGTTTTCATTGGAAGATATTTCCTTTTTCACCATAGTTCAGAAAGCGCTCCAAATGTCCACTTCCAGATACTCCAAAAAGAGTGTTTCCAACCTGCTCTATGAATGGGAATGTTCCACTCTGTGACTTGAATGGAAATATGGCAAAGTATTTTCTGAGTATGCTGCTGTGTACGTTTTATATTGCATCCCGTTTCCAACGAAATCCTCAAAGCGATCCAAATATCCACTTGCAGATTCCAAAAAAAGAGTGTTTCAAACTGCTCTGTCAGTACAAAGGTTCAACACTGTTAGTTGATTAGATGCATCATAAACAAGTTCCTGAGATAGCTTCTATGTCGTTTTTATGGGAAGATATTTCCTTTTTCACCATAGGCCTGAAAGCGCTCCAAATGTCCACTTCCAGATACTACAATAAGAGTGTTTCCAACCTGCTCTATGAAACGGAAGGTTCAACTCTGTGACTTGATTGCAAACATCACGAAGGTGTTTCTGAGAATGCTTCTGTCTAGATTTTCTTTGAAGACATTCCCGTTTCCAACGAAATCCTCACAGCTATCCAAATATCCTCTTGCAGATTCTACAAAAAGTGTGGTTCAAAACTGCTGTATCAAAAGAATGGATCAACACTGTTAGTTGAGTACCCACATCACAAACGTGATTCTCAGAATGCTTCTGTCTAGTTTCTGTAGGTAGATATTTCCTATTTTAAGCATAGGCCTGAAAGCGCTCCAAATGCCCGCTTGCAGACACTATAAAAAGAGGGTTTCAAACCTACTCTATGAAAGGGAATGTTCAACTCTGAGAGCTGGATGCAAACATCACAAAGAAGTTTCTGAGAATGCTGCTGTCTACTTTTTATATATAATCCCGTTTCCAACGAAATCCTCAAATCTATCCAAATATCCACTTGCAGATTCCAAAAGAAGAGTGTCTCAAAACTGCTCTATCAATAGAAATGTTCAGCACAGTTAGTTGAGTAGATACAGCATAAACATGTTTCTGAGATTACTTCTATCTCGCATTCATGGGAAGATATTTCCTTTTTCCAGATAGGCTACAAAGCCCTCCAAATGTCCACTTCGAGATACTACAAATAGAGTGCTGCACAACTGCTCTATGTGAGGGGAAGTTCAATTCTGTGACTTGAATGCAGACACCACAAAGAAGTTTCTGAGAATGCTGCTGTCTAATTTTTACATGTAAGCCCGTTTCCAACGAAATCCTCAAAGCTATCCAAATATCCGCATGCAGAATCTTCAAAAAGAGTGTTCCAGAAGTACTGCATGAAACGAAAGGTTCAAGTCCGTTTGTTGAGGACACACATCACAAATAAGTTTCTCAGAATGCTTCTGTCTTGTTTTCATTGGAAGATATTTCCTTTTTCACCATAGTTCAGAAAGCGCTCCAAATGTCCACTTCCAGATACTCCAAAAAGAGTGTTTCCAACCTGCTCTATGAATGGGAATGTTCCACTCTGTGACTTGAATGGAAACATGGCAAAGTATTTTCTGAGTATGCTGCTGTGTACGTTTTATATTGCATCCCGTTTCCAACGAAATCCTCAAAGTGATCCAAATATCCACTTGCAGATTCCAAAAAAAGAGTGTTTCAAAGTGCTCTGTCAGTACAAAGGTTCAACACTGTTAGTTGATTAGATGCATCATAAACAAGTTCCTGAGATAGCTTCTATGTCGTTTTTATGGGAAGATATTTCCTTTTTCACCATAGGCCTGAAAGCGCTCCAAATGTCCACTTCCAGATACTACAATAAGAGTGTTTCCAACCTGCTCTATGAAACGGAAGGTTCAACTCTGTGACTTGATTGCAAACATCACGAAGGTGTTTCTGAGAATGCTTCTGTCTAGATTTTCTTTGAAGACATTCCCGTTTCCAACGAAATCCTCACAGCTATCCAAATATCCTCTTGCAGATTCTACAAAAAGTGTGGTTCAAAACTGCTGTATCAAAAGAATGGATCAACACTGTTAGTTGAGTACCCACATCACAAACGTGATTCTCAGAATGCTTCTGTCTAGTTTCTGTAGGTAGATATTTCCTATTTTAAGCATAGGCCTGAAAGCGCTCCAAATGCCCGCTTCCAGACACTATAAAAAGAGGGTTTCAAACCTACTCTATGAAAGGGAATGTTCAACTCTGAGAGCTGGATGCAAACATCACAAAGAAGTTTCTGAGAATGCTGCTGTCTACTTTTTATATATAATCCCGTTTCCAACGAAATCCTCAAATCTATCCAAATATCCACTTGCAGATTCCAAAAGAAGAGTGTCTCAAAACTGCTCTATCAATAGAAATGTTCAGCACAGTTAGTTGAGTAGATACAGCATAAACATGTTTCTGAGATTACTTCTATCTCGCATTCATGGGAAGATATTTCCTTTTTCCACATAGGCTACAAAGCCCTCCAAATGTCCACTTCCAGATACTACAAAAAGAGTGTTTCCAACCTGCTCTATGAAACGGAAGGTTCAACTCTGTGACTTGATTGCAAACATCACGAAGGTGTTTCTGAGAATGCTTCTGTCTAGATTTTCTTTGAAGACATTACCGTTTCCAACGAAATCCTCAAAGCTAGCCAAATATCCACCTGCAGATTCTACAAAAAGAGTGTTTCAAAAGTGCTCTGTCCAAACCAAGGTTCAATTCTGACAGTTGAGTGCACACATCACAAACGTGATTCTGCGAATGCTTCTGTCTAGTTTTTGTCGGAAGATATTTCCTTTTTCAGCATAGGCCCCAAGGAGCTCAAAATGTCCACTGCCAGATAGTACGAGAAGATTGTTTCAAACCTGCTCTGTGAAAGGGAATGTTCAACTCTGTGACTTGAATGTAAACATCCCTAAGATGTTTCTTAGAATGCTTCTGGCTAGATTTGATTTGAAGATATTCCCGTTTCCAACGAAATCCTCAAAGCTTTCCAAATATCCACTTCCAGATTCTATAAAAAGAATGTTTCAGAACAGTTCTGTCAAAAGAAAGGTTCAACTCTGTTAGTGGAGAACACACATCACAATCAAGGTTCTGAGAATGCTTCTGTCTAAATTTTCTATGAAGACATTCCCGTTTCCAACGAAATCCTCACAGCTATCCAAATATCCACTTGCAGATTCTACAAAAAGTGTGGTTCAAAACTGCTGTATCAAAAGAATGGATCAACACTGTTAGTTGAGTACCCACATCACAAACGTGATTCTCAGAATGCTTCTGTCTAGTTTCTATAGGTAGATATTTCCTATTTTAAGCATAGGCCTGAAAGCGCTCCAAATGCCCGCTTCCAGACACTATAAAAAGAGGGTTTCAAACCTACTCTATGAAAGGGAATGTTCAACTCTGAGAGCTGGATGCAAACATCACAAAGAAGTTTCTGAGAATGCTGCTGTCTACTTTTTATATATAATCCCGTTTCCAACGAAATCCTCAAATCTATCCAAATATCCACTTGCAGATTCCAAAAGAAGAGTGTCTCAAAACTGCTCTATCAATAGAAATGTTCAGCACAGTTAGTTGAGTAGATACAGCATAAACATGTTTCTGAGATTACTTCTATCTCGCATTCATGGGAAGATATTTCCTTTTTCCAGATAGGCTACAAAGCCCTCCAAATGTCCACTTCGAGATACTACAAATAGAGTGCTGCACAACTGCTCTATGTGAGGGGAAGTTCAATTCTGTGACTTGAATGCAGACACCACAAAGAAGTTTCTGAGAATGCTGCTGTCTAATTTTTACATGTAAGCCCGTTTCCAACGAAATCCTCAAAGCTATCCAAATATCCGAATGCAGAATCTTCAAAAAGAGTGTTCCAGAAGTACTGCATGAAACGAAAGGTTCAAGTCCGTTTGTTGAGGACACACATCACAAATAAGTTTCTCAGAATGCTTCTGTCTTGTTTTCATTGGAAGATATTTCCTTTTTCACCATAGTTCAGAAAGCGCTCCAAATGTCCACTTCCAGATACTCCAAAAAGAGTGTTTCCAACCTGCTCTATGAATGGGAATGTTCCAGTCTGTGACTTGAATGGAAATATGGCAAAGTATTTTCTGAGTATGCTGCTGTGTACGTTTTATATTGCATCCCGTTTCCAACGAAATCCTCAAAGCGATCCAAATATCCACTTGCAGATTCCAAAAAAAGAGTGTTTCAAACTGCTCTGTCAGTACAAAGGTTCAACACTGTTAGTTGATTAGATGCATCATAAACAAGTTCCTGAGATAGCTTCTATGTCGTTTTTATGGGAAGATATTTCCTTTTTCACCATAGGCCTGAAAGCGCTCCAAATGTCCACTTCCAGATACTACAATAAGAGTGTTTCCAACCTGCTCTATGAAACGGAAGGTTCAACTCTGTGACTTGATTGCAAACATCACGAAGGTGTTTCTGAGAATGCTTCTGTCTAGATTTTCTTTGAAGACATTACCGTTTCCAATGAAATCCTCAAAGCTAGCCAAATATCCACCTGCAGATTCTACAAAAAGAGTGTTTCAAAAGTGCTCTGTCCAAACCAAGGTTCAATTCTGACAGTTGAGTGCACACATCACAAACGTGATTCTGCGAATGCTTCTGTCTAGTTTTTGTCGGAAGATATTTCCTTTTTCAGCATAGGCCCCAAGGAGCTCAAAATGTCCACTGCCAGATAGTACGAGAAGATTGTTTCAAACCTGCTCTGTGAAAGGGAATGTTCAACTCTGTGACTTGAATGTAAACATCCCTAAGATGTTTCTTAGAATGCTTCTGGCTAGATTTTATTTGAAGATATTCCCGTTTCCAACGAAATCCTCAAAGCTTTCCAAATATCCACTTGCAGATTCTATAAAAAGAATGTTTCAGAACAGTTCTGTCAAAAGAAAGGTTCAACTCTGTTAGTGGAGAACACACATCACAATCAAGGTTCTGAGAATGCTTCTGTCTAAATTTTCTATGAAGACATTCCCGTTTCCAACGAAATCCTCACAGCTATCCAAATATCCACTTGCAGATTCTACAAAAAGTGTGGTTCAAAACTGCTGTATCAAAAGAATGGATCAACACTGTTAGTTGAGTACCCACATCACAAACGTGATTCTCAGAATGCTTCTGTCTAGTTTCTATAGGTAGATATTTCCTTTTTCAGCATAGGCCTGAAAGCGCTCCAAATGCCCGCTTCCAGACACTATAAAAAGAGGGTTTCAAACCTACTCTATGAAAGGGAATGTTCAACTCTGAGAGCTGGATGCAAACATCACAAAGAAGTTTCTGAGAATGCTGCTGTCTACTTTTTATATATAATCCCGTTTCCAACGAAATCCTCAAATCTATCCAAATATCCACTTGCAGATTCCAAAAGAAGAGTGTCTCAAAACTGCTCTATCAATAGAAATGTTCAGCACAGTTAGTTGAGTAGATACAGCATAAACATGTTTCTGAGATTACTTCTATCTCGCATTCATGGGAAGATATTTCCTTTTTCCACATAGGCTACAAAGCCCTCCAAATGTCCACTTCCAGATACTACAAAAAGAGTGTTTCCAACCTGCTCTATGAAACGGAAGGTTCAACTCTGTGACTTGATTGCAAACATCACGAAGGTGTTTCTGAGAATGCTTCTGTCTAGATTTTCTTTGAAGACATTACCGTTTCCAACGAAATCCTCAAAGCTAGCCAAATATCCACCTGCAGATTCTACAAAAAGAGTGTTTCAAAAGTGCTCTGTCCAAACCAAGGTTCAATTCTGACAGTTGAGTGCACACATCACAAACGTGATTCTGCGAATGCTTCTGTCTAGTTTTTGTCGGAAGATATTTCCTTTTTCAGCATAGGCCCCAAGGAGCTCAAAATGTCCACTGCCAGATAGTACGAGAAGATTGTTTCAAACCTGCTCTGTGAAAGGGAATGTTCAACTCTGTGACTTGAATGTAAACATCCCTAAGATGTTTCTTAGAATGCTTCTGGCTAGATTTGATTTGAAGATATTCCCGTTTCCAACGAAATCCTCAAAGCTTTCCAAATATCCACTTCCAGATTCTATAAAAAGAATGTTTCAGAACAGTTCTGTCAAAAGAAAGGTACAACTCTGTTAGTGGAGAACACACATCACAATCAAGGTTCTGAGAATGCTTCTGTCTAAATTTTCTATGAAGACATTCCCGTTTCCAACGAAATCCTCACAGCTATCCAAATATCCACTTGCAGATTCTACAAAAAGTGTGGTTCAAAACTGCTGTATCAAAAGAATGGATCAACACTGTTAGTTGAGTACCCACATCACAAACGTGATTCTCAGAATGCTTCTGTCTAGTTTCTATAGGTAGATATTTCCTTTTTCAGCATAGGCCTGAAAGCGCTCCAAATGCCCGCTTCCAGACACTATAAAAAGAGGGTTTCAAACCTACTCTATGAAAGGGAATGTTCAACTCTGAGAGCTGGATGCAAACATCACAAAGAAGTTTCTGAGAATGCTGCTGTCTACTTTTGATATATAATCCCGTTTCCAACGAAATCCTCAAATCTATCCAAATATCCACTTGCAGATTCCAAAAGAAGAGTGTCTCAAAACTGCTCTATCAACAGAAATGTTCAGCACAGTTAGTTGAGTAGATACAGCATAAACATGTTTCTGAGATTACTTCTATCTCGCATTCATGGGAAGATATTTCCTTTTTCCAGATAGGCTACAAAGCCCTCCAAATGTCCACTTCCAGATACTACAAAGAGTGTTTCCAACCTGCTCTATGAAACGGAAGGTTCAACTCTGTGACTTGATTGCAAACATCACGAAGGTGTTTCTGAGAATGCTTCTGTCTAGATTTTCTTTGAAGACATTACCGTTTCCAACGAAATCCTCAAAGCTAGCCAAATATCCACCTGCAGATTCTACAAAAAGAGTGTTTCAAAAGTGCTCTGTCCAAACCAAGGTTCAATTCTGACAGTTGAGTGCACACATCACAAACGTGATTCTGCGAATGCTTCTGTCTAGTTTTTGTCGGAAGATATTTCCTTTTTCAGCATAGGCCCCAAGGAGCTCAAAATGTCCACTGCCAGATAGTACGAGAAGATTGTTTCAAACCTGCTCTGTGAAAGGGAATGTTCAACTCTGTGACTTGAATGTAAACATCCCTAAGATGTTTCTTAGAATGCTTCTGGCTAGATTTGATTGGAAGATATTCCCGTTTCCAACGAAATCCTCAAAGCTTTCCAAATATCCACTTCCAGATTCTATAAAAAGAATGTTTCAGAACAGTTCTGTCAAAAGAAAGGTTCAACTCTGTTAGTGGAGAACACACATCACAATCAAGGTTCTGAGAATGCTTCTGTCTAAATTTTCTATGAAGACATTCCCGTTTCCAACGAAATCCTCACAGCTATCCAAATATCCACTTGCAGATTCTACAAAAAGTGTGGTTCAAAACTGCTGTATCAAAAGAATGGATCAACACTGTTAGTTGAGTACCCACATCACAAACGTGATTCTCAGAATGCTTCTGTCTAGTTTCTATAGGTAGATATTTCCTTTTTCAGCATAGGCCTGAAAGCGCTCCAAATGCCCGCTTCCAGACACTATAAAAAGAGGGTTTCAAACCTACTCTATGAAAGGGAATGTTCAACTCTGAGAGCTGGATGCAAACATCACAAAGAAGTTTCTGAGAATGCTGCTGTCTACTTTTTGTATATAATCCCGTTGCCAACGAAATCCTCAAATCTATCCAAATATCCACTTGCAGATTCCAAAAGAAGAGTGTCTCAAAACTGCTCTATCAATAGAAATGTTCAGCACAGTTAGTTGAGTAGATACAGCATAAACATGTTTCTGAGATTACTTCTATCTCGCATTCATGGGAAGATATTTCCTTTTTCCAGATAGGCTACAAAGCCCTCCAAATGTCCACTTCCAGATACTACAAATAGAGTGCTGCACAACTGCTCTATGTGAGGGGATGTTCAATTCTGTGACTTGAATGCAGACACCACAAAGAAGTTTCTGAGAATGCTGCTGTCTAATTTTTACATGTAAGCCCGTTTCCAACGAAATCCTCAAAGCTATCCAAATATCCGCATGCAGAATCTTCAAAAAGAGTGTTCCAGAAGTACTGCATGAAACGAAAGGTTCAAGTCCGTTTGTTGAGGACACACATCACAAATAAGTTTCTCAGAATGCTTCTGTCTTGTTTTCATTGGAAGATATTTCCTTTTTCACCATAGTTCAGAAAGCGCTCCAAATGTCCACTTCCAGATACTCCAAAAAGAGTGTTTCAAACCTGCTCTATGAATGGGAATGTTCCACTCTGTGACTTGAATGGAAATATGGCAAAGTATTTTCTGAGTATGCTGCTGTGTACGTTTTATATTGCATCCCGTTTCCAACGAAATCCTCAAAGCGATCCAAATATCCACTTGCAGATTCCAAAAAAAGAGTGTTTCAAACTGCTCTGTCAGTACAAAGGTTCAACACTTTTAGTTGATTAGATGCATCATAAACAAGTTCCTGAGATAGCTTCTATGTCGTTTTTATGGGAAGATATTTCCTTTTTCACCATAGGCCTGAAAGCACTCCAAATGTCCACTTCCAGATACTACAAAAAGAGTGTTTCCAACCTGCTCTATGAAACGGAAGGTTCAACTCTGTGACTTGATTGCAAACATCACGAAGGTGTTTCTGAGAATGCTTCTGTCTAGATTTTCTTTGAAGACATTACCGTTTCCAACGAAATCCTCAAAGCTAGCCAAATATCCACCTGCAGATTCTACAAAAAGAGTGTTTCAAGAGTGCTCTCTCCAAACCAAGGTTCAATTCTGACAGTTGAGTGCACACATCACAAACGTGATTCTGCGAATGCTTCTGTCTAGTTTTTGTCGGAAGATATTTCCTTTTTCAGCATAGGCCCCAAGGAGCTCAAAATGTCCACTGCCAGATAGTACGAGAAGATTGTTTCAAACCTGCTCTGTGAAAGGGAATGTTCAACTCTGTGACTTGAATGTAAACATCCCTAAGATGTTTCTTAGAATGCTTCTGGCTAGATTTGATTTGAAGATATTCCCGTTTACAATGAAATCCTCAAAGCTTTCCAAATATCCACTTCCAGATTCTATAAAAAGAATGTTTCAAAACAGTTCTGTCAAAAGAAAGGTTCAACCCTGTTAGTGGAGAACACACATCACAATCAAGGTTCTGAGAATGCTTCTGTCTAAATTTTCTATGAAGACATTCCCGTTTCCAACGAAATCCTCACAGCTATCCAAATATCCACTTGCAGATTCCACAAAAAGTGTGGTTCAAAACTGCTGTATCAAAAGAATGGATCAACACTGTTAGTTGAGTACCCACATCACAAACGTGATTCTCAGAATGCTTCTGTCTAGTTTCTGTAGGTAGATATTTCCTATTTTAAGCATAGGCCTGAAAGCGCTCCAAATGCCCGCTTCCAGACTCTATAAAAAGAGGGTTTCAAACCTACTCTATGAAAGGGAATGTTCAACTCTGAGAGCTGGATGCAAACATCACAAAGAAGTTTCTGAGAATGCTGCTGTCTACTTTTGATATATAATCCCGTTTCCAACGAAATCCTCAAATCTATCCAAATATCCACTTGCAGATTCCAAAAGAAGAGTGTCTCAAAACTGCTCTATCAATAGAAATGTTCAGCACAGTTAGTTGAGTAGATACAGCATAAACATGTTTCTGAGATTACTTCTATCTCGCATTCATGGGAAGATATTTCCTTTTTCCAGATAGGCTACAAAGCCCTCCAAATGTCCACTTCCAGATACTACAAATAGAGTGCTGCACAACTGCTCTATGTGAGGGGAAGTTCAATTCTGTGACTTGAATGCAGACACCACAAAGAAGTTTCTGAGAATGCTGCTGTCTAATTTTTACATGTAAGCCCGTTTCCAACGAAATCCTCAAAGCTATCCAAATATCCGCATGCAGAATCTTCAAAAAGAGTGTTCCAGAAGTACTGCATGAAACGAAAGGTTCAAGTCCGTTTGTTGAGGACACACATCACAAATAAGTTTCTCAGAATGCTTCTGTCTTGTTTTCATTGGAAGATATTTCCTTTTTCACCATAGTTCAGAAAGCGCTCCAAATGTCCACTTCCAGATACTCCAAAAAGAGTGTTTCCAACCTGCTCTATGAATGGGAATGTTCCACTCTGTGACTTGAATGGAAATATGGCAAAGTATTTTCTGAGTATGCTGCTGTGTACGTTTTATATTGCATCCCGTTTCCAACGAAATCCTCAAAGCGATCCAAATATCCACTTGCAGATTCCAAAAAAAGAGTGTTTCAAAGTGCTCTGTCAGTACAAAGGTTCAACACTGTTAGTTGATTAGATGCATCATAAACAAGTTCCTGAGATAGCTTCTATGTCGTTTTTATGGGAAGATATTTCCTTTTTCACCATAGGCCTGAAAGCGCTCCAAATGTCCACTTCCAGATACTACAATAAGAGTGTTTCCAACCTGCTCTATGAAACGGAAGGTTCAACTCTGTGACTTGATTGCAAACATCACGAAGGTGTTTCTGAGAATGCTTCTGTCTAGATTTTCTTTGAAGACATTCCCGTTTCCAACGAAATCCTCACAGCTATCCAAATATCCTCTTGCAGATTCTACAAAAAGTGTGGTTCAAAACTGCTGTATCAAAAGAATGGATCAACACTGTTAGTTGAGTACCCACATCACAAACGTGATTCTCAGAATGCTTCTGTCTAGTTTCTGTAGGTAGATATTTCCTATTTTAAGCATAGGCCTGAAAGCGCTCCAAATGCCCGCTTCCAGACACTATAAAAAGAGGGTTTCAAACCTACTCTATGAAAGGGAATGTTCAACTCTGAGAGCTGGATGCAAACATCACAAAGAAGTTTCTGAGAATGCTGCTGTCTACTTTTTATATATAATCCCGTTTCCAACGAAATCCTCAAATCTATCCAAATATCCACTTGCAGATTCCAAAAGAAGAGTGTCTCGAAACTGCTCTTTCAATAGAAATGTTCAGCACAGTTAGTTGAGTAGATACAGCATAAACATGTTTCTGAGATTACTTCTATCCCGCATTCATGGGAAGATATTTCCTTTTTCCAGATAGGCTACAAAGCCCTCCAAATGTCCACTTCCAGATACTACAAATAGAGTGCTGCACAACTGCTCTATGTGAGGGGAAGTTCAATTCTGTGACTTGAATGCAGACACCACAAAGAAGTTTCTGAGAATGCTGCTGTCTAATTTTTACATGTAAGCCCGTTTCCAACGAAATCCTCAAAGCTATCCAAATATCCGCATGCAGAATCTTCAAAAAGAGTGTTCCAGAAGTACTGCATGAAACGAAAGGTTCAAGTCCGTTTGTTGAGGACACACATCACAAATAAGTTTCTCAGAATGCTTCTGTCTTGTTTTCATTGGAAGATATTTCCTTTTTCACCATAGTTCAGAAAGCGCTCCAAATGTCCACTTCCAGATACTCCAAAAAGAGTGTTTCAAACCTGCTCTATGAATGGGAATGTTCCACTCTGTGACTTGAATGGAAATATGGCAAAGTATTTTCTGAGTATGCTGCTGTGTACGTTTTATATTGCATCCCGTTTCCAACGAAATCCTCAAAGCGATCCAAATATCCACTTGCAGATTCCAAAAAAAGAGTGTTTCAAACTGCTCTGTCAGTACAAAGGTTCAACACTGTTAGTTGATTAGATGCATCATAAACAAGTTCCTGAGATAGCTTCTATGTCGTTTTTATGGGAAGATATTTCCTTTTTCACCATAGGCCTGAAAGCGCTCCAAATGTCCACTTCCAGATACTACAATAAGAGTGTTTCCAACCTGCTCTATGAAACGGAAGGTTCAACTCTGTGACTTGATTGCAAACATCACGAAGGTGTTTCTGAGAATGCTTCTGTCTAGATTTTCTTTGAAGACATTCCCGTTTCCAACGAAATCCTCACAGCTATCCAAATATCCTCTTGCAGATTCTACAAAAAGTGTGGTTCAAAACTGCTGTATCAAAAGAATGGATCAACACTGTTAGTTGAGTACCCACATCACAAACGTGATTCTCAGAATGCTTCTGTCTAGTTTCTGTAGGTAGATATTTCCTATTTTAAGCATAGGCCTGAAAGCGCTCCAAATGCCCGCTTCCAGACACTATAAAAAGAGGGTTTCAAACCTACTCTATGAAAGGGAATGCTCAACTCTGAGAGCTGGATGCAAACATCACAAAGAAGTTTCTGAGAATGCTGCTGTCTACTTTTTATATATAATCCCATTTCCAACGAAATCCTCAAATCTATCCAAATATCCACTTGCAGATTCCAAAAGAAGAGTGTCTCAAAACTGCTCTATCAATAGAAATGTTCAGCACAGTTAGTTGAGTAGATAGAGCATAAACATGTTTCTGAGATTACTTCTATCTCGCATTCATGGGAAGATATTTCCTTTTTCCAGATAGGCTACAAAGCCCTCCAAATGTCCACTTCCAGATACTACAAATAGAGTGCTGCACAACTGCTCTATGTGAGGGGAAGTTCAATTCTGTGACTTGAATGCAGACACCACAAAGAAGTTTCTGAGAATGCTGCTGTCTAATTTTTACATGTAAGCCCGTTTCCAACGAAATCCTCAAAGCTATCCAAATATCCGCATGCAGAATCTTCAAAAAGAGTGTTCCAGAAGTACTGCATGAAACGAAAGGTTCAAGTCCGTTTGTTGAGGACACACATCACAAATAAGTTTCTCAGAATGCTTCTGTCTTGTTTTCATTGGAAGATATTTCCTTTTTCACCATAGTTCAGAAAGCGCTCCAAATGTCCACTTCCAGATACTCCAAAAAGAGTGTTTCCAACCTGCTCTATGAATGGGAATGTTCCACTCTGTGACTTGAATGGAAATATGGCAAAGTATTTTCTGAGTATGCTGCTGTGTACGTTTTATATTGCATCCCGTTTCCAACGAAATCCTCAAAGCGATCCAAATATCCACTTGCAGATTCCAAAAAAAGAGTGTTTCAAACTGCTCTGTCAGTACAAAGGTTCAACACTGTTAGTTGATTAGATGCATCATAAACAAGTTCCTGAGATAGCTTCTATGTCGTTTTTATGGGAAGATATTTCCTTTTTCACCATAGGCCTGAAAGCGCTCCAAATGTCCACTTCCAGATACTACAAAAAGAGTGTTTCCAACCTGCTCTATGAAACGGAAGGTTCAACTCTGTGACTTGATTGCAAACATCACGAAGGTGTTTCTGAGAATGCTTCTGTCTAGATTTTCTTTGAAGACATTACCGTTTCCAACGAAATCCTCAAAGCTAGCCAAATATCCACCTGCAGATTCTACAAAAAGAGTGTTTCAAAAGTGCTCTGTCCAAACCAAGGTTCAATTCTGACAGTTGAGTGCACACATCACAAACGTGATTCTGCGAATGCTTCTGTCTAGTTTTTGTCGGAAGATATTTCCTTTTTCAGCATAGGCCCCAAGGAGCTCAAAATGTCCACTGCCAGATAGTACGAGAAGATTGTTTCAAACCTGCTCTGTGAAAGGGAATGTTCAACTCTGTGACTTGAATGTAAACATCCCTAAGATGTTTCTTAGAATGCTTCTGGCTAGATTTTATTTGAAGATATTCCCGTTTCCAACGAAATCCTCAAAGCTTTCCAAATATCCACTTCCAGATTCTATAAAAAGAATGTTTCAGAACAGTTCTGTCAAAAGAAAGGTTCAACTCTGTTAGTGGAGAACACACATCACAATCAAGGTTCTGAGAATGCTTCTGTCTAAATTTTCTATGAAGACATTCCCGTTTCCAACGAAATCCTCACAGCTATCCAAATATCCACTTGCAGATTCTACAAAAAGTGTGGTTCAAAACTGCTGTATCAAAAGAATGGATCAACACTGTTAGTTGAGTACCCACATCACAAACGTGATTCTCAGAATGCTTCTGTCTAGTTTCTATAGGTAGATATTTCCTTTTTCAGCATAGGCCTGAAAGCGCTCCAAATGCCCGCTTCCAGACACTATAAAAAGAGGGTTTCAAACCTACTCTATGAAAGGGAATGTTCAACTCTGAGAGCTGGATGCAAACATCACAAAGAAGTTTCTGAGAATGCTGCTGTCTACTTTTGATATATAATCCCGTTTCCAACGAAAATCCTCAAATCTATCCAAATATCCACTTGCAGATTCCAAAAGAAGAGTGTCTCAAAACTGCTCTATCAATAGAAATGTTCAGCACAGTTAGTTGAGTAGATACAGCATAAACATGTTTCTGAGATTACTTCTATCTCGCATTCATGGGAATATATTTCCTTTTTCCAGATAGGCTACAAAGCCCTCCAAATGTCCACTTCCAGATACTACAAAAAGAGTGTTTCCAACCTGCTCTATGAAACGGAAGGTTCAACTCTGTGACTTGATTGCAAACATCATGAAGGTGTTTCTGAGAATGCTTCTGTCTAGATTTTCTTTGAAGACATTACCGTTTCCAACGAAATCCTCAAAGCTAGCCAAATATCCACCTGCAGATTCTACAAAAAGAGTGTTTCAAAAGTGCTCTGTCCAAACCAAGGTTCAATTCTGACAGTTGAGTGCACACATCACAAACGTGATTCTGCGAATGCTTCTGTCTAGTTTTTGTCGGAAGATATTTCCTTTTTCAGCATAGGCCCCAAGGAGCTCAAAATGTCCACTGCCAGATAGTACGAGAAGATTGTTTCAAACCTGCTCTGTGAAAGGGAATGTTCAACTCTGTGACTTGAATGTAAACATCCCTAAGATGTTTCTTATAATGCTCTGGCGTAGATTTGATTTGAAGATATTCCCGTTTCCAACGAAATCCTCAAAGCTTTCCAAATATCCACTTCCAGATTCTATAAAAAGAATGTTTCAGAACAGTTCTGTCAAAAGAAAGGTTCAACTCTGTTAGTGGAGAACACACATCACAATCAAGGTTCTGAGAATGCTTCTGTCTAAATTTTCTATGAAGACATTCCCGTTTCCAACGAAATCCTCACAGCTATCCAAATATCCACTTGCAGATTCTACAAAAAGTGTGGTTCAAAACTGCTGTATCAAAAGAATGGATCAACACTGTTAGTTGAGTACCCACATCACAAACGTGATTCTCAGAATGCTTCTGTCTAGTTTCTATAGGTAGATATTTCCTTTTTCAGCATAGGCCTGAAAGCGCTCCAAATGCCCGCTTCCAGACACTATAAAAAGAGGGTTTCAAACCTACTCTATGAAAGGGAATGTTCAACTCTGAGAGCTGGATGCAAACATCACAAAGAAGTTTCTGAGAATGCTGCTGTCTACTTTTTATATATAATCCCGTTTCCAACGAAATCCTCAAATCTATCCAAATATCCACTTGCAGATTCCAAAAGAAGAGTGTCTCAAAACTGCTCTATCAATAGAAATGTTCAGCACAGTTAGTTGAGTACATACAGCATAAACATGTTTCTGAGATTACTTCTATCTCGCATTCATGGGAAGATATTTCCTTTTTCCAGATAGGCTACAAAGCCCTCCAAATGTCCACTTCCAGATACTACAAATAGAGTGCTGCACAACTGCTCTATGTGAGGGGATGTTCAATTCTGTGACTTGAATGCAGACACCACAAAGAAGTTTCTGAGAATGCTGCTGTCTAATTTTTATATGTAAGCCCGTTTCCAAAGAAATCCTCAAAGCTATCCAAATATCCGCATGCAGAATCTTCAAAAAGAGTGTTCCAGAAGTACTGCATGAAACGAAAGTTTCAAGTCCGTTAGTGGAGGACACACATCACAAATAAGTTTCTCAGAATGCTTCTGTCTTGTTTTCATTGGAAGATATTTCCTTTTTCACCATAGTTCAGAAAGCGCTCCAAATGTCCACTTCCAGATACTACAAAAGGAGTGTTTCCAAACTGCTTTATGAATGGGAATGTTCCACTCTGTGACTTGAATGGAAATATGGCAAAGTATTTTCTGAGTATGCTGCTGTGTACGTTTTATATTGCATCCCGTTTCCAACGAAATCCTCAAAGCGATCCAAATATCCACTTGCAGATTCCAAAAAAAAGAGTGTTTCACACTGCTCTGTCAGTACAAAGGTTCAACACTGTTAGTTGATTGGATGCATCATAAACAAGTTCCTGAGATAGCTTCTATGTCGTTTTTATGGGAAGATATTTCCTTTTTCACCATAGGCCTGAAAGCGCTCCAAATGTCCACTTCCAGATACTACAAAAAGAGTGTTTCCAACCTGCTCTATGAAACGGAAGGTTCAACTCTGTGACTTGATTGCAAACATCACGAAGGTGTTTCTGAGAATGTTTCTGTCTAGATTTTCTTTGAAGACATTACCGTTTCCAACGAAATCCTCAAAGCTAGCCAAATATCCACCTGCAGATTCTACAAAAAGAGTGTTTCAAAAGTGCTCTGTCCAAACAAAGGTTCAATTCCGACAGTTGAGTGCACACATCACAAACGTGATTCTGCGAATGCTTCTGTCTAGTTTTTGTCGGAAGATATTTCCTTTTTCAGCATAGGCCCCAAGGAGCTCAAAATGTCCACTTCCAGATACTACGAGAAGATTGTTTCAAACCTGCTCTGTGAAAGGGAATGTTCAACTCTGTGACTTGAATGTAAACATCCCTAAGATGTTTCTTAGAATGCTTCTGGCTAGATTTGATTTGAAGATATTCCCGTTTCCAACGAAATCCTCAAAGCTTTCCAAATATCCACTTCCAGATTCTATACAAAGAATGTTTCAGAACAGTTCTGTCAAAAGAAAGGTTCATCCCTGTTAGTGGAGAACACACATCACAATCAAGGTTCTGAGAATGCTTCTGTCTAGATTTTCTTTGAAGACATTCCCGTTTCCAACGAAATCCTCACAGCTATCCAAATATCCTCTTGCAGATTCTACAAAAAGTGTGGTTCAAAACTGCTGTATCAAAAGAATGGATCAACACTGTTAGTTGAGTACCCACATCACAAACGAGATTCTCATAATGCTTCTGTCTAGTTTCTGTAGGTAGATATTTCCTATTTTAAGCATAGGTCTGAAAGCACTCCAAATGCCCGCTTCCAGACACTATAAAAAGAGGGTTTCAAACCTACTCTATGAAAGGGAATGTTCAACTCTGAGAGCTGGATGCAAACATCACAAAGAAGTTTCTGAGAATGCTGCTGTCTACTTTTTATATATAATCCCGTTTCCAACGAAATCCTCAAATCTCTCCAAATATCCACTTGCAGATTCCAAAAGAAGAGTGTCTCAAAACTGCTCTATCAATAGAAATGTTCAGCACAGTTAGTTGAGTAGATACAGCATAAACATGTTTCTGAGATTACTTCTATCTCGCATTCATGGGAAGATATTTCCTTTTTCCAGATAGGCTACAAAGCCCTCCAAATGTCCACTTCCAGATACTACAAAAAGAGTGTTTCCAACCTGCTCTATGAAACGGAAGGTTCAACTCTGTGACTTGATTGCAAACATCACGAAGGTGTTTCTGAGAATGCTTCTGTCTAGATTTTCTTTGAAGACATTACCGTTTCCAACGAAATCCTCAAAGCTAGCCAAATATCCACCTGCAGATTCTACAAAAAGAGTGTTTCAAAAGTGCTCTGTCCAAACCAAGGTTCAATTCTGACAGTTGAGTGCACACATCACAAACGTGATTCTGCGAATGCTTCTGTCTAGTTTTTGTCGGAAGATATTTCCTTTTTCAGCATAGGCCCCAAGGAGCTCAAAATGTCCACTGCCAGATAGTACGAGAAGATTGTTTCAAACCTGCTCTGTGAAAGGGAATGTTCAACTCTGTGACTTGAATGTAAACATCCCTAAGATGTTTCTTAGAATGCTTCTGGCTAGATTTGATTTGAAGATATTCCCGTTTCCAACGAAATCCTCAAAGCTTTCCAAATATCCACTTCCAGATTCTACAAAAAGAATGTTTCAGAACAGTTCTGTCAAAAGAAAGGTTCAACTCTGTTAGTGGAGAACACACATCACAATCAAAGTTCTGAAAATGCTTCTGTCTAAATTTTCTATGAAGACATTCCCGTTTCCAACGAAATCCTCACAGCTATCCAAATATCCACTTGCAGATTCTACAAAAAATGTGGTTCAAAACTGCTGTATCAAAAGAATGGATCAACACTGTTAGTTGAGTACCCACATCAAAAACGTCATTCTCAGAATGCTTCTGTCTAGTTTCTGTAGGTAGATATTTCCTATTTTAAGCATAGGCCTGAAGCGCTCCAAATGCCCGCTTCCAGACACTATAAAAAGAGGGTTTCAAACCTACTCTATGAAAGGGAATGTTCAACTCTGAGAGCTGGATGCAAACATCACAAAGAAGTTTCTGAGAATGCTGCTGTCTACTTTTTATATATAATCCCGTTTCCAATGAAATCCTCAAATCTATCCAAATATCCACTTGCAGATTCCAAAAGAAGAGTGTCTCAAAACTGCTCTATCAATAGAAATGTTCAGCACAGTTAGTTGAGTAGATACAGCATAAACATGTTTCTCAGATTACTTCTATCTCGCATTCATGGGAAGATATTTCCTTTTTCCAGATAGGCTACAAAGCCCTCCAAATGTCCACTTCCAGATACTACAAATAGAGTGCTGCACAACTGCTCTATGTGAGGGGAAGTTCAATTCTGTGACTTGAATGCAGACACCACAAAGAAGTTTCTGAGAATGCTGCTGTCTAATTTTTACATGTAAGCCCGTTTCCAACGAAATCCTCAAAGCTATCCAAATATCCGCATGCAGAATCTTCAAAAAGAGTGTTCCAGAAGTACTGCATGAAACGAAAGGTTCAAGTCCGTTTGTTGAGGACACACATCACAAATAAGTTTCTCAGAATGCTTCTGTCTTGTTTTCATTGGAAGATATTTCCTTTTTCACCATAGTTCAGAAAGCGCTCCAAATGTCCACTTCCAGATACTCCAAAAAGAGTGTTTCCAACCTGCTCTATGAATGGGAATGTTCCACTCTGTGACTTGAATGGAAATATGGCAAAGTATTTTCTGAGTATGCTGCTGTGTACGTTTTATATTGCATCCCGTTTCCAACGAAATCCTCATAGCGATCCAAATATCCACTTGCAGATTCCAAAAAAAGAGTGTTTCAAACTGCTCTGTCAGTGCAAAGGTTCAACACTGTTAGTTGATTAGATGCATCATAAACAAGTTCCTGAGATAGCTTCTATGTCGTTTTTATGGGAACATATTTCCTTTTTCACCATAGGCCTGAAAGCGCTCCAAATGTCCACTTCCAGATACTACAATAAGAGTGTTTCCAACCTGCTCTATGAAACGGAAGGTTCAACTCTGTGACTTGATTGCAAACATCACGAAGGTGTTTCTGAGAATGCTTCTGTCTAGATTTTCTTTGAAGACATTCCCGTTTCCAACGAAATCCTCACAGCTATCCAAATATCCTCTTGCAGATTCTACAAAAAGTGTGGTTCAAAACTGCTGTATCAAAAGAATGGATCAACTCTGTTAGTTGAGTACCCACATCACAAACGTGATTCTCAGAATGCTTCTGTCTAGTTTCTGTAGGTAGATATTTCCTATTTTAAGCATAGGCCTGAAAGCGCTCCAAATGCCCGCTTCCAGACACTATAAAAAGAGGGTTTCAAACCTACTCTATGAAAGGGAATGCTCAACTCTGAGAGCTGGATGCAAACATCACAAAGAAGTTTCTGAGAATGCTGCTGTCTACTTTTTATATATAATCCCGTTTCCAACGAAATCCTCAAATCTATCCAAATATCCACTTGCAGATTCCAAAAGAAGAGTGTCTCAAAACTGCTCTATCAATAGAAATGTTCAGCACAGTTAGTTGAGTAGATACAGCATAAACATGTTTCTGAGATTACTTCTATCTCGCATTCATGGGAAGATATTTCCTTTTTCCAGATAGGCTACAAAGCCCTCCAAATGTCCACTTCCAGATACTACAAAAAGAGTGTTTCCAACCTGCTCTATGAAACGGAAGGTTCAACTCTGTGACTTGATTGCAAACATCACGAAGGTGTTTCTGAGAATGCTTCTGTCTAGATTTTCTTTGAAGACATTACCGTTTCCAACGAAATCCTCAAAGCTAGCCAATATCCACCTGCAGATTCTACAAAAAGAGTGTTTCAAAAGTGCTCTGTGCAAACCAAGGTTCAATTCTGACAGTTGAGTGCACACATCACAAACGTGATTCTGCGAATGCTTCTGTCTAGTTTTTGTCGGAAGATATTTCCTTTTTCAGCATAGGCCCCAAGGAGCTCAAAATGTCCACTGCCAGATAGTACGAGAAGATTGTTTCAAACCTGCTCTGTGAAAGGGAATGTTCAACTCTGTGACTTGAATGTAAACATCCCTAAGATGTTTCTTAGAATGCTTCTGGCTAGATTTGATTTGAAGATATTCCCGTTTCCAACGAAATCCTCAAAGCTTTCCAAATATCCACTTCCAGATTCTATAAAAAGAATGTTTCAGAACAGTTCTGTCAAAAGAAAGGTTCAACTCTGTTAGTGGAGAACACACTTCACAATCAAGGTTCTGAGAATGCTTCTGTCTAAATTTTCTATGAAGACATTCCCGTTTCCAACGAAATCCTCAGAGCTATCCAAACATCCACTTGCAGATTCTACAAAAAGTGTGGTTCAAAACTGCTGTATCAAAAGAATGGATCAACACTGTTAGTTGAGTACCCACATCACAAACGTGATTCTCAGAATGCTTCTGTCTAGTTTCTATAGGTAGATATTTCCTTTTTCAGCATAGGCCTGAAAGCGCTCCAAATGCCCACTTCCAGACACTATAAAAAGAGGGTTTCAAACCTACTCTATGAAAGGGAATGTTCAACTCTGAGAGCTGGATGCAAACATCACAAAGAAGTTTCTGAGAATGCTGCTGTCTACTTTTGATATATAATCCCGTTTCCAACGAAATCCTCAAATCTATCCAAATATCCACTTGCAGATTCCAAAAGAAGAGTGTCTCAAAACTGCTCTATCAATAGAAATGTTCAGCACAGTTAGTTGAGTAGATACAGCATAAACATGTTTCTGAGATTACTTCTATCTCGCATTCATGGGAAGATATTTCCTTTTTCCAGATAGGCTACAAAGCCCTCCAAATGTCCACTTCCAGATACTACAAATAGAGTGCTGCACAACTGCTCTATGTGAGGGGATGTTCAATTCTGTGACTTGAATGCAGACACCACAAAGAAGTTTCTGAGAATGCTGCTGTCTAATTTTTACATGTAAGCCCGTTTCCAACGAAATCCTCAAAGCTATCCAAATATCCGCATGCAGAATCTTCAAAAAGAGTGTTCCAGAAGTACTGCATGAAACGAAAGGTTCAAGTCCGTTTGTTGAGGACACACATCACAAATAAGTTTCTCAGAATGCTTCTGTCTTGTTTTCATTGGAAGATATTTCCTTTTTCACCATAGTTCAGAAAGCGCTCCAAATGTCCACTTCCAGATACTCCAAAAAGAGTGTTTCCAACCTGCTCTATGAATGGGAATGTTCCACTCTGTGACTTGAATGGAAATATGGCAAAGTATTTTCTGAGTATGCTGCTGTGTACGTTTTATATTGCATCCCGTTTCCAACGAAATCCTCAAAGCGATCCAAATATCCACTTGCAGATTCCAAAAAAAGAGTGTTTCAAACTGCTCTGTCAGTACAAAGGTTCAACACTGTTAGTTGATTAGATGCCTCATAAACAAGTTCCTGAGATAGCTTCTATGTCGTTTTTATGGGAAGATATTTCCTTTTTCACCATAGGCCTGAAAGCGCTCCAAATGTCCACTTCCAGATACTACAATAAGAGTGTTTCCAACCTGCTCTATGAAACGGAAGGTTCAACTCTGTGACTTGATTGCAAACATCACGAAGGTGTTTCTGAGAATGTTTCTGTCTAGATTTTCTTTGAAGACATTCCCGTTTCCAACGAAATCCTCACAGCTATCCAAATATCCTCTTGCAGATTCTACAAAAAGTGTGGTTCAAAACTGCTGTATCAAAAGAATGGATCAACACTGTTAGTTGAGTACCCACATCACAAACGAGATTCTCAGAATGCTTCTGTCTAGTTTCTGTAGGTAGATATTTCCTATTTTAAGCATAGGCCTGAAAGCGCTCCAAATGCCCGCTTCCAGACACTATAAAAAGAGGGTTTCAAACCTACTCTATGAAAGGGAATGTTCAACTCTGAGAGCTGGATGCAAACATCACAAAGAAGTTTCTGAGAATGCTGCTGTCTACTTTTTATATATAATCCCGTTTCCAACGAAATCCTCAAATCTCTCCAAATATCCACTTGCAGATTCCAAAAGAAGAGTGTCTCAAAACTGCTCTATCAATAGAAATGTTCAGCACAGTTAGTTGAGTAGATACAGCATAAACATGTTTCTGAGATTACTTCTATCTCGCATTCATGGGAAGATATTTCCTTTTTCCACATAGGCTACAAAGCCCTCCAAATGTCCACTTCCAGATACTACAAAAAGAGTGTTTCCAACCTGCTCTATGAAACGGAAGGTTCAACTCTGTGACTTGATTGCAAACATCACGAAGGTGTTTCTGAGAATGCTTCTGTCTAGATTTTCTTTGAAGACATTACCGTTTCCAACGAAATCCTCAAAGCTAGCCAAATATCCACCTGCAGATTCTACAAAAAGAGTGTTTCAAAAGTGCTCTGTCCAAACCAAGGTTCAATTCTGACAGTTGAGTGCACACATCACAAACGTGATTCTGCGAATGCTTCTGTCTAGTTTTTGTCGGAAGATATTTCCTTTTTCAGCATAGGCCCCAAGGAGCTCAAAATGTCCACTGCCAGATAGTACGAGAAGATTGTTTCAAACCTGCTCTGTGAAAGGGAATGTTCAACTCTGTGACTTGAATGTAAACATCCCTAAGATGTTTCTTAGAATGCTTCTGGCTAGATTTGATTTGAAGATATTCCCGTTTCCAACGAAATCCTCAAAGCTTTCCAAATATCCACTTCCAGATTCTATAAAAAGAATGTTTCAGAACAGTTCTGTCAAAAGAAAGGTTCAACTCTGTTAGTGGAGAACACACATCACAATCAAGGTTCTGAGAATGCTTCTGTCTAAATTTTCTATGAAGACATTCCCGTTTCCAACGAAATCCTCACAGCTATCCAAATATCCACTTGCAGATTCTACAAAAAGTGTGGTTCAAAACTGCTGTATCAAAAGAATGGATCAACACTGTTAGTTGAGTACCCACATCACAAACGTGATTCTCAGAATGCTTCTGTCTAGTTTCTATAGGTAGATATTTCCTTTTTCAGCATAGGCCTGAAAGCGCTCCAAATGCCCGCTTCCAGACACTATAAAAAGAGGGTTTCAAACCTACTCTATGAAAGGGAATGTTCAACTCTGAGAGCTGGATGCAAACATCACAAAGAAGTTTCTGAGAATGCTGCTGTCTACTTTTTATATATAATCCCGTTTCCAACGAAATCCTCAAATCTATCCAAATATCCACTTGCAGATTCCAAAAGAAGAGTGTCTCAAAACTGCTCTATCAATAGAAATGTTCAGCACAGTTAGTTGAGTAGATACAGCATAAACATGTTTCTGAGATTACTTCTATCTCGCATTCATGGGAAGATATTTCCTTTTTCCAGATAGGCTACAAAGCCCTCCAAATGTCCACTTCCAGATACTACAAAAAGAGTGTTTCCAACCTGCTCTATGAAACGGAAGGTTCAACTCTGTGACTTGATTGCAAACATCACGAAGGTGTTTCTGAGAATGCTTCTGTCTAGATTTTCTTTGAAGACATTACCGTTTCCAACGAAATCCTCAAAGCTAGCCAAATATCCACCTGCAGATTCTACAAAAAGAGTGTTTCAAAAGTGCTCTGTCCAAACCAAGGTTCAATTCTGACAGTTGAGTGCACACATCACAAACGTGATTCTGCGAATGCTTCTGTCTAGTTTTTGTCGGAAGATATTTCCTTTTTCAGCATAGGCCCCAAGGAGCTCAAAATGTCCACTGCCAGATAGTACGAGAAGATTGTTTCAAACCTGCTCTGTGAAAGGGAATGTTCAACTCTGTGACTTGAATGTAAACATCCCTAAGATATTTCTTAGAATGCTTCTGGCTAGATTTGATTTGAAGATATTCCCGTTTCCAACGAAATCCTCAAAGCTTTCCAAATATCCACTTCCAGATTCTATAAAAAGAATGTTTCAGAACAGTTCTGTCAAAAGAAAGGTTCAACTCTGTTAGTGGAGAACACACATCACAATCAAGGTTCTGAGAATGCTTCTGTCTAAATTTTCTATGAAGCACATTCCCGTTTCCAACGAAATCCTCACAGCTATCCAAATATCCACTTGCAGATTCTACAAAAAGTGTGGTTCAAAACTGCTGTATCAAAAGAATGGATCAACACTGTTAGTTGAGTACCCACATCACAAACGTGATTCTCAGAATGCTTCTGTCTAGTTTCTATAGGTAGATATTTCCTTTTTCAGCATAGGCCTGAAAGCGCTCCAAATGCCCGCTTCCAGACACTATAAAAAGAGGGTTTCAAACCTACTCTATGAAAGGGAATGTTCAACTCTGAGAGCTGGATGCAAACATCACAAAGAAGTTTCTGAGAATGCTGCTGTCTACTTTTTATATATAATCCCGTTTCCAACGAAATCCTCAAATCTATCCAAATATCCACTTGCAGATTCCAAAAGAAGAGTGTCTGAAAACTGCTCTATCAATAGAAATGTTCAGCACAGTTAGTTGAGTAGATACAGCATAAACATGTTTCTGAGATTACTTCTATCTCGCATTCATGGGAAGATATTTCCTTTTTCCAGATAGGCTACAAAGCCCTCCAAATGTCCACTTCCAGATACTACAAAGAGTGTTTCCAACCTGCTCTATGAAACGGAAGGTTCAACTCTGTGACTTGATTGCAAACATCACGAAGGTGTTTCTGAGAATGCTTCTGTCTAGATTTTCTTTGAAGACATTACCGTTTCCAACGAAATCCTCAAAGCTAGCCAAATATCCACCTGCAGATTCTACAAAAAGAGTGTTTCAAAAGTGCTCTGTCCAAACCAAGGTTCAATTCTGACAGTTGAGTGCACACATCACAAACGTGATTCTGCGAATGCTTCTGTCTAGTTTTTGTCGGAAGATATTTCCTTTTTCAGCATAGGCCCCAAGGAGCTCAAAATGTCCACTGCCAGATAGTACGAGAAGATTGTTTCAAACCTGCTCTGTGAAAGGGAATGTTCAACTCTGTGACTTGAATGTAAACATCCCTAAGATGTTTCTTAGAATGCTTCTGGCTAGATTTCATTTGAAGATATTCCCGTTTCCAACGAAATCCTCAAAGCTTTCCAAATATCCACTTCCAGATTCTATAAAAAGAATGTTTCAGAACAGTTCTGTCAAAAGAAAGGTTCAACTCTGTTAGTGGAGAACACACATCACAATCAAGGTTCTGAGAATGCTTCTGTCTAAATTTTCTATGAAGACATTCCCGTTTCCAACGAAATCCTCACAGCTATCCAAATATCCACTTGCAGATTCTACAAAAAGTGTGGTTCAAAACTGCTGTATCAAAAGAATGGATCAACACTGTTAGTTGAGTACCCACATCACAAACGTGATTCTCAGAATGCTTCTGTCTAGTTTCTATAGGTAGATATTTCCTTTTTCAGCATAGGCCTGAAAGCGCTCCAAATGCCCGCTTCCAGACACTATAAAAAGAGGGTTTCAAACCTACTCTATGAAAGGGAATGTTCAACTCTGAGAGCTGGATGCAAACATCACAAAGAAGTTTCTGAGAATGCTGCTGTCTACTTTTTATATATAATCCCGTTTCCAACGAAATCCTCAAATCTATCCAAATATCCACTTGCAGATTCCAAAAGAAGAGTGTCTCAAAACTGCTCTATCAATAGAAATGTTCAGCACAGTTAGTTGAGTAGGTACAGCATAAACATGTTTCTGAGATTACTTCTATCTCGCATTCATGGGAAGATATTTCCTTTTTCCACATAGGCTACAAAGCCCTCCAAATGTCCACTTCCAGATACTACAAATAGAGTGCTGCACAACTGCTCTATGTGAGGGGATGTTCAATTCTGTGACTTGAATGCAGACACCACAAAGAAGTTTCTGAGAATGCTGCTGTCTAATTTTTACATGTAAGCCCGTTTCCAACGAAATCCTCAAAGCTATCCAAATATCCGCATGCAGAATCTTCAAAAAGAGTGTTCCAGAAGTACTGCATGAAACGAAAGGTGCAAGTCCGTTTGTTGAGGACACACATCACAAATAAGTTTCTCAGAATGTTTCTGTCTTGTTTTCATTGGAAGATATTTCCTTTTTCACCATAGTTCAGAAAGCGCTCCAAATGTCCACTTCCAGATACTCCAAAAAGAGTGTTTCCAACCTGCTCTATGAATGGGAATGTTCCACTCTGTGACTTGAATGGAAATATGGCAAAGAATTTTCTGAGTATGCTGCTGTGTACGTTTGATATTCATCCCGTTTCCAACGAAATCCTCAAAGCGATCCAAATATCCACTTGCAGATTCCAAAAAAAGAGTGTTTCAAACTGCTCTGTCAGTACAAAGGTTCAACACTGTTAGTTGATTAGATGCATCATAAACAAGTTCCTGAGATAGCTTCTATGTCGCTTTTATGGGAAGATATTTCCTTTTACACCATAGGCCTGAAAGCGCTCCAAATGTCCACTTCCAGATACTACAAAATGAGTGTTTCCAACCTGCTCTATGAAACGGAAGGTTCAACTCTGTGACTTGATTGCAAACATCACGAAGGTGTTTCAGAGGATGTTTCTGTCTAGATTTTCTTTGAAGACATTACCGTTTCCAACGAAATCCTCAAAGCTAGCCAAATATCCACCTGCAGATTCTACAAAAAGAGTGTTTCAAAAGTGCTCTGTCCAAACCAAGGTTCAATTCTGACAGTTGAGTGCACACATCACAAACGTGATTCTGCGAATGCCTCTCTCTAGTTTTTGTCGGAATATATTTCCTTTTTCAGCATAGGCCCCAAGGAGCTCAAAATGTCCACTGCCAGATAGTACGAGAAGATTGTTTCAAACCTGCTCTGAGAAAGGGGAATGTTCAACTCTGTGACTTGAATGTACACATCCCTAAGATGTTTCTTAGAATGCTTCTGGCTAGATTTGATTTGAAGATATTCCCGTTTCCAACGAAATCCTCAAAGCTTTCCAAATATCCACTTCCAGATTCTATAAAAAGAATGTTTCAAAACAGTTCTGTCCAAAGGAAGGTTCAACTCTGTTAGTGGAGAACACACATCACAATCCAGGTTCTGAGAATGCTTCTGTCTAAATTTTCTATGAAGACATTCCCGTTTCCAACGAAATCCTCACAGCTATCCAAATATCCACTTGCAGATTCTACAAAAAGTGTGGTTCAAAACTGCTGTATCAAAAGAATGGATCAACACTGTTAGTTGAGTACCCACATCACAAACGTGATTCTCAGAATGCTTCTGTCTAGTTTCTATAGGTAGATATTTCCTTTTTCAGCATAGGCCTGAAAGCGCTCCAAATGCCCGCTTCCAGACACTATAAAAAGAGGGTTTCAAACCTACTCTATGAAAGGGAATGTTCAACTCTGAGAGCTGGATGCAAACATCACAAAGAAGTTTCTGAGAATGCTGCTGTCTACTTTTTATATATAATCCCGTTTCCAACGAAATCCTCAAATCTATCCAAATATCCACTTGCAGATTCCAAAAGAAGAGTGTCTCAAAACTGCTCTATCAATAGAAATGTTCAGCACAGTTAGTTGAGTAGATACAGCATAAACATGTTTCTGAGATTACTTCTATCTCGCATTCATGGGAAGATATTTCCTTTTTCCAGATAGGCTACAAAGCCCTCCAAATGTCCACTTCCAGATACTACAAAAAGTGTGTTTCCAACCTGCTCTATGAAACGGAAGGTTCAACTCTGTGACTTGATTGCAAACATCACGAAGGTGTTTCTGAGAATGCTTCTGTCTAGATTTTCTTTGAAGACATTACCGTTTCCAACGAAATCCTCAAAGCTAGCCAAATATCCACCTGCAGATTCTACAAAAAGAGTGTTTCAAAAGTGCTCTCTCCAAACCAAGGTTCAATTCTGACAGTTGAGTGCACACATCACAAACGTGATTCTGCGAATGCTTCTGTCTACTTTTTGTCGGAAGATATTTCCTTTTTCAGCATAGCCCCAAGGAGCTCAAAATGTCCACTTCCAGATAGTACGAGAAGATTGTTTCAAACCTGCTCTGAGAAAGGGGAATTTTCAACTCTGTGACTTGAATGTACACATCCCTAAGATGTTTCTTAGAATGCTTCTGGCTAGATTTTATTTGAAGATATTCCCGTTTCCAACGAAATCCTCAAAGCTTTCCAAATATACACTTCCAGATTCTATAAAAAGAAAGTTTCAAAACAGTTCTGTCAAAAGAAAGGTTCAACTCTGTTAGTGGAGAACACACATCACAATCCAGGTTCTGAGAATGCTTCTGTCTAATTTTCTATGAAGACATTCCCGTTTCCAACGAAATCCTCACAGCTATCCAAATATCCACTTGCAGATTCTACAAAAAGTGTGGTTCAAAACTGCTGTATCAAAAGAATGGATCAACACTGTTAGTTGAGTACCCACATCACAAACGTGATTCTCAGAATGCTTCTGTCTAGTTTCTATAGGTAGATATTTCCTTTTTCAGCATAGGCCTGAAAGCGCTCCAAATGCCCGCTTCCAGACACTATAAAAAGAGGGTTTCAAACCTACTCTATGAAAGGGAATGTTCAACTCTGAGAGCTGGATGCAAACATCACAAAGAAGTTTCTGAGAATGCTGCTGTCTACTTTTTATATATAATCCCGTTTCCAACGAAATCCTCAAATCTATCCAAATATCCACTTGCAGATTCCAAAAGAAGAGTGTCTCAAAACTGCTCTATCAATAGAAATGTTCAGCACAGTTAGTTGAGTAGATACAGCATAAACATGTTTCTGAGATTACTTCTATCTCGCATTCATGGGAAGATATTTCCTTTTTCCAGATAGGCTACAAAGCCCTCCAAATGTCCACTTCGAGATACTACAAATAGAGTGCTGCACAACTGCTCTATGTGAGGGGATGTTCAATTCTGTGACTTGAATGCAGACACCACAAAGAAGTTTCTGAGAATGCTGCTGTCTAATTTTTATATGTAAGCTCGTTTCCAACGAAATCCTCACAGCTAACCAAATATCCGCATGCAGAATCTTCAAAAAGAGTGTTCCAGAAGTACTGCATGAAACGAAAGGTTCGAGTCCTTTAGTTGAGGACACGCATCACAAATAAGTTTCTCAGAATGCTTCTGTCTTGTTTTCATTGGAAGATATTTCCTTTTTCACCATAGTTCAGAAAGCTCTCCAAATGCCCACTTCCAGATACTCCAAAAAGAGTGTTTCAAACCTGCTCTATGAATGGGAATGTTCCACTCTGTGACTTGAATGGAAATATGGCAAAGTATTTTCTGAGTGTGCTGCTGTGTACGTTTTATATTGCATCCCGTTTCCAACGAAATCCTCAAAGCGATCCAAATATCCACTTGCAGATTCCAAAAAAAGAGTGTTTCAAACTGCTCTGTCAGTACAAAGGTTCAACACTGTTAGTTGATTAGATGCATCATAAACAAGTTCCTGAGATAGCTTCTATGTCGCTTTTATGGGAAGATATTTCCTTTTACACCATAGGCCTGAAAGCGCTCCAAATGTCCACTTCCAGATACTACAAAATGAGTGTTTCCAACCTGCACTATGAAACGGAAGGTTCAACTCTGTGACTTGATTGCAAACATCACGAAGGTGTTTCTGAGGATGTTTCTGTCTAGATTTTCTTTGAAGACATTACCGTTTCCAACGAAATCCTCAAAGCTAGCCAAATATCCACCTGCAGATTCTACAAAAAGAGTGTTTCAAAAGTGCTCTGTCCAAACCAAGGTTCAATTCTGACAGTTGAGTGCACACATCACAAACGTGATTCTGCGAATGCTTCTGTCTAGTTTTTGTCGGAAGATATTTCCTTTTTCAGCATAGGCCCCAAGGAGCTCAAAATGTCCACTGCCAGATAGTACGAGAAGATTGTTTCAAACCTGCTCTGAGAAAGGGGAATGTTCAACTCTGTGACTTGAATGTAAACATCCCTAAGATGTTTCTTAGAATGCTTCTGGCTAGATTTTATTTGAAGATATTCCCGTTTCCAACGAAATCCTCAAAGCTTTCCAAATATCCACTTCCAGATTCTATAAAAAGAATGTTTCAAAACAGTTCTGTCCAAAGAAAGGTTCAACTCTGTTAGTGGAGAACTCACATCACAATCCAGGTTCTGAGAATGCTTCTGTCTAAATTTTCTATGAAGACATTCCCGTTTCCAACGAAATCCTCACAGCTATCCAAATATCCACTTGCAGATTCTACAAAAAGAGTGGTTCAAAACCGCTGTATCAAAAGAATGGATCAACACTGTTAGTTGAGTACCCACATCACAAACGTGATTCTCAGAATGCTTCTGTCTAGTTTCTATAGGTAGATATTTCCTTTTTCAGCATAGGCCTGAAAGCGCTCCAAATGCCCGCTTCCAGACACTATAAAAAGAGGGTTTCAAACCTACTCTATGAAAGGGAATGTTCAACTCTGAGAGCTGGATGCAAACATCACAAAGAAGTTTCTGAGAATGCTGCTGTCTACTTTTTATATATAATCCCGTTTCCAACGAAATCCTCAAATCTATCCAAATATCCACTTGCAGATTCCAAAAGAAGAGTGTCTCAAAACTGCTCTATCAATAGAAATGTTCAGCACAGTTAGTTGAGTAGATACAGCATAAACATGTTTCTGAGATTACTTCTATCTCGCATTCATGGGAAGATATTTCCTTTTTCCAGATAGGCTACAAAGCCCTCCAAATGTCCACTTCCAGATACTACAAATAGAGTGCTGCACAACTGCTCTATGTGAGGGGAAGTTCAATTCTGTGACTTGAATGCAGACACCACAAAGAAGTTTCTGAGAATGCTGCTGTCTAATTTTTACATGTAAGCCCGTTTCCAACGAAATCCTCAAAGCTATCCAAATATCCGCATGCAGAATCTTCAAAAAGAGTGTTCCAGAAGTACTGCATGAAACGAAAGGTTCAAGTCCGTTTGTTGAGGACACACATCACAAATAAGTTTCTCAGAATGCTTCTGTCTTGTTTTCATTGGAAGATATTTCCTTTTTCACCATAGTTCAGAAAGCGCTCCAAATGTCCACTTCCAGATACTCCAAAAAGAGTGTTTCCAACCTGCTCTATGAATGGGAATGTTCCACTCTGTGACTTGAATGGAAATATGGCAAAGTATTTTCTGAGTATGCTGCTGTGTACGTTTTATATTGCATCCCGTTTCCAACGAAATCCTCAAAGCGATCCAAATATCCACTTGCAGATTCCAAAAAAAGAGTGTTTCAAACTGCTCTGTCAGTACAAAGGTTCAACACTGTTAGTTGATTAGATGCATCATAAACAAGTTCCTGAGATAGCTTCCATGTCGTTTTTATGGGAAGATATTTCCTTTTTCACCATAGGCCTGAAAGCGCTCCAAATGTCCACTTCCAGATACTACAAAAAGAGTGTTTCCAACCTGCTCTATGAAACGGAAGGTTCAACTCTGTGACTTGATTGCAAACATCACGAAGGTGTTTCTGAGAATGCTTCTGTCTAGATTTTCTTTGAAGACATTACCGTTTCCAACGAAATCCTCAAAGCTAGCCAAATATCCACCTGCAGATTCTACAAAAAGAGTGTTTCAAAAGTGCTCTGTCCAAACCAAGGTTCAATTGCTGACAGTTGAGTGCACACATCACAAACGTGATTCTGCGAATGCTTCTGTCTAGTTTTTGTCGGAAGATATTTCCTTTTTCAGCATAGGCCCCAAGGAGCTCAAAATGTCCACTGCCAGATAGTACGAGAAGATTGTTTCAAACCTGCTCTGTGAAAGGGAATGTTCAACTCTGTGACTTGAATGTAAACATCCCTAAGATGTTTCTTAGAATGCTTCTGGCTAGATTTTATTTGAAGATATTCCCGTTTCCAACGAAATCCTCAAAGCTTTCCAAATATCCACTTCCAGATTCTATAAAAAGAATGTTTCAGAACAGTTCTGTCAAAAGAAAGGTTCAACTCTGTTAGTGGAGAACACACATCACAATCAAGGTTCTGAGAATGCTTCTGTCTAAATTTTCTATGAAGGCATTCCCGTTTCCAAGGAAATCCTCACAGCTATCCAAATATCCACTTGCAGATTCTACAAAAACTGTGGTTGAAAACTGCTGTATCAAAAGAATGGATCAACACTGTTAGTTGAGTACCCACATCACAAACGTGATTCTCAGAATGCTTCTGTCTAGTTTCTATAGGTAGATATTTCCTTTTTCAGCATAGGCCTGAAAGCGCTCCAAATGCCCGCTTCCAGACACTATAAAAAGAGGGTTTCAAACCTACTCTACGAAAGGGAATGTTCAACTCTGAGAGCTGGATGCAAACATCACAAAGAAGTTTCTGAGAATGCGGCTGTCTACTTTTGATATATAATCCCGTTTCCAACGAAAATCCTCAAATCTATCCAAATATCCACTTGCAGATTCCAAAAGAAGAGTGTCTCAAAACTGCTCTATCAATAGAAATGTTCAGCACAGTTAGTTGAGTAGATACAGCATAAACATGTTTCTGAGATTACTTCTATCTCGCATTCATGGGAAGATATTTCCTTTTTCCAGATAGGCTACAAAGCCCTCCAAATGTCCACTTCGAGATACTACAAATAGAGTGCTGCACAACTGCTCTATGTGAGGGGAAGTTCAATTCTGTGACTTGAATGCAGACACCACAAAGAAGTTTCTGAGAATGCTGCTGTCTAATTTTTACATGTAAGCCCGTTTCCAACGAAATCCTCAAAGCTATCCAAATATCCGCATGCAGAATCTTCAAAAAGAGTGTTCCAGAAGTACTGCATGAAACGAAAGGTTCAAGTCCGTTTGTTGAGGACACACATCACAAATAAGTTTCTCAGAATGCTTCTGTCTTGTTTTCATTGGAAGATATTTCCTTTTTCACCATAGTTCAGAAAGCGCTCCAAATGTCCACTTCCAGATACTCCAAAAAGAGTGTTTCCAACCTGCTCTATGAATGGGAATGTTCCACTCTGTGACTTGAATGGAAATATGGCAAAGTATTTTCTGAGTAAGCTGCTGTGTACGTTTTATATTGCATCCCGTTTCCAACGAAATCCTCAAAGCGATCCAAATATCCACTTGCAGATTCCAAAAAAAGAGTGTTTCAAACTGCTCTGTCAGTACAAAGGTTCAACACTGTTAGTTGATTAGATGCATCATAAACAAGTTCCTGAGATAGCTTCTATGTCGTTTTTATGGGAAGATATTTCCTTTTTCACCATAGGCCTGAAAGCGCTCCAAATGTCCACTTCCAGATACTACAATAAGAGTGTTTCCAACCTACTCTATGAAACGGAAGGTTCAACTCTGTGACTTGATTGCAAACATCACGAAGGTGTTTCTGAGAATGCTTCTGTCTAGATTTTCTTTGAAGACATTCCCGTTTCCAACGAAATCCTCACAGCTATCCAAATATCCTCTTGCAGATTCTACAAAAAGTGTGGTTCAAAACTGCTGTATCAAAAGAATGGATCAACACTGTTAGTTGAGTACCCACATCACAAACGTGATTCTCAGAATGCTTCTGTCTAGTTTCTGTAGGTAGATATTTCCTATTTTAAGCATAGGCCTGAAAGCGCTCCAAATGCCCACTTCCAGACACTATAAAAAGAGGGTTTCAAACCTACTCTATGAAAGGGAATGTTCAACTCTGAGAGCTGGATGCAAACATCACAAAGAAGTTTCTGAGAATGCTGCTGTCTACTTTTTATATATAATCCCGTTTCCAACGAAATCCTCAAATCTATCCAAATATCCACTTGCAGATTCCAAAAGAAGAGTGTCTCAAAACTGCTCTATCAATAGAAATGTTCAGCACAGTTAGTTGAGTAGATACAGCATAAACATGTTTCTGAGATTACTTCTATCTCGCATTCATGGGAAGATATTTCCTTTTTCCAGATAGGCTACAAAGCCCTCCAAATGTCCACTTCCAGATACTACAAAAAGAGTGTTTCCAACCTGCTCTATGAAACGGAAGGTTCAACTCTGTGACTTGATTGCAAACATCACGAAGGTGTTTCTGAGAATGCTTCTGTCTAGATTTTCTTTGAAGACATTACCGTTTCCAACGAAATCCTCAAAGCTAGCCAAATATCCACCTGCAGATTCTACAAAAAGAGTGTTTCAAAAGTGCTCTGTCCAAACCAAGGTTCAATTGTGACAGTTGAGTGCACACATCACAAACGTGATTCTGCGAATGCTTCTGTCTAGTTTTTGTCGGAAGATATTTCCTTTTTCAGCATAGGCCCCAAGGAGCTCAAAATGTCCACTTCCAGATAGTACGAGAAGATTGTTTCAAACCTGCTCTGTGAAAGGGAATGTTCAACTCTGTGACTTGAATGTAAACATCCCTAAGATGTTTCTTAGAATGCTTCTGGCTAGATTTGATTTGAAGATATTCCCGTTTCCAACGAAATCCTCAAAGCTTTCCAAATATCCACTTCCAGATTCTATAAAAAGAATGTTTCAGAACAGTTCTGTCAAAAGAAAGGTTCAACTCTGTTAGTGGAGAACACACATCACAATCAAGGTTCTGAGAATGCTTCTGTCTAAGTTTTCTAAGAAGACATTCCCGTTTCCAACGAAATCCTCACAGCTATCCAAATATCCACTTGCAGATTCTACAAAAAGTGTGGTTCAAAACTGCTGTATCAAAAGAATGGATCAACACTGTTAGTTGAGTACCCACATCAGAAACGTGATTCTCAGAATGCTTCTGTCTAGTTTCTATAGGTAGATATTTCCTTTTTCAGCATAGGCCTGAAAGCGCTCCAAATGCCCGCTTCCAGACACTATAAAAAGAGGGTTTCAAACCTACTCTATGAAAGGGAATGTTCAACTCTGAGAGCTGGATGCAAACATCACAAAGAAGTTTCTGAGAATGCTGCTGTCTACTTTTTATATATAATCCCGTTTCCAACGAAATCCTCAAATCTATCCAAATATCCACTTGCAGATTCCAAAAGAAGAGTGTCTCAAAACTGCTCTATCAATAGAAATGTTCAGCACAGTTAGTTGAGTAGATACAGCATAAACATGTTTCTGAGATTACTTCTATCTCGCATTCATGGGAAGATATTTCCTTTTTCCAGATAGGCTACAAAGCCCTCCAAATGTCCACTTCCAGATACTACAAATAGAGTGCTGCACAACTGCTCTATGTGAGGGGAAGTTCAATTCTGTGACTTGAATGCAGACACCACAAAGAAGTTTCTGAGAATGCTGCTGTCTAATTTTTACATGTAAGCCCGTTTCCAACGAAATCCTCAAAGCTATCCAAATATCCGCATGCAGAATCTTCAAAAAGAGTGTTCCAGAAGTACTGCATGAAACGAAAGGTTCAAGTCCGTTTGTTGAGGACACACATCACAAATAAGTTTCTCAGAATGCTTCTGTCTTGTTTTCATTGGAAGATATTTCCTTTTTCACCATAGTTCAGAAAGCGCTCCAAATGTCCACTTCCAGATACTCCAAAAAGAGTGTTTCCAACCTGCTCTATGAATGGGAATGTTCCACTCTGTGACTTGAATGGAAACATGGCAAAGTATTTTCTGAGTATGCTGCTGTGTACGTTTTATATTGCATCCCGTTTCCAACGAAATCCTCAAAGCGATCCAAATATCCACTTGCAGATTCCAAAAAAAGAGTGTTTCAAAGTGCTCTGTCAGTACAAAGGTTCAACACTGTTAGTTGATTAGATGCATCATAAACAAGTTCCTGAGATAGCTTCTATCTCGTATTCATGGGAAGATATTTCCTTTTTCCAGAAAGGCTACAAAGCCCTCCCAATGTCCACTTCCAGATACTACAAAAAGAGTGTTTCCAACCTGCTCTATGAAACGGAAGGTTCAACTCTGTGACTTGATTGCAAACATCACGAAGGTGTTTCTGAGAATGCTTCTGTCTAGATTTTCTTTGAAGACATTACCGTTTCCAACGAAATCCTCAAAGCTAGCCAAATATCCACCTGCAGATTCTACAAAAAGAGTGTTTCAAAAGTGCTCTGTCCAAACCAAGGTTCAATTCTGAGAGTTGAGTGCACACATCACAAACGTGATTCTGCGAATGCTTCTGTCTAGTTTTTGTCGGAAGATATTTCCTTTTTCAGCATAGGCCCCAAAGAGCTCAAAATGTCCACTGCCAGATAGTACGAGAAGATTGTTTCAAACCTGCTCTGTGAAAGGGAATGTTCAACTCTGTGACTTGAATGTAAACATCCCTGAGATGTTTCTTAGAATGCTTCTGGCTAGATTTTATTTGAAGATATTCCCGTTTCCAACGAAATCCTCAAAGCTTTCCAAATATCCACTTCCAGATTCTATAAAAAGAATGTTTCAGAACAGTTCTGTCAAAAGAAAGGTTCAACTCTGTTAGTGGAGAACACACATCACAATCAAGGTTCTGAGAATGCTTCTGTCTAAATTTTCTATGAAGACATTCCCGTTTCCAACGAAATCTTCACAGCTATCCAAATATCTACTTGCAGATTCTACAAAAAGTGTGGTTCAAAACTGCTGTATCAAAAGAATGGATCAACACTGTTAGTTGAGTACCCACATCACAAACGTGATTCTCAGAATGCTTCTGTCTAGTTTCTATAGGTAGATATTTCCTTTTTCAGCATAGGCCTGAAAGCGCTCCAAATGCCCGCTTCCAGACACTATAAAAAGAAGGTTTCAAACCTACTCTATGAAAGGGAATGTTCAACTCTGAGAGCTGGATGCAAACATCACAAAGAAGTTTCTGAGAATGCTTGCTGTCTACTTTTTATATATAATCCCGTTTCCAACGAAATCCTCAAATCTATCCAAATATCCACTTGCAGATTCCAAAAGAAGAGTGTCTCAAAACTGCTCTATCAATAGAAATGTTCAGCACAGTTAGTTGAGTAGATACAGCATAAACATGTTTCTGAGATTACTTCTATCTCGCATTCATGGGAAGATATTTCCTTTTTCCAGATAGGCTACAAAGCCCTCCAAATGTCCACTTCCAGATACTACAAAAAGAGTGTTTCCAACCTGCTCTATGAAACGGAAGGTTCAACTCTGTGACTTGATTGCAAACATCACGAAGGTGTTTCTGAGAATGCTTCTGTCTAGATTTTCTTTGAAGACATTACCGTTTCCAACGAAATCCTCAAAGCTAGCCAAATATCCACCTGCAGATTCTACAAAAAGAGTGTTTCAAAAGTGCTCTGTCCAAACCAAGGTTCAATTCTGACAGTTGAGTGCACACATCACAAACGTGATTCTGCGAATGCTTCTGTCTAGTTTTTGTCGGAAGATATTTCCTTTTTCAGCATAGGCCCCAAGGAGCTCAAAATGTCCACTGCCAGATAGTACGAGAAGATTGTTTCAAACCTGCTCTGTGAAAGGGAATGTTCAACTCTGTGACTTGAATGTAAACATCCCTAAGATGTTTCTTAGAATGCTTCTGGCTAGATTTTATTTGAAGATATTCCCGTTTCCAACGAAATCCTCAAAGCTTTCCAAATATCCACTTCCAGATTCTATAAAAAGAATGTTTCAGAACAGTTCTGTCAAAAGAAAGGTTCAACTCTGTTAGTGGAGAACACACATCACAATCAAGGTTCTGAGAATGCTTCTGTCTAAATTTTCTATGAAGACATTCCCGTTTCCAACAAAATCCTCACAGCTATCCAAATATCCACTTGCAGATTCTACAAAAAGTGTGGTTCAAAACTGCTGTATCAAAAGAATGGATCAACACTGTTAGTTGAGTACCCACATCACAAACGTGATTCTCAGAATGCTTCTGTCTAGTTTCTATAGGTAGATATTTCCTATTTTAAGCATAGGCCTGAAAGCGCTCCAAATGCCCGCTTCCAGACACTATAAAAAGAGGGTTTCAAACCTACTCTATGAAAGGGAATGTTCAACTCTGAGAGCTGGATGCAAACATCACAAAGAAGTTTCTGAGAATGCTGCTGTCTACTTTTTATATATAATCCCGTTTCCAACGAAATCCTCAAATCTATCCAAATATCCACTTGCAGATTCCAAAAGAAGAGTGTCTCAAAACTGCTCTATCAATAGAAATGTTCAGCACAGTTAGTTGAGTAGATACAGCATAAACATGTTTCTGAGATTACTTCTATCTCGCATTCATGGGAAGATATTTCCTTTTTCCAGATAGGCTACAAAGCCCTCCAAATGTCCACTTCGAGATACTACAAATAGAGTGCTGCACAACTGCTCTATGTGAGGGGAAGTTCAATTCTGTGACTTGAATGCAGACACCACAAAGTAGTTTCTGAGAATGCTGCTGTCTAATTTTTACATGTAAGCCCGTTTCCAACGAAATCCTCAAAGCTATCCAAATATCCGCATGCAGAATCTTCAAAAAGAGTGTTCCAGAAGTACTGCATGAAACGAAAGGTTCAAGTCCGTTTGTTGAGGACACACATCACAAATAAGTTTCTCAGAATGCTTCTGTCTTGTTTTCATTGGAAGATATTTCCTTTTTCACCATAGTTCAGAAAGCGCTCCAAATGTCCACTTCCAGATACTCCAAAAAGAGTGTTTCCAACCTGCTCTATGAATGGGAATGTTCCACTCTGTGACTTGAATGGAAATATGGCAAAGTATTTTCTGAGTATGCTGCTGTGTACGATTTATATTGCATCCCGTTTCCAACGAAATCCTCAAAGCGATCCAAATATCCACTTGCAGATTCCAAAAAAAAGAGTGTTTCACACTGCTCTGTCAGTACAAAAGTTCAACACTGTTAGTTGATTGGATGCATCATAAACAAGTTCCTGAGATAGCTTCTATGTCGTTTTTATGGGAAGATATTTCCTTCTTCACCATAGGACTGAAAGCGCTCCAAATGTCCACTTCCAGATATTACAAAAAGAGTGTTTCCAATCTGCTCTATGAAACGGAAGGTTCAACTCTGTGACTTGATTGCAAACATCACGAAGGTGTTTCTGAGAATGTTTCTGTCTAGATTTTCTTTGAAGACATTACCGTTTCCAACGAAATCCTCAAAGCTAGTCAAATATCCACCTGCAGATTCTACAAAAAGAGTGTTTCAAAAGTGCTCTGTCCAAACAAAGGTTCAATTCCGACAGTTGAGTGCACACATCACAAACGTGATTCTGCGAATGCTTCTGTCTAGTTTTTGTCGGAAGATATTTCCTTTTTCAGCATAGGCCCCAAGGAGCTCAAAATGTCCACTTCCAGATACTACGAGAAGATTGTTTCAAACCTGCTCTGTGAAAGGGAATGTTCAACTCTGTGACTTGAATGTAAACATCCCTAAGATGTTTCTTAGAATGCTTCTGGCTAGATTTGATTTGAAGATATTCCCGTTTCAAACGAAATCCTCAAAGCTTTCCAAATATCCACTTCCAGATTCTATACAAAGAATGTTTCAGAACAGTTCTGTCAAAAGAAAGGTTCAACCCTGTTAGTGGAGAACACACATCACAATCAAGGTTCTGAGAATGCTTCTGTCTAAATTTTCTATGAAGACATTCCCGTTTCCAAGGAAATCCTCACAGCTATCCAAATATCCACTTGCAGATTCTACAAAAAGTGTGGTTCAAAACTGCTGTATCAAAAGAATGGATCAACACTGTTAGTTGAGTACCCACATCACAAACGTGATTCTCAGAATGCTTCTGTCTAGTTTCTATAGGTAGATATTTCCTTTTTCAGCATAGGCCTGAAAGCGCTCCAAATGCCCGCTTCCAGACACTATAAAAAGAGGGTTTCAAACCTACTCTACGAAAGGGAATGTTCAACTCTGAGAGCTGGATGCAAACATCACAAAGAAGTTTCTGAGAATGCGGCTGTCTACTATTTATATATAATCCCGTTGCCAACGAAATCCTCAAATCTATCCAAATATCCACTTGCAGATTCCAAAAGAAGAGTGTCTCAAAACTGCTCTATCAATAGAAATGTTGAGCACAGTTAGTTGAGTAGATACAGCATAAACATGTTTCTGAGATTACTTCTATCTCGCATTCATGGGAAGATATTTCCTTTTTCCAGATAGGCTACAAAGCCCTCCAAATGTCCAATTCGAGATACTACAAATAGAGTGCTGCACAACTGCTCTATGTGAGGGGATGTTCAATTCTGTGACTTGGATGCAGACACCACAGAGAAGTTTCTGAGAATGCTGCTGTCTAATTTTTATATGTAAGCCCGTTTCCAACGAAATCCTCAAAGCTATCCAAATATCCGCATGCAGAATCTTCAAAAAGAGTGTTCCAGAAGTACTGTATGAAACGAAAGGTTCAAGTCCGTTAGTTGAGGAAAAACATCACAAACAATTTTCTCAGAATGCTTCTGTCTTGTTTTCATTGGAAGATATTTCCTTTTTCACCATAGTTCAGAAAGCGCTCCAAATGTCCACTTCCAGATACTCCAAAAAGAGTGTTTCCAACCTGCTCTATGAATGGGAATGTTCCACTCTGTGACTTGAATGGAAATATGGCAAAGTATTTTCTGAGGATTCTGCTGTGTACGTTTTATATTGCATCCCGTTTCCAACGAAATACTCAAAGCGATCCAAATATCCACTTGCAGATTCTATAAAAAGAATGTTTCAGAACAGTTCTGTCAAAAGAAAGGTTCAACACTGTTAGTGGAGAACACACATCACAATCAAGGTTCTGAGAATGCTTCTGTCTAAATTTTCTATGAAGGCATTCCCGTTTCCAAGGAAATCCTCACAGCTATCCAAATATCCACTTGCAGATTCTACAAAAAGTGTGGTTCAAAACTGCTGTATCAAAAGAATGGATCAACACTGTTAGTTGAGTACCCACATCACAAACGTGATTCTCAGAATGCTTCTGTCTAGTTTCTATAGGTAGATATTTCCTTTTTCAGCATAGGCCTGAAAGCGCTCCAAATGCCCGCTTCCAGACACTATAAAAAGAGGGTTTCAAACCTACTCTACGAAAGGGAATGTTCAACTCTGAGAGCTGGATGCAAACATCACAAAGAAGTTTCTGAGAATGCGGCAGTCTACTTTTTATATATAATCCCGTTTCCAACGAAATCCTCAAATCTATCCAAATATCCACTTGCAGATTCCAAAAGAAGAGTGTCTCAAAACTGCTCTATCAATAGAAATGTTCAGCACAGTTAGTTGAGTAGATACAGCATAAACATGTTTCTGAGATTACTTCTATCTCGCATTCATGGGAAGATATTTCCTTTTTCCACATAGGCTACAAAGCCCTCCAAATGTCCACTTCCAGATACTACAAAAAGAGTGTTTCCAACCTGCTCTATGAAACGGAAGGTTCAACTCTGTGACTTGATTGCAAACATCACGAAGGTGTTTCTGAGAATGCTTCTGTCTAGATTTTCTTTGAAGACATTACCGTTTCCAACGAAATCCTCAAAGCTAGCCAAATATCCACCTGCAGATTCTACAAAAAGAGTGTTTCAAAAGTGCTCTGTCCAAACCAAGGTTCAATTCTGACAGTTGAGTGCACACATCACAAACGTGATTCTGCGAATGCTTCTGTCTAGTTTTTGTCGGAAGATATTTCCTTTTTCAGCATAGGCCCCAAGGAGCTCAAAATGTCCACTGCCAGATAGTACGAGAAGATTGTTTCAAACCTGCTCTGTGAAAGGGAATGTTCAACTCTGTGACTTGAATGTAAACATCCCTAAGATGTTTCTTAGAATGCTTCTGGCTAGATTTTATTTGAAGATATTCCCGTTTCCAACGAAATCCTCAAAGCTTTCCAAATATCCACTTCCAGATTCTATAAAAAGAATGTTTCAGAACAGTTCTGTCAAAAGAAAGGTTCAACTCTGTTAGTGGAGAACACACATCACAATCAAGGTTCTGAGAATGCTCTGTCTAAATTTTCTATGAAGACATTCCCGTTTCCAACGAAATCCTCACAGCTATCCAAATATCCACTTGCAGATTCTACAAAAAGGGTGGTTCAAAACTGCTGTATCAAAAGAATGGATCAACACTGTTAGTTGAGTACCCACATCACAAACGTGATTCTCAGAATGCTTTCTGTCTAGTTTCTATAGGTAGATATTTCCTTTTTCAGCATAGGCCTGAAAGCGCTCCAAATGCCCGCTTCCAGACACTATAAAAAGAGGGTTTCAAACCTACTCTATGAAAGGGAATGTTCAACTCTGAGAGCTGGATGCAAACATCACAAAGAAGTTTCTGAGAATGCTGCTGTCTACTTTTTATATATAATCCCGTTTCCAACGAAATCCTCAAATCTATCCAAATATCCACTTGCAGATTCCAAAAGAAGAGTGTCTCAAAACTGCTCTATCAATAGAAATGTTCAGCACAGTTAGTTGAGTAGATACAGCATAAACATGTTTCTGAGATTACTTCTATCTCGCATTCATGGGAAGATATTTCCTTTTTCCAGATAGGCTACAAAGCCCTCCAAATGTCCACTTCGAGATACTACAAATAGAGTGCTGCACAACTGCTCTATGTGAGGGGAAGTTCAATTCTGTGACTTGAATGCAGACACCACAAAGAAGTTTCTGAGAATGCTGCTGTCTAATTTTTACATGTAAGCCCGTTTCCAACGAAATCCTCAAAGCTATCCAAATATCCGCATGCAGAATCTTCAAAAAGAGTGTTCCAGAAGTACTGCATGAAACGAAAGGTTCAAGTCCGTTTGTTGAGGACACACATCACAAATAAGTTTCTCAGAATGCTTCTGTCTTGTTTTCATTGGAAGATATTTCCTTTTTCACCATAGTTCAGAAAGCGCTCCAAATGTCCACTTCCAGATACTCCAAAAAGAGTGTTTCCAACCTGCTCTATGAATGGGAATGTTCCACTCTGTGACTTGAATGGAAATATGGCAAAGTATTTTCTGAGTAAGCTGCTGTGTACGTTTGATATTCATCCCGTTTCCAACGAAATCCTCAAAGCGATCCAAATATCCACTTGCAGATTCCAAAAAAAGAGTGTTTCAAACTGCTCTGTCAGTACAAAGGTTCAACACTGTTAGTTGATTAGATGCATCATAAACAAGTTCCTGAGATAGCTTCTATGTCGCTTTTATGGGAAGATATTTCCTTTTACACCATAGGCCTGAAAGCGCTCCAAATGTCCACTTCCAGATACTACAAAATGAGTGTTTCCAACCTGCTCTATGAAACGGAAGGTTCAACTCTGTGACTTGATTGCAAACATCACGAAGGTGTTTCTGAGGATGTTTCTGTCTAGTATTTTCTTTGAAGACATTACCGTTTCCAACGAAATCCTCAAAGCTAGCCAAATATCCACCTGCAGATTCTACAAAAAGTGTGTTTCAAAAGTGCTCTCTCCAAACCAAGGTTCAATTCTGACAGTTGAGTGCACACATCACAAACGTGATTCTGCGAATGCTTCTGACTAGTTTTTGTCGGAAGATATTTCCTTTTTCAGCATAGGCCCCAAAGAGCTCAAAATGTCCACTGCCAGATAGTACGAGAAGATTGTTTCAAACCTGCTCTGTGAAAGGGAATGTTCAACTCTGTGACTTGAATGTAAACATCCCTAAGATGTTTCTTAGAATGCTTCTGGCTAGATTTTATTTGAAGATATTCCCGTTTCCAACGAAATCCTCAAAGCTTTCCAAATATCCACTTCCAGATTCTATAAAAAGAATGTTTCAGAACAGTTCTGTCAAAAGAAAGGTTCAACTCTGTTAGTGGAGAACACACATCACAATCAAGGTTCTGAGAATGCTTCTGTCTAAATTTTCTATGAAGACATTCCCGTTTCCAACGAAATCCTCACAGCTATCCAAATATCCACTTGCAGATTCTACAAAAAGTGTGGTTCAAAACTGCTGTATCAAAAGAATGGATCAACACTGTTAGTTGAGTACCCACATCACAAACTTGATTCTCAGAATGCTTCTGTCTAGTTTCTATAGGTAGATATTTCCTTTTTCAGCATAGGCCTGAAAGCGCTCCAAATGCCCGCTTCCAGACACTATAAAAAGAGGGTTTCAAACCTACTCTATGAAAGGGAATGTTCAACTCTGAGAGCTGGATGCAAACATCACAAAGAAGTTTCTGAGAATGCTGCTGTCTACTTTTTATATATAATCCCGTTTCCAACGAAATCCTCAAATCTATCCAAATATCCACTTGCAGATTCCAAAAGAAGAGGGTCTCAAAACTGCTCTATCAATAGAAATGTTCAGCACAGTTAGTTGAGTAGATACAGCATAAACATGTTTCTGAGATTACTTCTATCTCGCATTCATGGGAAGATATTTCCTTTTCCAGATAGGCTACAAAGCCCTCCAAATGTCCACTTCCAGATACTACAAATAGAGTGCTGCACAACTGCTCTATGTGAGGGGAAGTTCAATTCTGTGACTTGAATGCAGACACCACAAAGAAGTTTCTGAGAATGCTGCTGTCTAATTTTTACATGTAAGCCCGTTTCCAACGAAATCCTCAAAGCTATCCAAATATCCGCATGCAGAATCTTCAAAAAGAGTGTTCCAGAAGTACTGCATGAAACGAAAGGTTCAAGTCCGTTTGTTGAGGACACACATCACAAATAAGTTTCTCAGAATGCTTCTGTCTTGTTTTCATTGGAAGATATTTCCTTTTTCACCATAGTTCAGAAAGCGCTCCAAATGTCCACTTCCAGATACTCCAAAAAGAGTGTTTCAAACCTGCTCTATGAATGGGAATGTTCCACTCTGTGACTTGAATGGAAATATGGCAAAGTATTTTCTGAGTATGCTGCTGTGTACGTTTTATATTGCATCCCGTTTCCAACGAAATCCTCAAAGCGATCCAAATATCCACTTGCAGATTCCAAAAAAAGAGTGTTTCAAACTGCTCTGTCAGTACAAAGGTTCAACACTGTTAGTTGATTAGATGCATCATAAACAAGTTCCTGAGATAGCTTCTATGTCGTTTTTATGGGAAGATATTTCCTTTTTCACAATAGGACTGAAAGCGCTCCAAATGTCCACTTCCAGATACTACAATAAGAGTGTTTCCAACCTGCTCTATGAAACGGAAGGTTCAACTCTGTGACTTGATTGCAAACATCACGAAGGTGTTTCTGAGAATGCTTCTGTCTAGATTTTCTTTGAAGACATTCCCGTTTCCAACGAAATCCTCACAGCTATCCAAATATCCTCTTGCAGATTCTACAAAAAGTGTGGTTCAAAACTGCTGTATCAAAAGAATGGATCAACACTGTTAGTTGAGTACCCACATCACAAACGTGATTCTCAGAATGCTTCTGTCTAGTTTCTGTAGGTAGATATTTCCTATTTTAAGCATAGGCCTGAAAGCGCTCCAAATGCCCGCTTCCAGACACTATAAAAAGAGGGTTTCAAACCTACTCTATGAAAGGGAATGTTCAACTCTGAGAGCTGGATGCAAACATCACAAAGAAGTTTCTGAGAATGCTGCTGTCTACTTTTCATATATAATCCCGTTTCCAACGAAATCCTCAAATCTATCCAAATATCCACTTGCAGATTCCAAAAGAAGAGTGTCTCAAAACTGCTCTATCAATAGAAATCTTCAGCACAGTTAGTTGAGTAGATACAGCATAAACATGTTTCTGAGATTACTTCTATCTCGCATTCATGGGAAGATATTTCCTTTTTCCAGATAGGCTACAAAGCCCTCCAAATGTCCACATCGAGATACTACAAATAGAGTGCTGCACAACTGCTCTATGTGAGGGGATGTTCAATTCTGTGACTTGAATGCAGACACCACAAAGAAGTTTCTGAGAATGCTGCTGTCTAATTTTTCCATGTAAGCCCGTTTCCAACGAAATCCTCAAAGCTATCCAAATATCCGCATGCAGAATCTTCAAAAAGAGTGTTCCAGAAGTACTGCATGAAACGAAAGGTTCAAGTCCGTTTGTTGAGGACACACATCACAAATAAGTTTCTCAGAATGCTTCTGTCTTGTTTTCATTGGAAGATATTTCCTTTTTCACCATAGTTCAGAAAGCGCTCCAAATGTCCACTTCCAGATACTCCAAAAAGAGTGTTTCAAACCTGCTCTATGAATGGGAATGTTCCACTCTGTGACTTGAATGGAAATATGGCAAAGTATTTTCTGAGTATGCTGCTGTGTACGTTTTATATTGCATCCCGTTTCCAACGAAATCCTCAAAGCGATCCAAATATCCACTTGCAGATTCCAAAAAAAGAGTGTTTCAAACTGCTCTGTCAGTACAAAGGTTCAACACTGTTAGTTGATTAGATGCATCATAAACAAGTTCCTGAGATAGCTTCTATGTCGTTTTTATGGGAAGATATTTCCTTTTTCACCATAGGCCTGAAAGCGCTCCAAATGTCCACTTCCAGATACTACAATAAGAGTGTTTCCAACCTGCTCTATGAAACGGAAGGTTCAACTCTGTGACTTGATTGCAAACATCACGAAGGTGTTTCTGAGAATGCTTCTGTCTAGATTTTCTTTGAAGACATTCCCGTTTCCAACGAAATCCTCACAGCTATCCAAATATCCTCTTGCAGATTCTACAAAAAGTGTGGTTCAAAACTGCTGTATCAAAAGAATGGATCAACACTGTTAGTTGAGTACCCACATCACAAACGTGATTCTCAGAATGCTTCTGTCTAGTTTCTGTAGGTAGATATTTCCTATTTTAAGCATAGGCCTGAAAGCGCTCCAAATGCCCGCTTCCAGACACTATAAAAAGAGGGTTTCAAACCTACTCTATGAAAGGGAATGTTCAACTCTGAGAGCTGGATGCAAACATCACAAAGAAGTTTCTGAGAATGCTGCTGTCTACTTTTTATATATAATCCCGTTTCCAACGAAATCCTCAAATCTATCCAAATATCCACTTGCAGATTCCAAAAGAAGAGTGTCTCAAAACTGCTCTATCAATAGAAATGTTCAGCACAGTTAGTTGAGTAGATACAGCATAAACATGTTTCTGAGATTACTTCTATCTCGCATTCATGGGAAGATATTTCCTTTTTCCAGATAGGCTACAAAGCCCTCCAAATGTCCACTTCCAGATACTACAAAAAGAGTGTTTCCAACCTGCTCTATGAAACGGAAGGTTCAACTCTGTGACTTGATTGCAAACATCACGAAGGTGTTTCTGAGAATGCTTCTGTCTAGATTTTCTTTGAAGACATTACCGTTTCCAACGAAATCCTCAAAGCTAGCCAAATATCCACCTGCAGATTCTACAAAAAGAGTGTTTCAAAAGTGCTCTGTCCAAACCAAGGTTCAATTCTGACAGTTGAGTGCACACATCACAAACGTGATTCTGCGAATGCTTCTGTCTAGTTTTTGTCGGAAGATATTTCCTTTTTCAGCATAGGCCCCAAGGAGCTCAAAATGTCCACTGCCAGATAGTACGAGAAGATTGTTTCAAACCTGCTCTGTGAAAGGGAATGTTCAACTCTGTGACTTGAATGTAAACATCCCTAAGATGTTTCTTAGAATGCTTCTGGCTAGATTTGATTTGAAGATATTCCCGTTTCCAACGAAATCCTCAAAGCTTTCCAAATATCCACTTCCAGATTCTATAAAAAGAATGTTTCAGAACAGTTCTGTCAAAAGAAAGGTTCAACTCTGTTAGTGGAGAACACACATCACAATCAAGGTTCTGAGAATGCTTCTGTCTAAATTTTCTATGAAGACATTCCCGTTTCCAACGAAATCCTCACAGCTATCCAAATATCCACTTGCAGATTCTACAAAAAGTGTGGTTCAAAACTGCTGTATCAAAAGAATGGATCAACACTGTTAGTTGAGTACCCACATCACAAACGTGATTCTCAGAATGCTTCTGTCTAGTTTCTATAGGTAGATATTTCCTTTTTCAGCATAGGCCTGAAAGCGCTCCAAATGCCCGCTTCCAGACACTATAAAAAGAGGGTTTCAAACCTACTCTATGAAAGGGAATGTTCAACTCTGAGAGCTGGATGCAAACATCACAAAGAAGTTTCTGAGAATGCTGCTGTCTACTTTTTATATATAATCCCGTTTCCAACGAAATCCTCAAATCTATCCAAATATCCACTTGCAGATTCCAAAAGAAGAGTGTCTCAAAACTGCTCTATCAATAGAAATGTTCAGCACAGTTAGTTGAGTAGATACAGCATAAACATGTTTCTGAGATTACTTCTATCTCGCATTCATGGGAAGATATTTCCTTTTTCCAGATAGGCTACAAAGCCCTCCAAATGTCCACTTCCAGATACTACAAAAAGAGTGTTTCCAACCTGCTCTATGAAACGGAAGGTTCAACTCTGTGACTTGATTGCAAACATCACGAAGGTGTTTCTGAGAATGCTTCTGTCTAGATTTTCTTTGAAGACATTACCGTTTCCAACGAAATCCTCAAAGCTAGCCAAATATCCACCTGCAGATTCTACAAAAAGAGTGTTTCAAAAGTGCTCTGTCCAAACCAAGGTTCAATTCTGACAGTTGAGTGCACACATCACAAACGTGATTCTGCGAATGCTTCTGTCTAGTTTTTGTCGGAAGATATTTCCTTTTTCAGCATAGGCCCCAAGGAGCTCAAAATGTCCACTGCCAGATAGTACGAGAAGATTGTTTCAAACCTGCTCTGTGAAAGGGAATGTTCAACTCTGTGACTTGAATGTAAACATCCCTAAGATGTTTGCTTAGAATGCTTCTGGCTAGATTTGATTTGAAGATATTCCCGTTTCCAACGAAATCCTCAAAGCTTTCCAAATATCCACTTCCAGATTCTATAAAAAGAATGTTTCAGAACAGTTCTGTCAAAAGAAAGGTACAACTCTGTTAGTGGAGAACACACATCACAATCAAGGTTCTGAGAATGCTTCTGTCTAAATTTTCTATGAAGACATTCCCGTTTCCAACGAAATCCTCACAGCTATCCAAATATCCACTTGCAGATTCTACAAAAAGTGTGGTTCAAAACTGCTGTATCAAAAGAATGGATCAACACTGTTAGTTGAGTACCCACATCACAAACGTGATTCTCAGAATGCTTCTGTCTAGTTTCTATAGGTAGATATTTCCTTTTTCAGCATAGGCCTGAAAGCGCTCCAAATGCCCGCTTCCAGACACTATAAAAAGAGGGTTTCAAACCTACTCTATGAAAGGGAATGTTCAACTCTGAGAGCTGGATGCAAACATCACAAAGAAGTTTCTGAGAATGCTGCTGTCTACTTTTGATATATAATCCCGTTTCCAACGAAATCCTCAAATCTATCCAAATATCCACTTGCAGATTCCAAAAGAAGAGTGTCTCAAAACTGCTCTATCAATAGAAATGTTCAGCACAGTTAGTTGAGTAGATACAGCATAAACATGTTTCTGAGATTACTTCTATCTCGCATTCATGGGAAGATATTTCCTTTTTCCAGATAGGCTACAAAGCCCTCCAAATGTCCACTTCCAGATACTACAAAAAGAGTGTTTCCAACCTGCTCTATGAAACGGAAGGTTCAACTCTGTGACTTGATTGCAAACATCACGAAGGTGTTTCTGAGAATGCTTCTGTCTAGATTTTCTTTGAAGACATTCCCGTTTCCAACGAAATCCTCACAGCTATCCAAATATCCTCTTGCAGATTCTACAAAAAGTGTGGTTCAAAACTGCTGTATCAAAAGAATGGATCAACACTGTTAGTTGAGTACCCACATCACAAACGTGATTCTCAGAAGGCTTCTGTCTAGTTTCTGTAGGTAGATATTTCCTATTTTAAGCATAGGCCTGAAAGCGCTCCAAATGCCCGCTTCCAGACACTATAAAAAGAGGGTTTCAAACCTACTCTATGAAAGGGAATGTTCAACTCTGAGAGCTGGATGCAAACATCACAAAGAAGTTTCTGAGAATGCTGCTGTCTACTTTTTATATATAATCCCGTTTCCAACGAAATCCTCAAATCTATCCAAATATCCACTTGCAGATTCCAAAAGAAGAGTGTCTCAAAACTGCTCTATAAATAGAAATGTTCAGCACAGTTAGTTGAGTAGATACAGCATAAACATGTTTCTGAGATTACTTCTATCTCGCATTCATGGGAAGATATTTCCTTTTTCCAGATAGGCTACAAAGCCCTCCAAATGTCCACTTCCAGATACTACAAAAAGAGTGTTTCCAACCTGCTCTATGAAACGGAAGGTTCAACTCTGTGACTTGATTGCAAACATCACGAAGGTGTTTCTGAGAATGCTTCTGTCTAGATTTTCTTTGAAGACATTACCGTTTCCAACGAAATCCTCAAAGCTAGCTAAATATCCACCTGCAGATTCTACAAAAAGAGTGTTTCAAAAGTGCTCTGTCCAAACCAAGGTTCAATTCTGACAGTTGAGTGCACACATCACAAACGTGATTACTGCGAATGCTTCTGTCTAGTTTTTGTCGGAAGATATTTCCTTTTTCAGCATAGGTCCCAAGGAGCTCAAAATGTCCACTGCCAGATAGTACGAGAAGATTGTTTCAAACCTGCTCTGTGAAAGGGAATGTTCAACTCTGTGACTTGAATGTAAACATCCCTAAGATGTTTCTTAGAATGCTTCTGGCTAGATTTGATTTGAAGATATTCCCGTTTCCAACGAAATCCTCAAAGCTTTCCAAATATCCACTTCCAGATTCTATAAAAAGAATGTTTCAGAACAGTTCTGTCAAAAGAAAGGTTCAACTCTGTTAGTGGAGAACACACATCACAATCAAGGTTCTGAGAATGCTTCTGTCTAAATTTTCTATGAAGACATTCCCGTTTCCAACGAAATCCTCACAGCTATCCAAATATCCACTTGCAGATTCTACAAAAAGTGTGGTTCAAAACTGCTGTATCAAAAGAATGGATCAACACTGTTAGTTGAGTACCCACATCACAAACGTGATTCTCAGAATGCTTCTGTCTAGTTTCTATAGGTAGATATTTCCTTTTTCAGCATAGGCCTGAAAGCGCTCCAAATGCCCGCTTCCAGACACTATAAAAAGAGGGTTTCAAACCTACTCTATGAAAGGGAATGTTCAACTCTGAGAGCTGGATGCAAACATCACAAAGAAGTTTCTGAGAATGCTGCTGTCTACTTTTTATATATAATCCCGTTTCCAACGAAATCCTCAAATCTATCCAAATATCCACTTGCAGATTCCAAAAGAAGAGTGTCTGAAAACTGCTCTATCAATAGAAATGTTCAGCACAGTTAGTTGAGTAGATACAGCATAAACATGTTTCTGAGATTACTTCTATCTCGCATTCATGGGAAGATATTTCCTTTTTCCAGATAGGCTACAAAGCCCTCCAAATGTCCACTTCCAGATACTACAAAAAGAGTGTTTCCAACCTGCTCTATGAAACGGAAGGTTCAACTCTGTGACTTGATTGCAAACATCACGAAGGTGTTTCTGAGAATGCTTCTGTCTAGATTTTCTTTGAAGACATTACCGTTTCCAACGAAATCCTCAAAGCTAGCCAAATATCCACCTGCAGATTCTACAAAAAGAGTGTTTCAAAAGTGCTCTCTCCAAACCAAGGTTCAATTCTGACAGTTGAGTGCACACATCACAAACGTGATTCTGCGAATGCTTCTGTCTAGTTTTTGTCGGAAGATATTTCCTTTTTCAGCATAGGCCCCAAAGAGCTCAAAATGTCCACTGCCAGATAGTACGAGAAGATTGTTTCAAACCTGCTCTGTGAAAGGGAATGTTCAACTCTGTGACTTGAATGTAAACATCCCTAAGATGTTTCTTAGAATGCTTCTGGCTAGATTTTATTTGAAGATATTCCCGTTTCCAACGAAATCCTCAAAGCTTTCCAAATATCCACTTCCAGATTCTATAAAAAGAATGTTTCAGAACAGTTCTGTCAAAAGAAAGGTTCAACTCTGTTAGTGGAGAACACACATCACAATCAAGGTTCTGAGAATGCTTCTCTCTAAATTTTCTATGAAGACATTCCCGTTTCCAACGAAATCCTCACAGCTATCCAAATATCCACTTGCAGATTCTACAAAAAGTGTGGTTCAAAACTGCTGTATCAAAAGAATGGATCAACACTGTTAGTTGAGTACCCACATCACAAACGTGATTCTCAGAATGCTTCTGTCTAGTTTCTATAGGTAGATATTTCCTTTTTCAGCATAGGCCTGAAAGCGCTCCAAATGCCCGCTTCCAGACACTATAAAAAGAGGGTTTCAAACCTACTCTATGAAAGGGAATGTTCAACTCTGAGAGCTGGATGCAAACATCACAAAGAAGTTTCTGAGAATGCTGCTGTCTACTTTTTATATATAATCCCGTTTCCAACGAAATCCTCAAATCTATCCAAATATCCACTTGCAGATTCCAAAAGAAGAGTGTCTGAAAACTGCTCTATCAATAGAAATGTTCAGCACAGTTAGTTGAGTAGATACAGCATAAACATGTTTCTGAGATTACTTCTATCTCGCATTCATGGGAAGATATTTCCTTTTTCCAGATAGGCTACAAAGCCCTCCAAATGTCCACTTCCAGATACTACAAATAGAGTGCTGCACAACTGCTCTATGTGAGGGGATGTTCAATTCTGTGACTTGAATGCAGACACCACAAAGAAGTTTCTGAGAATGCTGCTGTCTAATTTTTACATGTAAGCCCGTTTCCAACGAAATCCTCAAAGCTATCCAAATATCCGCATGCAGAATCTTCAAAAAGAGTGTTCCAGAAGTACTGCATGAAACGAAAGGTTCAAGTCCGTTTGTTGAGGACACACATCACAAATAAGTTTCTCAGAATGCTTCTGTCTTGTTTTCATTGGAAGATATTTCCTTTTTCACCATAGTTCAGAAAGCGCTCCAAATGTCCACTTCCAGATACTCCAAAAAGAGTGTTTCCAACCTGCTCTATGAATGGGAATGTTCCACTCTGTGACTTGAATGGAAATATGGCAAAGTATTTTCTGAGTATGCTGCTGTGTACGTTTTATATTGCATCCCGTTTCCAACGAAATCCTCAAAGCGATCCAAATATCCACTTGCAGATTCCAAAAAAAGAGTGTTTCAAACTGCTCTGTCAGTACAAAGGTTCAACACTGTTAGTTGATTAGATGCATCATAAACAAGTTCCTGAGATAGCTTCTATATCGTTTTTATGGGAAGATATTTCCTTTTTCACCATAGGCCTGAAAGCGCTCCAAATGTCCACTTCCAGATACTACAATAAGAGTGTTTCCAACCTGCTCTATGAAACGGAAGGTTCAACTCTGTGACTTGATTGCAAACATCACGAAGGTATTTCTGAGAATGCTTCTGTCTAGATTTTCTTTGAAGACATTCCCGTTTCCAACGAAATCCTCACAGCTATCCAAATATCCTCTTGCAGATTCTACAAAAAGTGTGGTTCAAAACTGCTGTATCAAAAGAATGGATCAACACTGTTAGTTGAGTACCCACATCACAAACGAGATTCTCAGAATGCTTCTGTCTAGTTTCTGTAGGTAGATATTTCCTATTTTAAGCATAGGCCTGAAAGCGCTCCAAATGCCCGCTTCCAGACACTATAAAAAGAGGGTTTCAAACCTACTCTATGAAAGGGAATGTTCAACTCTGAGAGCTGGATGCAAACATCACAAAGAAGTTTCTGAGAATGCTGCTGTCTACTTTTTATATATAATCCCGTTTCCAACGAAATCCTCAAATCTCTCCAAATATCCACTTGCAGATTCCAAAAGAAGAGTGTCTCAAAACTGCTCTATCAATAGAAATGTTCAGCACAGTTAGTTGAGTAGATACAGCATAAACATGTTTCTGAGATTACTTCTATCTCGCATTCATGGGAAGATATTTCCTTTTTCCACATAGGCTACAAAGCCCTCCAAATGTCCACTTCCAGATACTACAAAAAGAGTGTTTCCAACCTGCTCTATGAAACGGAAGGTTCAACTCTGTGACTTGATTGCAAACATCACGAAGGTGTTTCTGAGAATGCTTCTGTCTAGATTTTCTTTGAAGACATTACCGTTTCCAACGAAATCCTCAAAGCTAGCCAAATATCCACCTGCAGATTCTACAAAAAGAGTGTTTCAAAAGTGCTCTGTCCAAACCAAGGTTCAATTCTGACAGTTGAGTGCACACATCACAAACGTGATTCTGCGAATGCTTCTGTCTAGTTTTTGTCGGAAGATATTTCCTTTTTCAGCATAGGCCCCAAGGAGCTCAAAATGTCCACTGCCAGATAGTACGAGAAGATTGTTTCAAACCTGCTCTGTGAAAGGGAATGTTCAACTCTGTGACTTGAATGTAAACATCCCTAAGATGTTTCTTAGAATGCTTCTGGCTAGATTTGATTTGAAGATATTCCCGTTTCCAACGAAATCCTCAAAGCTTTCCAAATATCCACTTCCAGATTCTATAAAAAGAATGTTTCAGAACAGTTCTGTCAAAAGAAAGGTTCAACTCTGTTAGTGGAGAACACACATCACAATCAAGGTTCTGAGAATGCTTCTGTCTAAATTTTCTATGAAGACATTCCCGTTTCCAACGAAATCCTCACAGCTATCCAAATATCCACTTGCAGATTCTACAAAAAGTGTGGTTCAAAACTGCTGTATCAAAAGAATGGATCAACACTGTTAGTTGAGTACCCACATCACAAACGTGATTCTCAGAATGCTTCTGTCTAGTTTCTGTAGGTAGATATTTCCTATTTTAAGCATAGGCCTGAAAGCGCTCCAAATGCCCGCTTCCAGACACTATAAAAAGAGGGTTTCAAACCTACTCTATGAAAGGGAATGCTCAACTCTGACAGCTGGATGCAAACATCACAAAGAAGTTTCTGAGAATGCTGCTGTCTACTTTTGATATATAATCCCGTTTCCAACGAAATCCTCAAATCTATCCAAATATCCACTTGCAGATTCCAAAAGAAGAGTGTCTCAAAACTGCTCTATCAATAGAAATGTTCAGCACAGTTAGTTGAGTAGATACAGCATAAACATGTTTGCTGAGATTACTTTCTATCTCGCATTCATGGGAAGATATTTCCTTTTTCCACATAGGCTACAAAGCCCTCCAAATGTCCACTTCCAGATACTACAAATAGAGTGCTGCACAACTGCTCTATGTGAGGGGATGTTCAATTCTGTGACTTGAATGCAGACACCACAAAGAAGTTTCTGAGAATGCTGCTGTCTAATTTTTACATGTAAGCCCGTTTCCAACGAAATCCTCAAAGCTATCCAAATATCCGCATGCAGAATCTTCAAAAAGAGTGTTCCAGAAGTACTGCATGAAACGAAAGGTTCAAGTCCGTTTGTTGAGGACACACATCACAAATAAGTTTCTCAGAATGCTTCTGTCTTGTTTTCATTGGAAGATATTTCCTTTTTCACCATAGTTCAGAAAGCGCTCCAAATGTCCACTTCCAGATACTCCAAAAAGAGTGTTTCCAACCTGCTCTATGAATGGGAATGTTCCACTCTGTGACTTGAATGGAAATATGGCAAAGAATTTTCTGAGTATGCTGCTGTGTACGTTTTATATTGCATCCCGTTTCCAACGAAATCCTCAAAGCGATCCAAATATCCACTTGCAGATTCCAAAAAAAGAGTGTTTCAAACTGCTCTGTCAGTACAAAGGTTCAACACTGTTAGTTGATTAGATGCCTCATAAACAAGTTCCTGAGATAGCTTCTATGTCGTTTTTATGGGAAGATATTTCCTTTTTCACCATAGGCCTGAAAGCGCTCCAAATGTCCACTTCCAGATACTACAATAAGAGTGTTTCCAACCTGCTCTATGAAACGGAAGGTTCAACTCTGTGACTTGATTGCAAACATCACGAAGGTGTTTCTGAGAATGCTTCTGTCTAGATTTTCTTTGAAGACATTCCCGTTTCCAACGAAATCCTCACAGCTATCCAAATATCCTCTTGCAGATTCTACAAAAAGTGTGGTTCAAAACTGCTGTATCAAAAGAATGGATCAACACTGTTAGTTGAGTACCCACATCACAAACGTGATTCTCAGAATGCTTCTGTCTAGTTTCTGTAGGTAGATATTTCCTATTTTAAGCATAGGCCTGAAAGCGCTCCAAATGCCCGCTTCCAGACACTATAAAAAGAGGGTTTCAAACCTACTCTATGAAAGGGAATGTTCAACTCTGAGAGCTGGATGCAAACATCACAAAGAAGTTTCTGAGAATGCTGCTGTCTACTTTTTATATATAATCCCGTTTCCAACGAAATCCTCAAATCTATCCAAATATCCACTTGCAGATTCCAAAAGAAGAGTGTCTCAAAACTGCTCTATCAATAGAAATGTTCAGCACAGTTAGTTGAGTAGATACAGCATAAACATGTTTCTGAGATTACTTCTATCTCGCATTCATGGGAAGATATTTCCTTTTTCCAGATAGGCTACAAAGCCCTCCAAATGTCCACTTCCAGATACTACAAATAGAGTGCTGCACAACTGCTCTATGTGAGGGGAAGTTCAATTCTGTGACTTGAATGCAGACACCACAAAGAAGTTTCTGAGAATTCTGCTGTCTAATTTTTACATGTAAGCCCGTTTCCAACGAAATCCTCAAAGCTATCCAAATATCCGCATGCAGAATCTTCAAAAAGAGTGTTCCAGAAGTACTGCATGAAACGAAAGGTTCAAGTCCGTTTGTTGAGGACACACATCACAAATAAGTTTCTCAGAATGCTTCTGTCTTGTTTTCATTGGAAGATATTTCCTTTTTCACCATAGTTCAGAAAGCGCTCCAAATGTCCACTTCCAGATACTCCAAAAAGAGTGTTTCAAACCTGCTCTATGAATGGGAATGTTCCACTCTGTGACTTGAATGGAAATATGGCAAAGTATTTTCTGAGTATGCTGCTGTGTACGTTTTATATTGCATCCCGTTTCCAACGAAATCCTCAAAGCGATCCAAATATCCACTTGCAGATTCCAAAAAAAGAGTGTTTCAAACTGCTCTGTCAGTACAAAGGTTCAACACTGTTAGTTGATTAGATGCATCATAAACAAGTTCCTGAGATAGTTTCTATGTCGTTTTTATGGGAAGATATTTCCTTTTTCACCATAGGCCTGAAAGCGCTCCAAATGTCCACTTCCAGATACTACAATAAGAGTGTTTCCAACCTGCTCTATGAAACGGAAGGTTCAACTCTGTGACTTGATTGCAAACATCACGAAGGTGTTTCTGAGAATGCTTCTGTCTAGATTTTCTTTGAAGACATTCCCGTTTCCAACGAAATCCTCACAGCTATCCAAATATCCTCTTGCAGATTCTACAAAAAGTGTGGTTCAAAACTGCTGTATCAAAAGAATGGATCAACACTGTTAGTTGAGTACCCACATCACAAACGTGATTCTCAGAATGCTTCTGTCTAGTTTCTGTAGGTAGATATTTCCTATTTTAAGCATAGGCCTGAAAGCGCTCCAAATGCCCGCTTCCAGACACTATAAAAAGAGGGTTTCAAACCTACTCTATGAAAGGGAATGTTCAACTCTGAGAGCTGGATGCAAACATCACAAAGAAGTTTCTGAGAATGCTGCTGTCTACTTTTTATATATAATCCCGTTTCCAACGAAATCCTCAAATCTCTCCAAATATCCACTTGCAGATTCCAAAAGAAGAGTGTCTCAAAACTGCTCTATCAATAGAAATGTTCAGCACAGTTAGTTGAGTAGATACAGCATAAACATGTTTCTGAGATTACTTCTATCTCGCATTCATGGGAAGATATTTCCTTTTTCCACATAGGCTACAAAGCCCTCCAAATGTCCACTTCCAGATACTACAAAAAGAGTGTTTCCAACCTGCTCTATGAAACGGAAGGTTCAACTCTGTGACTTGATTGCAAACATCACGAAGGTGTTTCTGAGAATGCTTCTGTCTAGATTTACTTTGAAGACATTACCGTTTCCAACGAAATCCTCAAAGCTAGCCAAATATCCACCTGCAGATTCTACAAAAAGAGTGTTTCAAAAGTGCTCTGTCCAAACCAAGGTTCAATTCTGACAGTTGAGTGCACACATCACAAACGTGATTCTGCGAATGCTTCTGTCTAGTTTTTGTCGGAAGATATTTCCTTTTTCAGCATAGGCCCCAAGGAGCTCAAAATGTCCACTGCCAGATAGTACGAGAAGATTGTTTCAAACCTGCTCTGTGAAAGGGAATGTTCAACTCTGTGACTTGAATGTAAACATCCCTAAGATGTTTCTTAGAATGCTTCTGGCTAGATTTGATTTGAAGATATTCCCGTTTCCAACGAAATCCTCAAAGCTTTCCAAATATCCACTTCCAGATTCTATAAAAAGAATGTTTCAGAACAGTTCTGTCAAAAGAAAGGTTCAACTGCTGTTAGTGGAGAACACACATCACAATCAAGGTTCTGAGAATGCTTCTGTCTAAATTTTCTATGAAGACATTCCCGTTTCCAACGAAATCCTCACAGCTATCCAAATATCCACTTGCAGATTCTACAAAAAGTGTGGTTCAAAACTGCTGTATCAAAAGAATGGATCAACACTGTTAGTTGAGTACCCACATCACAAACGTGATTCTCAGAATGCTTCTGTCTAGTTTCTATAGGTAGATATTTCCTTTTTCAGCATAGGCCTGAAAGCGCTCCAAATGCCCGCTTCCAGACACTATAAAAAGAGGGTTTCAAAACTACTCTATGAAAGGGAATGTTCAACTCTGGGAGCTAGATGCAAACATCACAAAGAAGTTTCTGAGAATGCTGCTGTCTACTTTTTATATATAATCCCGTTTCCAACGAAATCCTCAAATCTATCCAAATATCCACTTGCAGATTCCAAAAGAAGAGTGTCTCAAAACTGCTCTATCAATAGAAATGTTCAGCACAGTTAGTTGAGTAGATACAGCATAAACATGTTTCTGAGATTACTCTATCTCGCATTCATGGGAAGATATTTCCTTTTTCCAGATAGGCTACAAAGCCCTCCAAATGTCCACTTCCAGATACTACAAATAGAGTGCTGCACAACTGCTCTATGTGAGGGGAAGTTCAATTCTGTGACTTGAATGCAGACACCACAAAGAAGTTTCTGAGAATGCTGGCTGTCTATTTTTACATGTAAGCCCGTTTCCAACGAAATCCTCAAAGCTATCCAAATATCCGCATGCAGAATCTTCAAAAAGAGTGTTCCAGAAGTACTGCATGAAACGAAAGGTTCAAGTCCGTTTGTTGAGGACACACATCACAAATAAGTTTCTCAGAATGCTTCTGTCTTGTTTTCATTGGAAGATATTTCCTTTTTCACCATAGTTCAGAAAGCGCTCCAAATGTCCACTTCCAGATACTCCAAAAAGTGTGTTTCAAACCTGCTCTATGAATGGGAATGTTCCACTCTGTGACTTGAATGGAAATATGGCAAAGTATTTTCTGAGTATGCTGCTGTGTACGTTTTATATTGCATCCCGTTTCCAACGAAATCCTCAAAGCGATCCAAATATCCACTTGCAGATTCCAAAAAAAGAGTGTTTCAAACTGCTCTGTCAGTACAAAGGTTCAACACTGTTAGTTGATTAGATGCATCATAAACAAGTTCCTGAGATAGCTTCTATGTCGTTTTTATGGGAAGATATTTCCTTTTTCACCATAGGCCTGAAAGCGCTCCAAATGTCCACTTCCAGATACTACAATAAGAGTGTTTCCAACCTGCTCTATGAAACGGAAGGTTCAACTCTGTGACTTGATTGCAAACATCACGAAGGTGTTTCTGAGAATGCTTCTGTCTAGATTTTCTTTGAAGACATTCCCGTTTCCAACGAAATCCTCACAGCTATCCAAATATCCTCTTGCAGATTCTACAAAAAGTGTGGTTCAAAACTGCTGTATCAAAAGAATGGATCAACACTGTTAGTTGAGTACCCACATCACAAACGTGATTCTCAGAATGCTTCTGTCTAGTTTCTGTAGGTAGATATTTCCTATTTTAAGCATAGGCCTGAAAGCGCTCCAAATGCCCGCTTCCAGACACTATAAAAAGAGGGTTTCAAACCTACTCTATGAAAGGGAATGTTCAACTCTGAGAGCTGGATGCAAACATCACAAAGAAGTTTCTGAGAATGCTGCTGTCTACTTTTGATATATAATCCCGTTTCCAACGAAATCCTCAAATCTATCCAAATATCCACTTGCAGATTCCAAAAGAAGAGTGTCTCAAAACTGCTCTATCAATAGAAATGTTCAGCACAGTTAGTTGAGTAGATACAGCATAAACATGTTTCTGAGATTACTTCTATCTCGCATTCATGGGAAGATATTTCCTTTTTCCAGATAGGCTACAAAGCCCTCCAAATGTCCACTTCCAGATACTACAAATAGAGTGCTGCACAACTGCTCTATGTGAGGGGAAGTTCAATTCTGTGACTTGAATGCAGACACCACAAAGAAGTTTCTGAGAATGCTGCTGTCTAATTTTTACATGTAAGCCCGTTTCCAACGAAATCCTCAAAGCTATCCAAATATCCGCATGCAGAATCTTCAAAAAGAGTGTTCCAGAAGTACTGCATGAAACGAAAGGTTCAAGTCCGTTTGTTGAGGACACACATCACAAATAAGTTTCTCAGAATGCTTCTGTCTTGTTTTCATTGGAAGATATTTCCTTTTTCACCATAGTTCAGAAAGCGCTCCAAATGTCCACTTCCAGATACTCCAAAAAGAGTGTTTCAAACCTGCTCTATGAATGGGAATGTTCCACTCTGTGACTTGAATGGAAATATGGCAAAGTATTTTCTGAGTATGCTGCTGTGTACGTTTTATATTGCATCCCGTTTCCAACGAAATCCTCAAAGCGATCCAAATATCCACTTGCAGATTCCAAAAAAAGAGTGTTTCAAACTGCTCTGTCAGTACAAAGGTTCAACACTGTTAGTTGATTAGATGCATCATAAACAAGTTCCTGAGATAGCTTCTATGTCGTTTTTATGGGAAGATATTTCCTTTTTCACCATAGGCCTGAAAGCGCTCCAAATGTCCACTTCCAGATACTACAAAAAGAGTGTTTCCAACCTGCTCTATGAAACGGAAGGTTCAACTCTGTGACTTGATTGCAAACATCACGAAGGTGTTTCTGAGAATGCTTCTGTCTAGATTTTCTTTGAAGACATTACCGTTTCCAACGAAATCCTCAAAGCTAGCCAAATATCCACCTGCAGATTCTACAAAAAGAGTGTTTCAAAATTGCTCTGTCCAAACCAAGGTTCAATTCTGACAGTTGAGTGCACACATCACAAACGTGATTCTGCGAATGCTTCTGTCTAGTTTTTGTCGGAAGATATTTCCTTTTTCAGCATAGGCCCCAAGGAGCTCAAAATGTCCACTGCCAGATAGTACGAGAAGATTGTTTCAAACCTGCTCTGTGAAAGGGAATGTTCAACTCTGTGACTTGAATGTAAACATCCCTAAGATGTTTCTTAGAATGCTTCTGGCTAGATTTTATTTGAAGATATTCCCGTTTCCAACGAAATCCTCAAAGCTTTCCAAATATCCACTTCCAGATTCTATAAAAAGAATGTTTCAGAACAGTTGCTGTTAAAAGAAAGGTTCAACTCTGTTAGTGGAGAACAGCACATCACAATCAAGGTTCTGAGAATGCTTCTGTCTAAATTTTCTATGAAGACATTCCCGTTTCCAAGGAAATCCTCACAGCTATCCAAATATCCACTTGCAGATTCTACAAAAAGTGTGGTTCAAAACTGCTGTATCAAAAGAATGGATCAACACTGTTAGTTGAGAACCCACATCACCAACGTGATTCTCAGAATGCTTCTGTCTAGTTTCTATAGGTAGATATTTCCTTTTTCAGCACAGGCCTGAAAGCGCTCCAAATGCCCGCTTCCAGACACTATAAAAAGAGGGTTTCAAACCTACTCTATGAAAGGGAATGTTCAACTCTGAGAGCTGGATGCAAACATCACAAAGAAGTTTCTGAGAATGCTGCTGTCTACTTTTGATATATAATCCCGTTTCCAACGAAATCCTCAAATCTATCCAAATATCCACTTGCAGATTCCAAAAGAAGAGTGTCTCAAAACTGCTCTATCAATAGAAATGTTCAGCACAGTTAGTTGAGTAGATACAGCATAAACATGTTTCTGAGATTACTTCTATCTCGCATTCATGGGAAGATATTTCCTTTTTCCACATAGGCTACAAAGCCCTCCAAATGTCCACTTCCAGATACTACAAAAAGAGTGTTTCCAACCTGCTCTATGAAACGGAAGGTTCAACTCTGTGACTTGATTGCAAACATCACGAAGGTGTTTCTGAGAATGCTTCTGTCTAGATTTTCTTTGAAGACATTACCGTTTCCAACGAAATCCTCAAAGCTAGCCAAATATCCACCTGCAGATTCTACAAAAAGAGTGTTTCAAAAGTGCTCTGTCCAAACCAAGGTTCAATTCTGACAGTTGAGTGCACACATCACAAACGTGATTCTGCGAATGCTTCTGTCTAGTTTTTGTCGGAAGATATTTCCTTTTTCAGCATAGGCCCCAAGGAGCTCAAAATGTCCACTGCCAGATAGTACGAGAAGATTGTTTCAAACCTGCTCTGTGAAAGGGAATGTTCAACTCTGTGACTTGAATGTAAACATCCCTAAGATGTTTCTTAGAATGCTTCTGGCTAGATTTGATTTGAAGATATTCCCGTTTCCAACGAAATCCTCAAAGCTTTCCAAATATCCACTTCCAGATTCTATAAAAAGAATGTTTCAGAACAGTTCTGTCAAAAGAAAGGTTCAACTCTGTTAGTGGAGAACACACATCACAATCAAGGTTCTGAGAATGCTTCTGTCTAAATTTTCTATGAAGACATTCCCGTTTCCAACGAAATCCTCACAGCTATCCAAATATCCACTTGCAGATTCTACAAAAAGTGTGGTTCAAAACTGCTGTATCAAAAGAATGGATCAACACTGTTAGTTGAGTACCCACATCACAAACGTGATTCTCAGAATGCTTCTGTCTAGTTTCTATAGGTAGATATTTCCTTTTTCAGCATAGGCCTGAAAGCGCTCCAAATGCCCGCTTCCAGACACTATAAAAAGAGGGTTTCAAACCTACTCTATGAAAGGGAATGTTCAACTCTGAGAGCTGGATGCAAACATCACAAAGAAGTTTCTGAGAATGCTGCTGTCTACTTTTTATATATAATCCCGTTTCCAACGAAATCCTCAAATCTATCCAAATATCCACTTGCAGATTCCAAAAGAAGAGTGTCTCAAAACTGCTCTATCAATAGAAATGTTCAGCACAGTTAGTTGAGTAGATACAGCATAAACATGTTTCTGAGATTACTTCTATCTCGCATTCATGGGAAGATATTTCCTTTTTCCAGATAGGCTACAAAGCCCTCCAAATGTCCACTTCCAGATACTACAAAAAGAGTGTTTCCAACCTGCTCTATGAAACGGAAGGTTCAACTCTGTGACTTGATTGCAAACATCACGAAGTTGTTTCTGAGAATGCTTCTGTCTAGATTTTCTTTGAAGACATTACCGTTTCCAACGAAATCCTCAAAGCTAGCCAAATATCCACCTGCAGATTCTACAAAAAGAGTGTTTCAAAAGTGCTCTGTCCAAACCAAGGTTCAATTCTGACAGTTGAGTGCACACATCACAAACGTGATTCTGCGAATGCTTCTGTCTAGTTTTTGTCAGAAGATATTTCCTTTTTCAGCATAGGCCCCAAGGAGCTCAAAATGTCCACTTCCAGATAGTACGAGAAGATTGTTTCAAACCTGCTCTGTGAAAGGGAATGTTCAACTCTGTGACTTGAATGTAAACATCCCTAAGATGTTTCTTAGAATGCTTCTGGCTAGATTTGATTTCAAGATATTCCCGTTTCCAACGAAATCCTCAAAGCTTTCCAAATATCCACTTCCAGATTCTATACAAAGAATGTTTCAGAACAGTTCTGTCAAAAGAAAGGTTCAACCCTGTTAGTGGAGAACACACATCACAATCAAGGTTCTGAGAATGCTTCTGTCTAAATTTTCTATGAAGACATTCCCGTTTCCAACGAAATCCTCACAGCTATCCAAATATCCACTTGCAGATTCTACAAAAAGTGTGGTTCAAAACTGCTGTATCAAAAGAATGGATCAACACTGTTAGTTGAGTACCCACATCACAAACGTGATTCTCAGAATGCTTCTGTCTAGTTTCTGTAGGTAGATATTTCCTATTTTAAGCATAGGCCTGAAAGCGCTCCAAATGCCCGCTTCCAGACACTATAAAAAGAGGGTTTCAAACCTACTCTATGAAAGGGAATGTTCAACTCTGAGAGCTGGATGCAAACATCACAAAGAAGTTTCTGAGAATGCTGCTGTCTACTTTTTATATATAATCCCGTTTCCAACGAAATCCTCAAATCTATCCAAATATCCACTTGCAGATTCCAAAAGAAGAGTGTCTCAAAACTGCTCTATCAATAGAAATGTTCAGCACAGTTAGTTGAGTAGATACAGCATAAACATGTTTCTGAGATTACTTCTATCTCGCATTCATGGGAAGATATTTCCTTTTTCCAGATAGGCTACAAAGCCCTCCAAATGTCCACTTCCAGATACTACAAAAAGAGTGTTTCCAACCTGCTCTATGAGACGGAAGGTTCAACTCTGTGACTTGATTGCAAACATCACGAAGGTGTTTCTGAGAATGCTTCTGTCTAGATTTTCTTTGAAGACATTACCGTTTCCAACGAAATCCTCAAAGCTAGCCAAATATCCACCTGCAGATTCTACAAAAAGAGTGTTTCAAAAGTGCTCTGTCCAAACCAAGGTTCAATTCTGACAGTTGAGTGCACACATCACAAACGTGATTCTGCGAATGCTTCTGTCTAGTTTTTGTCGGAAGATATTTCCTTTTTCAGCATAGGCCCCAAGGAGCTCAAAATGTCCACTGCCAGATAGTACGAGAAGATTGTTTCAAACCTGCTCTGTGAAAGGGAATGTTCAACTCTGTGACTTGAATGTAAACATCCCTAAGATGTTTCTTAGAATGCTTCTGGCTAGATTTGATTTGAAGATATTCCCGTTTCCAACGAAATCCTCAAAGCTTTCCAAATATCCACTTCCAGATTCTATAACAAGAATGTTTCAGAACAGTTCTGTCAAAAGAAAGGTTCAACTCTGTTAGTGGAGAACACACATCACAATCAAGGTTCTGAGAATGCTTCTGTCTAAATTTTCTATGAAGACATTCCCGTTTCCAACGAAATCCTCACAGCTATCCAAATATCCACTTGCAGATTCTACAAAAAGTGTGGTTCAAAACTGCTGTATCAAAAGAATGGATCAACACTGTTAGTTGAGTACCCACATCACAAACGTGATTCTCAGAATGCTTCTGTCTAGTTTCCATAGGTAGATATTTCCTTTTTCAGCATAGGCCTGAAAGCGCTCCAAATGCCCGCTTCCAGACACTATAAAAAGAGGGTTTCAAACCTACTCTATGAAAGGGAATGTTCAACTCTGAGAGCTGGATGCAAACATCACAAAGAAGTTTCTGAGAATGCTGCTGTCTACTTTTGATATATAATCCCGTTTCCAACGAAATCCTCAAATCTATCCAAATATCCACTTGCAGATTCCAAAAGAAGAGTGTCTCAAAACTGCTCTATCAATAGAAATGTTCAGCACAGTTAGTTGAGTAGATACAGCATAAACATGTTTCTGAGATTACTTCTATCTCGCATTCATGGGAAGATATTTCCTTTTTCCAGATAGGCTACAAAGCCCTCCAAATGTCCACTTCCAGATACTACAAAAAGAGTGTTTCCAACCTGCTCTATGAAACGGAAGGTTCAACTCTGTGACTTGATTGCAAACATCACGAAGGTGTTTCTGAGAATGCTTCTGTCTAGATTTTCTTTGAAGACATTACCGTTTCCAACGAAATCCTCAAAGTAGCCAAATATCCACCTGCAGATTCTACAAAAAGAGTGTTTCAAAAGTGCTCTGTCCAAACCAAGGTTCAATTCTGACAGTTGAGTGCACACATCACAAACGTGATTCTGCGAATGCTTCTGTCTAGTTTTTGTCGGAAGATATTTCCTTTTTCAGCATAGGCCCCAAGGAGCTCAAAATGTCCACTGCCAGATAGTACGAGAAGATTGTTTCAAACCTGCTCTGTGAAAGGGAATGTTCAACTCTGTGACTTGAATGTAAACATCCCTAAGATGTTTCTTAGAATGCTTCTGGCTAGATTTTATTTGAAGATATTCCCGTTTCCAACGAAATCCTCAAAGCTTTCCAAATATCCACTTCCAGATTCTATAAAAAGAATGTTTCAAAACAGTTCTGTCCAAAGAAAGGTTCAACCCTGTTGGTTGAGAACACACATCACAATCAAGGTTCTGAGAATGCTTCTGTGTAGATTTTCTTTGAAGACATTCCCGTTTCCAACGAAATCCTCACAGCTATCCAAATATCCTCTTGCAGATTCTACAAAAAGTGTGGTTCAAAACTGCTGTATCAAAAGAATGGATCAACACTGTTAGTTGAGTACCCACATCACAAACGTGATTCTCAGAATGCTTCTGTCTAGTTTCTGTAGGTAGATATTTCCTATTTTAAGCATAGGCCTGAAAGCGCTCCAAATGCCCGCTTCCAGACACTATAAAAAGAGGGTTTCAAACCTACTCTATGAAAGGGAATGTTCAACTCTGAGAGCTGGATGCAAACATCACAAAGAAGTTTCTGAGAATGCTGCTGTCTACTTTTGATATATAATCCCGTTTCCAACGAAAATCCTCAAATCTATCCAAATATCCACTTGCAGATTCCAAAAGAAGAGTGTCTCAAAACTGCTCTATCAATAGAAATGTTCAGCACAGTTAGTTGAGTAGATACAGCATAAACATGTTTCTGAGATTACTTCTATCTCGCATTCATGGGAAGATATTTCCTTTTTCCAGATAGGCTACAAAGCCCTCCAAATGTCCACTTCCAGATACTACAAAAAGAGTGTTTCCAACCTGCTCTATGAAACGGAAGGTTCAACTCTGTGACTTGATTGCAAACATCACGAAGGTGTTTCTGAGAATGCTTCTGTCTAGATTTTCTTTGAAGACATTACCGTTTCCAACGAAATCCTCAAAGCTAGCCAAATATCCACCTGCAGATTCTACAAAAAGAGTGTTTCAAAAGTGCTCTGTCCAAACCAAGGTTCAATTCTGACAGTTGAGTGCACACATCACAAACGTGATTCTGCGAATGCTTCTGTCTAGTTTTTGTCGGAAGATATTTCCTTTTTCAGCATAGGCCCCAAGGAGCTCAAAATGTCCACTGCCAGATAGTACGAGAAGATTGTTTCAAACCTGCTCTGTGAAAGGGAATGTTCAACTCTGTGACTTGAATGTAAACATCCCTAAGATGTTTCTTAGAATGCTTCTGGCTAGATTTGATTTGAAGATATTCCCGTTTCCAACGAAATCCTCAAAGCTTTCCAAATATCCACTTCCAGATTCTATAAAAAGAATGTTTCAGAACAGTTCTGTCAAAAGAAAGGTTCAACTCTGTTAGTGGAGAACACACTTCACAATCAAGGTTCTGAGAATGCTTCTGTCTAAATTTTCTATGAAGACATTCCCGTTTCCAACGAAATCCTCACAGCTATCCAAATATCCACTTGCAGATTCTACAAAAAGTGTGGTTCAAAACTGCTGTATCAAAAGAATGGATCAACACTGTTAGTTGAGTACCCACATCACAAACGTGATTCTCAGAATGCTTCTGTCTAGTTTCTATAGGTAGATATTTCCTTTTTCAGCATAGGCCCGAAAGCGCTCCAAATGCCCGCTTCCAGACACTATAAAAAGAGGGTTTCAAACCTACTCTATGAAAGGGAATGTTCAACTCTGAGAGCTGGATGCAAACATCACAAAGAAGTTTCTGAGAATGCTGCTGTCTACTTTTGATATATAATCCCGTTTCCAACGAAATCCTCAAATCTATCCAAATATCCACTTGCAGATTCCAAAAGAAGAGTGTCTCAAAACTGCTCTATCAATAGAAATGTTCAGCACAGTTAGTTGAGTAGATACAGCATAAACATGTTTCTGAGATTACTTCTATCTCGCATTCATGGGAAGATATTTCCTTTTTCCAGATAGGCTACAAAGCCCTCCAAATGTCCACTTCCAGATACTACAAAAAGAGTGTTTCCAACCTGCTCTATGAAACGGAAGGTTCAACTCTGTGACTTGATTGCAAACATCACGAAGGTGTTTCTGAGAATGCTTCTGTCTAGATTTTCTTTGAAGACATTACCGTTTCCAACGAAATCCTCAAAGCTAGCCAAATATCCACCTGCAGATTCTACAAAAAGAGTGTTTCAAAAGTGCTCTCTCCAAACCAAGGTTCAATTGCTGACAGTTGAGTGCACACATCACAAACGTGATTCTGCGAATGCTTCTGTCTAGTTTTTGTCGGAAGATATTTCCTTTTTCAGCATAGGCCCCAAGGAGCTCAAAATGTCCACTGCCAGATAGTACGAGAAGATTGTTTCAAACCTGCTCTGTGAAAGGGAATGTTCAACTCTGTGACTTGAATGTAAACATCCCTAAGATGTTTCTTAGAATGCTTCTGGCTAGATTTGATTTGAAGATATTCCCGTTTCCAACGAAATCCTCAAAGCTTTCCAAATATCCACTTCCAGATTCTACAAAAAGAATGTTTCAGAACAGTTCTGTCAAAAGAAAGGTTCAACTCTGTTAGTGGAGAACACACATCACAATCAAGGTTCTGAGAATGCTTCTGTCTAAATTTTCTATGAAGACATTCCCGTTTCCAACGAAATCCTCACAGCTATCCAAATATCCACTTGCAGATTCTACAAAAAGTGTGGTTCAAAACTGCTGTATCAAAAGAATGGATCAACACTGTTAGTTGAGTACCCACATCACAAACGTGATTCTCAGAATGCTTCTGTCTAGTTTCTATAGGTAGATATTTCCTTTTTCAGCATAGGCCTGAAAGCGCTCCAAATGCCCGCTTCCAGACACTATAAAAAGAGGGTTTCAAACCTACTCTATGAAAGGGAATGTTCAACTCTGAGAGCTGGATGCAAACATCACAAAGAAGTTTCTGAGAATGCTGCTGTCTACTTTTTATATATAATCCCGTTTCCAACGAAATCCTCAAATCTATCCAAATATCCACTTGCAGATTCCAAAAGAAGAGTGTCTCAAAACTGCTCTATCAATAGAAATGTTCAGCACAGTTAGTTGAGTAGATACAGCATAAACATGTTTCTGAGATTACTTCTATCTCGCATTCATGGGAAGATATTTCCTTTTTCCAGATAGGCTACAAAGCCCTCCAAATGTCCACTTCCAGATACTACAAATAGAGTGCTGCACAACTGCTCTATGTGAGGGGAAGTTCAATTCTGTGACTTGAATGCAGACACCACAAAGAAGTTTCTGAGAATGCTGCTGTCTAATTTTTACATGTAAGCCCGTTTCCAACGAAATCCTCAAAGCTATCCAAATATCCGCATGCAGAATCTTCAAAAAGAGTGTTCCAGAAGTACTGCATGAAACGAAAGGTTCAAGTCCGTTTGTTGAGGACACACATCACAAATAAGTTTCTCAGAATGCTTCTGTCTTGTTTTCATTGGAAGATATTTCCTTTTTCACCATAGTTCATAAAGCGCTCCAAATGTCCACTTCCAGATACTCCAAAAAGAGTGTTTCCAACCTGCTCTATGAATGGGAATGTTCCACTCTGTGACTTGAATGGAAATATGGCAAAGTATTTTCTGAGTATGCTGCTGTGTACGTTTTATATTGCATCCCGTTTCCAACGAAATCCTCAAAGCGATCCAAATATCCACTTGCAGATTCCAAAAAAAGAGTGTTTCAAAGTGCTCTGTCAGTACAAAGGTTCAACACTGTTAGTTGATTAGATGCATCATAAACAAGTTCCTGAGATAGCTTCTATGTCGTTTTTATGGAAGATATTTCCTTTTTCACCATAGGCCTGAAAGCGCTCCAAATGTCCACTTCCAGATACTACAATAAGAGTGTTTCCAACCTGCTCTATGAAACGGAAGGTTCAACTCTGTGACTTGATTGCAAACATCACGAAGGTGTTTCTGAGAATGCTTCTGTCTAGATTTTCTTTGAAGACATTCCCGTTTCCAACGAAATCCTCACAGCTATCCAAATATCCTCTTGCAGATTCTACAAAAAGTGTGGTTCAAAACTGCTGTATCAAAAGAATGGATCAACACTGTTAGTTGAGTACCCACATCACAAACGTGATTCTCAGAATGCTTCTGTCTAGTTTCTGTAGGTAGATATTTCCTATTTTAAGCATAGGCCTGAAAGCGCTCCAAATGCCCGCTTCCAGACACTATAAAAAGAGGGTTTCAAACCTACTCTATGAAAGGGAATGTTCAATTCTGAGAGCTGGATGCAAACATCACAAAGAAGTTTCTGAGAATGCTGCTGTCTACTTTTTATATATAATCCCGTTTCCAACGAAATCCTCAAATCTATCCAAATATCCACTTGCAGATTCCAAAAGAAGAGTGTCTCAAAACTGCTCTATCAATAGAAATGTTCAGCACAGTTAGTTGAGTAGATACAGCATAAACATGTTTCTGAGATTACTTCTATCTCGCATTCATGGGAAGATATTTCCTTTTTCCAGATAGGCTACAAAGCCCTCCAAATGTCCACTTCCAGATACTACAAAAAGAGTGTTTCCAACCTGCTCTATGAAACGGAAGGTTCAACTCTGTGACTTGATTGCAAACATCACGAAGGTGTTTCTGAGAATGCTTCTGTCTAGATTTTCTTTGAAGACATTACCGTTTCCAACGAAATCCTCAAAGCTAGCCAAATATCCACCTGCAGATTCTACAAAAAGAGTGTTTCAAAAGTGCTCTGTCCAAACCAAGGTTCAATTCTGACAGTTGAGTGCACACATCACAAACGTGATTCTGCGAATGCTTCTGTCTAGTTTTTGTCGGAAGATATTTCCTTTTTCAGCATAGGCCCCAAGGAGCTCAAAATGTCCCCTGCCAGATAGTACGAGAAGATTGTTTCAAACCTGCTCTGTGAAAGGGAATGTTCAACTCTGTGACTTGAATGTAAACATCCCTAAGATGTTTCTTAGAATGCTTCTGGCTAGATTTTATTTGAAGATATTCCCGTTTCCAACGAAATCCTCAAAGCTTTCCAAATATCCACTTCCAGATTCTATAAAAAGAATGTTTCAGAACAGTTCTGTCAAAAGAAAGGTTCAACTCTGTTAGTGGAGAACACACATCACAATCAAGGTTCTGAGAATGCTTCTGTCTAAATTTTCTATGAAGACATTCCCGTTTCCAACGAAATCCTCACAGCTATCCAAATATCCACTTGCAGATTCTACAAAAAGTGTGGTTCAAAACTGCTGTATCAAAAGAATGGATCAACACTGTTAGTTGAGTACCCACATCACAAACGTGATTCTCAGAATGCTTCTGTCTAGTTTCTATAGGTAGATATTTCCTTTTTCAGCATAGGCCTGAAAGCGCTCCAAATGCCCGCTTCCAGACACTATAAAAAGAGGGTTTCAAACCTACTCTATGAAAGGGAATGTTCAACTCTGAGAGCTTAATGCAAACATCACAAAGAAGTTTCTGAGAATGCTGCTGTCTACTTTTGATATATAATCCCGTTTCCAACGAAATCCTCAAATCTATCCAAATATCCACTTGCAGATTCCAAAAGAAGAGTGTCTCAAAACTGCTCTATCAATAGAAATGTTCAGCACAGTTAGTTGAGTAGATACAGCATAAACATGTTTCTGAGATTACTTCTATCTCGCATTCATGGGAAGATATTTCCTTTTTCCAGATAGGCTACAAAGCCCTCCAAATGTCCACTTCGAGATACTACAAATAGAGTGCTGCACAACTGCTCTATGTGAGGGGAAGTTCAATTCTGTGACTTGAATGCAGACACCACAAAGAAGTTTGTGAGAATGCTGCTGTCTAATTTTTACATGTAAGCCCGTTTCCAACGAAATCCTCAAAGCTATCCAAATATCCGCATGCAGAATCTTCAAAAAGAGTGTTCCAGAAGTACTGCATGAAACGAAAGGTTCAAGTCCGTTTGTTGAGGACACACATCACAAATAAGTTTCTCAGAATGCTTCTGTCTTGTTTTCATTGGAAGATATTTCCTTTTTCACCATAGTTCAGAAAGCGCTCCAAATGTCCACTTCCAGATACTCCAAAAAGTGTGTTTCAAACCTGCTCTATGAATGGGAATGTTCCACTCTGTGACTTGAATGGAAATATGGCAAAGTATTTTCTGAGTATGCTGCTGTGTACGTTTTATATTGCATCCCGTTTCCAACGAAATCCTCAAAGCGATCCAAATATCCACTTGCAGATTCCAAAAAAAGAGTGTTTCAAACTGCTCTGTCAGTACAAAGGTTCAACACTGTTAGTTGATTAGATGCATCATAAACAAGTTCCTGAGATAGCTTCTATGTCGTTTTTATGGGAAGATATTTCCTTTTTCACCATAGGCCTGAAAGCGCTCCAAATGTCCACTTCCAGATACTACAATAAGAGTGTTTCCAACCTGCTCTATGAAACGGAAGGTTCAACTCTGTGACTTGATTGCAAACATCACGAAGGTGTTTCTGAGAATGCTTCTGTCTAGATTTTCTTTGAAGACATTCCCGTTTCCAACGAAATCCTCACAGCTATCCAAATATCCTCTTGCAGATTCTACAAAAAGTGTGGTTCAAAACTGCTGTATCAAAAGAATGGATCAACACTGTTAGTTGAGTACCCACATCACAAACGTGATTCTCAGAATGCTTCTGTCTAGTTTCTGTAGGTAGATATTTCCTATTGTAAGCATAGGCCTGAAAGCGCTCCAAATGCCCGCTTCCAGACACTATAAAAAGAGGGTTTCAAACCTACTCTATGAAAGGGAATGTTCAACTCTGAGAGCTGGATGCAAACATCACAAAGAAGTTTCTGAGAATGCTGCTGTCTACTTTTTATATATAATCCCGTTTCCAACGAAATCCTCAAATCTATCCAAATATCCACTTGCAGATTCCAAAAGAAGAGTGTCTCAAAACTGCTCTATCAATAGAAATGTTCAGCACAGTTAGTTGAGTAGATACAGCATAAACATGTTTCTGAGATTACTTCTATCTCGCATTCATGGGAAGATATTTCCTTTTTCCAGATAGGCTACAAAGCCCTCCAAATGTCCACTTCCAGATACTACAAAAAGAGTGTTTCCAACCTGCTCTATGAAACGGAAGGTTCAACTCTGTGACTTGATTGCAAACATCACGAAGGTGTTTCTGAGAATGCTTCTGTCTAGATTTTCTTTGAAGACATTACCGTTTCCAACGAAATCCTCAAAGCTAGCCAAATATCCACCTGCAGATTCTACAAAAAGAGTGTTTCAAAAGTGCTCTGTCCAAACCAAGGTTCAATTCTGACAGTTGAGTGCACACATCACAAACGTGATTCTGCGAATGCTTCTGTCTAGTTTTTGTCGGAAGATATTTCCTTTTTCAGCATAGGCCCCAAGGAGCTCAAAATGTCCACTTCCAGATAGTACGAGAAGATTGTTTCAAACCTGCTCTGTGAAAGGGAATGTTCAACTCTGTGACTTGAATGTAAACATCCCTAAGATGTTTCTTAGAATGCTTCTGGCTAGATTTGATTTGAAGATATTCCCGTTTCCAACGAAATCCTCAAAGCTTTCCAAATATCCACTTTCAGATTCTATAAAAAGAATGTTTCAGAACAGTTCTGTCAAAAGAAAGGTTCAACTCTGTTAGTGGAGAACACACATCACAATCAAGGTTCTGAGAATGCTTCTGTCTAAATTTTCTATGAAGACATTCCCGTTTCCAACGAAATCCTCACAGCTATCCAAATATCCACTTGCAGATTCTACAAAAAGTGTGGTTCAAAACTGCTGTATCAAAAGAATGGATCAACACTGTTAGTTGAGTACCCACATCACAAACGTGATTCTCAGAATGCTTCTGTCTAGTTTCTGTAGGTGGATATTTCCTATTTTAAGCATAGGCCTGTAAGCGCTCCAAATGCCCGCTTCTAGACACTATAAAAAGAGGGTTTCAAACCTACTCTATGAAAGGGAATGTTCAACTCTGAGAGCTGGATGCAAACATCACAAAGAAGTTTCTGAGAATGCTGCTGTCTACTTTTTATATATAATCCCGTTTCCAACGAAATCCTCAAATCTATCCAAATATCCACTTGCAGATTCCAAAAGAAGAGTGTCTGAAAACTGCTCTATCAATAGAAATGTTCAGCACAGTTAGTTGAGTAGATACAGCATAAACATGTTTCTGAGATTACTTCTATCTCGCATTCATGGGAAGATATTTCCTTTTTCCAGATAGGCTACAAAGCCCTCCAAATGTCCACTTCCAGATACTACAAAAAGAGTGTTTCCAACCTGCTCTATGAAACGGAAGGTTCAACTCTGTGACTTGATTGCAAACATCACGAAGGTGTTTCTGAGAATGCTTCTGTCTAGATTTTCTTTGAAGACATTCCCGTTTCCAACGAAATCCTCACAGCTATCCAAATATCCTCTTGCAGATTCTACAAAAAGTGTGGTTCAAAACTGCTGTATCAAAAGAATGGATCAACACTGTTAGTTGAGTACCCACATCACAAACGTGATTCTCAGAATGCTTCTGTCTAGTTTCTGTAGGTAGATATTTCCTATTTTAAGCATAGGCCTGAAAGCGCTCCAAATGCCCGCTTCCAGACACTATAAAAAGAGGGTTTCAAACCTACTCTATGAAAGGGAATGCTCAACTCTGAGAGCTGGATGCAAACATCACAAAGAAGTTTCTGAGAATGCTGCTGTCTACTTTTGATATATAATCCCGTTTCCAACGAAATCCTCAAATCTATCCAAATATCCACTTGCAGATTCCAAAAGAAGAGTGTCTCAAAACTGCTCTATCAATAGAAATGTTCAGCACAGTTAGTTGAGTAGATACAGCATAAACATGTTTCTGAGATTACTTCTATCTCGCATTCATGGGAAGATATTTCCTTTTTCCAGATAGGCTACAAAGCCCTCCAAATGTCCACTTCCAGATACTACAAAAAGAGTGTTTCCAACCTGCTCTATGAAACGGAAGGTTCAACTCTGTGACTTGATTGCAAACATCACGAAGGTGTTTCTGAGAATGCTTCTGTCTAGATTTTCTTTGAAGACATTACCGTTTCCAACGAAATCCTCAAAGCTAGCCAAATATCCACCTGCAGATTCTACAAAAAGAGTGTTTCAAAAGTGCTCTGTCCAAACCAAGGTTCAATTCTGACAGTTGAGTGCACACATCACAAACGTGATTCTGCGAATGCTTCTGTCTAGTTTTTGTCGGAAGATATTTCCTTTTTCAGCATAGGCCCCAAGGAGCTCAAAATGTCCACTGCCAGATAGTACGAGAAGATTGTTTCAAACCTGCTCTGTGAAAGGGAATGTTCAACTCTGTGACTTGAATGTAAACATCCCTAAGATGTTTCTTAGAATGCTTCTGGCTAGATTTGATTTGAAGATATTCCCGTTTCCAACGAAATCCTCAAAGCTTTCCAAATATCCACTTCCAGATTCTATAAAAAGAATGTTTCAGAACAGTTCTGTCAAAAGAAAGGTTCAACTCTGTTAGTGGAGAACACACATCACAATCAAGGTTCTGAGAATGCTTCTGTCTAAATTTTCTATGAAGACATTCCCGTTTCCAACGAAATCCTCACAGCTATCCAAATATCCACTTGCAGATTCTACAAAAAGTGTGGTTCAAAACTGCTGTATCAAAAGAATGGATCAACACTGTTAGTTGAGTACCCACATCACAAACGTGATTCTCAGAATGCTTCTGTCTAGTTTCTGTAGGTAGATATTTCCTTTTTCAGCATAGGCCTGAAAGCGCTCCAAATGCCCGCTTCCAGACACTATAAAAAGAGGGTTTCAAACCTACTCTATGAAAGGGAATGTTCAACTCTGAGAGCTGGATGCAAACATCACAAAGAAGTTTCTGAGAATGCTGCTGTCTACTTTTGATATATAATCCCGTTTCCAACGAAATCCTCAAATCTATCCAAATATCCACTTGCAGATTCCAAAAGAAGAGTGTCTCAAAACTGCTCTATCAATAGAAATGTTCAGCACAGTTAGTTGAGTAGATACAGCATAAACATGTTTCTGAGATTACTTCTATCTCGCATTCATGGGAAGATATTTCCTTTTTCCAGATAGGCTACAAAGCCCTCCAAATGTCCACTTCCAGATACTACAAATAGAGTGCTGCACAACTGCTCTATGTGAGGGGATGTTCAATTCTGTGACTTGAATGCAGACACCACAAAGAAGTTTCTGAGAATGCTGCTGTCTAATTTTTACATGTAAGCCCGTTTCCAACGAAATCCTCAAAGCTATCCAAATATCCGCATGCAGAATCTTCAAAAAGAGTGTTCCAGAAGTACTGCATGAAACGAAAGGTTCAAGTCCGTTTGTTGAGGACACACATCACAAATAAGTTTCTCAGAATGCTTCTGTCTTGTTTTCATTGGAAGATATTTCCTTTTTCACCATAGTTCAGAAAGCGCTCCAAATGTCCACTTCCAGATACTCCAAAAAGAGTGTTTCAAACCTGCTCTATGAATGGGAATGTTCCACTCTGTGACTTGAATGGAAATATGGCAAAGTATTTTCTGAGTATGCTGCTGTGTACGTTTTTTATTGAATCCCGTTTCCAACGAAATCCTCAAAGCGATCCAAATATCCACTTGCAGATTCCAAAAAAAGAGTGTTTCAAACTGCTCTGTCAGTACAAAGGTTCAACACTGTTAGTTGATTAGATGCATCATAAACAAGTTCCTGAGATAGCTTCTATGTCGTTTTTATGGGAAGATATTTCCTTTTTCACCATAGGCCTGAAAGCGCTCCAAATGTCCACTTCCAGATACTACAAAAAGAGTGTTTCCAACCTGCTCTATGAAACGGAAGGTTCAACTCTGTGACTTGATTGCAAACATCACGAAGGTGTTTCTGAGAATGCTTCTGTCTAGATTTTCTTTGAAGACATTCCCGTTTCCAACGAAATCCTCACAGCTATCCAAATATCCTCTTGCAGATTCTACAAAAAGTGTGGTTCAAAACTGCTGTATCAAAAGAATGGATCAACACTGTTAGTTGAGTACCCACATCACAAACGTGATTCTCAGAATGCTTCTGTCTAGTTTCTGTAGGTAGATATTTCCTATTTTAAGCATAGGCCTGAAAGCGCTCCAAATGCCCGCTTCCAGACACTATAAAAAGAGGGTTTCAAACCTACTCTATGAAAGGGAATGTTCAACTCTGAGAGCTGGATGCAAACATCACAAAGAAGTTTCTGAGAATGCTGCTGTCTACTTTTTATATATAATCCCGTTTCCAACGAAATCCTCAAATCTATCCAAATATCCACTTGCAGATTCCAAAAGAAGAGTGTCTCAAAACTGCTCTATCAATAGAAATGTTCAGCACAGTTAGTTGAGTAGATACAGCATAAACATGTTTCTGAGATTACTTCTATCTCGCATTCATGGGAAGATATTTCCTTTTTCCAGATAGGCTACAAAGCCCTCCAAATGTCCACTTCCAGATACTACAAAAAGAGTGTTTCCAACCTGCTCTATGAAACGGAAGGTTCAACTCTGTGACTTGATTGCAAACATCACGAAGTTGTTTCTGAGAATGCTTCTGTCTAGATTTTCTTTGAAGACATTACCGTTTCCAACGAAATCCTCAAAGCTAGCCAAATATCCACCTGCAGATTCTACAAAAAGAGTGTTTCAAAAGTGCTCTGTCCAAACCAAGGTTCAATTCTGACAGTTGAGTGCACACATCACAAACGTGATTCTGCGAATGCTTCTGTCTAGTTTTTGTCGGAAGATATTTCCTTTTTCAGCATAGGCCCCAAGGAGCTCAAAATGTCCACTGCCAGATAGTACGAGAAGATTGTTTCAAACCTGCTCTGTGAAAGGGAATGTTCAACTCTGTGACTTGAATGTAAACATCCCTAAGATGTTTCTTAGAATGCTTCTGGCTAGATTTTATTTGAAGATATTCCCGTTTCCAACGAAATCCTCAAAGCTTTCCAAATATCCACTTCCAGATTCTATAAAAAGAATGTTTCAGAACAGTTCTGTCAAAAGAAAGGTTCAACTCTGTTAGTGGAGAACACACTTCACAATCAAGGTTCTGAGAATGCTTCTGTCTAAATTTTCTATGAAGACATTCCCGTTTCCAACGAAATCCTCACAGCTATCCAAATATCCACTTGCAGATTCTACAAAAAGTGTGGTTCAAAACTGCTGTATCAAAAGAATGGATCAACACTGTTAGTTGAGTACCCACATCACAAACGTGATTCTCAGAATGCTTCTGTCTAGTTTCTATAGGTAGATATTTCCTTTTTCAGCATAGGCCTGAAAGCGCTCCAAATGCCCGCTTCCAGACACTATAAAAAGAGGGTTTCAAACCTACTCTATGAAAGGGAATGTTCAACTCTGAGAGCTGGATGCAAACATCACAAAGAAGTTTCTGAGAATGCTGCTGTCTACTTTTGATATATAATCCCGTTTCCAACGAAATCCTCAAATCTATCCAAATATCCACTTGCAGATTCCAAAAGAAGAGTGTCTCAAAACTGCTCTATCAATAGAAATGTTCAGCACAGTTAGTTGAGTAGATACAGCATAAACATGTTTCTGAGATTACTTCTATCTCGCATTCATGGGAAGATATTTCCTTTTTCCAGATAGGCTACAAAGCCCTCCAAATGTCCACTTCCAGATACTACAAAAAGAGTGTTTCCAACCTGCTCTATGAAACGGAAGGTTCAACTCTGTGACTTGATTGCAAACATCACGAAGGTGTTTCTGAGAATGCTTCCGTCTAGATTTTCTTTGAAGACATTACCGTTTCCAACGAAATCCTCAAAGCTAGCCAAATATCCACCTGCAGATTCTACAAAAAGAGTGTTTCAAAAGTGCTCTGTCCAAACCAAGGTTCAATTCTGACAGTTGAGTGCACACATCACAAACGTGATTCTGCGAATGCTTCTGTCTAGTTTTTGTCGGAAGATATTTCCTTTTTCAGCATAGGCCCCAAGGAGCTCAAAATGTCCACTGCCAGATAGTACGAGAAGATTGTTTCAAACCTGCTCTGTGAAAGGGAATGTTCAACTCTGTGACTTGAATGTAAACATCCCTAAGATGTTTCTTAGAATGCTTCTGGCTAGATTTTATTTGAAGATATTCCCGTTTCCAACGAAATCCTCAAAGCTTTCCAAATATCCACTTCCAGATTCTATAAAAAGAATGTTTCAGAACAGTTCTGTCAAAAGAAAGGTTCAACTCTGTTAGTGGAGAACACACATCACAATCAAGGTTCTGAGAATGCTTCTGTCTAAATTTTCTATGAAGACATTCCCGTTTCCAAGGAAATCCTCACAGCTATCCAAATATCCACTTGCAGATTCTACAAAAAGTGTGGTTCAAAACTGCTGTATCAAAAGAATGGATCAACACTGTTAGTTGAGTACCCACATCACCAACGTGATTCTCAGAATGCTTCTGTCTAGTTTCTATAGGTAGATATTTCCTTTTTCAGCATAGGCCTGAAAGCGCTCCAAATGCCCGCTTCCAGACACTATAAAAAGAGGGTTTCAAACCTACTCTACGAAAGGGAATGTTCAACTCTGAGAGCTGGATGCAAACATCACAAAGAAGTTTCTGAGAATGCTGCTGTCTACTATTGATATATAATCCCGTTTCCAAGGAAATCCTCAAATCTATCCAAATATCCACTTGCAGATTCCAAAAGGAGAGTGTCTCAAAACTGCTCTATCAATAGAAATGTTCAGCACAGTTAGTTGAGTAGATACAGCATAAACGTGTTTCTGAGATTACTTCTATCTCGCATTCATGGGAAGATATTTCCTTTTTCCAGATAGGCTACAAAGCCCTCCAAATGTCCACTTCGAGATACTACAAATAGAGTGCTGCACAACTGCTCTATGTGAGGGGATGTTCAATTCTGTGACTTGAATGCAGACACCACAAAGAAGTTTCTGAGAATGCTGCTGTCTAATTTTTATATGTAAGCCCGTTTCCAACGAAATCCTCAAAGCTATCCAAATATCCGCATGCAAAATCTTCAAAAAGAGTGTTCCAGAAGTACTGCATGAAACGAAAGGTTCAAGTCCGTTAGTTGAGGACACACATCACACATAAGTTTCTCAGAATGCTTCTGTCTTGTTTTCATTGGAAGATATTTCCTTTTTCACCATAGTTCAGAAAGCGCTCCAAATGTCCACTTCCAGATACTACAAAAGGAGTGTTTCCAACCTGCTCTATGAATGAGAATGTTCCATTCTGTGACTTGAATGGAAATATGGCAAAGTATTTTCTGAGTATGCTGCTGTGTACGTTTTATATTGCATCCCGTTTCCAACGAAATCCTCAAAGCGATCCAAATATCCACTTGCAGATTCCAAAAAAAAGAGTGTTTCACACTGCTCTCTCAGTACAAAGGTTCAACACTGTTAGTTGATTGGATGCATCATAAACAAGTTCCTGAGATAGCTTCTATGTCGTTTTTATGGGAAGATATTTCCTTCTTCACCATAGGCCTGAAAGCGCTCCAAATGTCCACTTCCAGATACTACAAAAAGAGTGTTTCCAACCTGCTCTATGAAACGGAAGGTTCAACTCTGTGACTTGATTGCAAACATCACGAAGGTGTTTCTGAGAATGTTTCTGTCTAGATTTTCTTTGAAGACATTACCGTTTCCAACGAAATCCTCAAAGCTAGTCAAATATCCACCTGCAGATTCTACAAAAAGAGTGTTTCAAAAGTGCTCTGTCCAAACAAAGGTTCAATTCTGACAGTTGAGTGCACACATCACAAACGTGATTCTGCGAATGCTTCTGTCTAGTTTTTGTCGGAAGATATTTCCTTTTTCAGCATAGGCCCCAAGGAGCACAAAATGTCCACTTCCAGAGAGTACGAGAAGATTGTTTCAAACCTGCTCTGTGAAAGGGAATGTTCAACTCTGTGACTTGAATGTAAACATCCCTAAGATGTTTCTTAGAATGCTTCTGGCTAGATTTGATTTGAAGATATTCCCGTTTCAAACGAAATCCTCAAAGCTTTCCAAATATCCACTTCCAGATTCTATAAAAAGAATGTTTCAGAACAGTTCTGTCAAAAGAAAGGTTCAACCCTGTTAGTGGAGAACACACATCACAATCAAGGTTCTGAGAATGCTTCTGTCTAAATTTTCTATGAAGACATTCCCGTTTCCAAGGAAATCCTCACAGCTATCCAAATATCCACTTGCAGATTCTACAAAAAGTGTGGTTCAAAACTGCTGTATCAAAAGAATGGATCAACACTGTTAGTTGAGTACCCACATCACCAACGTGATTCTCAGAATGCTTCTGTCTAGTTTCTATAGGTAGATATTTCCTTTTTCAGCATAGGCCTGAAAGCGCTCCAAATGCCCGCTTCCAGACACTATAAAAAGAGGGTTTCAAACCTACTCTACGAAAGGGAATGTTCAACTCTGAGAGCTGGATGCAAACATCACAAAGAAGTTTCTGAGAATGCTGCTGTCTACTTTTGATATATAATCCCGTTTCCAAGGAAATCCTCAAATCTATCCAAATATCCACTTGCAGATTCCAAAAGGAGAGTGTCTCAAAACTGCTCTATCAATAGAAATGTTCAGCACAGTTAGTTGAGTAGATACAGCATAAACATGTTTCTGAGATTACTTCTATCTCGCATTCATGGGAAGATATTTCCTTTTTCCAGATAGGCTACAAAGCCCTCCAAATGTCCACTTCGAGATACTACAAATAGAGTGCTGCACAACTGCTCTATGTGAGGGGATGTTCAATTCTGTGACTTGAATGCAGACACCACAAAGAAGTTTCTGAGAATGCTGCTGTCTAATTTTTATATGTAAGCCCGTTTCCAACGAAATCCTCAAAGCTATCCAAATATCCGCATGCAGAATCTTCAAAAAGAGTGTTCCAGAAGTACTGCATGAAACGAAAGGTTCAAGTCCGTTAGTTGAGGACACACATCACAAATAAGTTTCTCAGAATGCTTCTGTCTTGTTTTCATTGGAAGATATTTCCTTTTTCACCATAGTTCAGAAAGCGCTCCAAATGTCCACTTCCAGATACTACAAAAGGAGTGTTTCCAACCTGCTTTATGAATGGGAATGTTCCACTCTGTGACTTGAATGGAAATATGGCAAAGTATTTTCTGAGTATGCTGCTGTGTACGTTTTATATTGCATCCCGTTTCCAACGAAATCCTCAAAGCGATCCAAATATCCACTTGCAGATTCCAAAAAAAAGAGTGTTTCACACTGCTCTGTCAGTACAAAGGTTCAACACTGTTAGTTGATTGGATGCATCATAAACAAGTTCCTGAGATAGCTTCTATGTCGTTTTTATGGGAAGATATTTCCTTTTTCACCATAGGCCTGAAAGCGCTCCAAATGTCCACTTCCAGATACTACAAAAAGAGTGTTTCCAACCTGCTCTATGAAACGGAAGGTTCAACTCTGTGACTTGATTGCAAACATCACGAAGGTGTTTCTGAGAATGTTTCTGTCTAGATTTTCTTTGAAGACATTACCGTTTCCAACGAAATCCTCAAAGCTAGCCAAATATCCACCTGCAGATTCTACAAAAAGAGTGTTTCAAAAGTGCTCTGTCCAAACAAAGGTTCAATTCTGACAGTTGAGTGCACACATCACAAACGTGATTCTGCGAATGCTTCTGTCTAGTTTTTGTCGGAAGATATTTCCTTTCTCAGCATAGGCCCCAAGGAGCTCAAAATGTCCACTTCCAGATAGTACGAGAAGATTGTTTCAACCCTGCTCTGTGAAAGGGAATGTTCAACTCTGTGACTTGAATGTAAACATCCCTAAGATGTTTCTTAGAATGCTTCTGGCTAGATTTGATTTGAAGATATTCCCGTTTCCAATGAAATCCTCAAAGCTTTCCAAATATCCACTTCCAGATTCTATAAAAAGAATGTTTCAAAACAGTTCTGTCAAAAGAAAGGTTCAACCCTGTTAGTGGAGAACACACATCACAATCAAGGTTCTGAGAATGCTTCTGTCTAAATTTTCTATGAAGACATTCCCGTTTCAAAGGAAATCCTCACAGCTATCCAAATATCCACTTGCAGATTCTACAAAAAGTGTGGTTCAAAACTGCTGTATCAAAAGAATGGATCAACACTGTTAGTTGAGTACCCACATCACAAACGTGATTCTCAGAATGCTTCTGTCTACTTTCTATAGGTAGATATTTCCTTTTTCAGCATAGGCCTGAAAGCGCTCCAAATGCCCGCTTCCAGACACTATAAAAAGAGGGTTTCAAACCTACTCTACGAAAGGGAATGTTCAACTCTGAGAGCTGGATGCAAACATCACAAAGAAGTTTCTGAGAATGCTGCTGTCTACTTTTTATATATAATCCCGTTTCCAACGAAATCCTCAAATCTATCCAAATATCCACTTGCAGATTCCAAAAGAAGAGTGTCTCAAAACTGCTCTATCAATAGAAATGTTCAGCACAGTTAGTTGAGTAGATACAGCATAAACATGTTTCTGAGATTACTTCTATCTCGCATTCATGGGAAGATATTTCCTTTTTCCAGATAGGCTACAAAGCCCTCCAAATGTCCACTTCGAGATACTACAAATAGAGTGCTGCACAGCTGCTCTATGTGAGGGGATGTTCAATTCTGTGACTTGAATGCAGACACCACAAAGAAGTTTCTGAGAATGCTGCTGTCTAATTTTTATATGTAAGCCCGTTTCCAACGAAATCCTCAAAGCTATCCAAATATCCGCATGCAGAATCTTCAAAAAGAGTGTTCCAGAAGTACTGCATGAAACGAAAGTTTCAAGTCCGTTAGTTGAGGACACACATCACAAATAAGTTTCTCAGAATGCTTCTGTCTTGTTTTCATTGGAAGATATTTCCTTTTTCACCATAGTTCAGAAAGCGCTCCAAATGTCCACTTCCAGATACTACAAAAGGAGTGTTTCCAACCTGCTTTATGAATGGGAATGTTCCACTCTGTGACTTGAATGGAAATATGGCAAAGTATTTTCTGAGTATGCTGCTGTGTACGTTTTATATTGCATCCCGTTTCCAACGAAATCCTCAAAGCGATCCAAATATCCACTTGCAGATTCCAAAAAAAAGAGTGTTTCACACTGCTCTGTCAGTACAAAGGTTCAACACTGTTAGTTGATTGGATGCATCATAAACAAGTTCCTGAGATAGCTTCTATGTCGTTTTTATGGGAAGATATTTCCTTCTTCACCATAGGCCTGAAAGCGCTCCAAATGTCCACTTCCAGATACTACAAAAAGAGTGTTTCCAACCTGCTCTAGAAACGGAAGGTTCAACTCTGTGACTTGATTGCAAACATCACGAAGGTGTTTCTGAGAATGTTTCTGTCTAGATTTTCTTTGAAGACATTACCGTTTCCAACGAAATCCTCAAAGCTAGCCAAATATCCACCTGCAGATTCTACAAAAAGAGTGTTTCAAAAGTGCTCTGTCCAAACAAAGGTTCAATTCTGACAGTTGAGTGCACACATCACAAACGTGATTCTGCGAATGCTTCTGTCTAGTTTTTGTCGGAAGATATTTCCTTTTTCAGCATAGGCCCCAAGGAGCTCAAAATGTCCACTTCCAGATAGTACGAGAAGATTGTTTCAAACCTGCTCTGAGAAAGGGGAATGTTCAACTCTGTGACTTGAATGTACACATCCCTAAGATGTTTCTTAGAATGCTTCTGGCTAGATTTTATTTGAAGATATTCCCGTTTCCAACGAAATCCTAAAAGCTTTCCAAATATCCACTTCCAGATTCTATAAAAAGAATGTTTCAAAACAGTTCTGTCCAAAGAAAGGTTCAACTCTGTTAGTGGAGAACACACATCACAATCCAGGTTCTGAGAATGCTTCTGTCTAAATTTTCTATGAAGACATTCCCGTTTCCAACGAAATCCTCACAGCTATCCAAATATCCACTTGCAGATTCTTCAAAAAGGGTGGTTCAAAACTGCTGTATCAAAAGAATGGATCAACACTGTTAGTTGAGTACCCACATCACAAACGTGATTCTCAGAATGCTTCTGTCTAGTTTCTGTAGGTAGATATTTCCTTTTTCAGCATATCCCTGAAAGCATTCCAAATGCCCGCTTCCAGACACTATAAAAAGGGGGTTTCAAACCTACTCTGTGAAAGGGAATGTTCAACTCTGAGAGCTGGATGCAAACATCACAAAGAAGTTTCTGAGAATGCTGCTGTCTACTTTTTATATATAATCCCGTTTCCAACGAAATCCTCAAATCTATCCAAATATCCACTTGCAGATTCCAAAAGAAGAGTGTCTCAAAACTGCTCTATCAATAGAAATGTTCAGCACAGTTAGTTGAGTAGATACAGCATAAACATGTTTCTGAGATTACTTCTATCTCGCATTCATGGGAAGATATTTCCTTTTTCCAGATAGGCTACAAAGCCCTCCAAATGTCCACTTCGAGATACTACAAATAGAGTGCTGCACAACTGCTCTATGTGAGGGGATGTTCAATTCTGTGACTTGAATGCAGACACCACAAAGAAGTTTCTGAGAATGCTGCTGTCTAATTTTTATATGTAAGCCCGTTTCCAACGAAATCCTCAAAGCTATCCAAATATCCGCATGCAGAATCTTCAAAAAGAGTGTTCCAGAAGTACTGCATGAAACCAAAGCTTCGAGTCCGTTAGTTGAGGACACGCATCACAAATAAGTTTCTCAGAATGCTTCTGTCTTGTTTTCATTGGAACATATTTCCTTTTTCACCATAGTTCAGAAAGCGCTCCAAATGTCCACTTCCAGATACTCCAAAAAGAGTGTTTCAAACCTGCTCTATGAATGGGAATGTTCCACTCTGTGACTTGAATGGAAATATGGCAAAGTATTTTCTGAGTATGCTGCTGAGTACGTTTTATATTGCATCCCGTTTCTAACGAAATCCTCAAAGCGATCCAAATATCCACTTGCAGATTCCAAAAAAAGAGTGTTTCAAACTGCTCTGTCAGTACAAAGGTTCAACACTGTTAGTTGATTAGATGCATCATAAACAAGTTCCTGAGATAGCTTCTATGTCGCTTTTATGGGAAGATATTTCCTTTTACACCATAGGCCTGAAAGCGCTCCAAATGTCCACTTCCAGATACTACAAAATGAGTGTTTCCAACCTGCTCTATGAAACGGAAGGTTCAACTCTGTGACTTGATTGCAAACATCACGAAGGTGTTTCTGAGGATGTTTCTGTCTAGATTTTCTTTGAAGACATTACCGTTTCCAACGAAATCCTCAAAGCTAGCCAAATATCCACCTGCAGATTCTACAAAAAGAGTGTTTCAAAAGTGCTCTGTCCAAACAAAGGTTCAATTCTGACAGTTGAGTGCACACATCACAAACGTGATTCTGCGAATGCTTCTGTCTAGTTTTTGTCGGAAGATATTTCCTTTTTCAGCATAGGCCCCAAAGAGCTCAAAATGTCCACTTCCAGATAGTACGAGAAGATTGTTTCAAACCTGCCCTGTGAAAGGGAATGTTGAACTCTGTGACTTGAATGTAAACATCCCTAAGATGTTTCTTAGAATGCTTCTGGCTAGATTTGATTTGAAGATATTCCCGTTTCCAACGAAATCCTCAAGGCTTTCCAAATATCCACTTCCAGATTCTATAAAAAGAATGTTTCAGAACAGTTCTGTCAAAAGAAAGGTTCAACTCTGTTAGTGGAGAACACACATCACAATCAAGGTTCTGAGAATGCTTCTGTCTAAATTTTCTATGAAGGCATTCCCGTTTCCAAGGAAATCCTCACAGCTATCCAAATATCCACTTGCAGATTCTACAAAAAGTGTGGTTCAAATCTGCTGTATCAAAAGAATGGATCAACACTGTTAGTTGAGTACCCACATCACAAACGTGATTCTCAGAATGCTTCTGTCTAGTTTCTATAGGTAGATATTTCCTTTTTCAGCATAGGCCTGAAAGCGCTCCAAATGCCCGCTTCCAGACACTATAAAAAGAGGGTTTCAAACCTACTCTACGAAAAGGAATGTTCAACTCTGAGAGCTGGATGCAAACATCACAAAGAAGTTTCTGAGAATGCGGCTGTCTACTTTTTATATATAATCCCGTTGTCAAAGAAACCCTCAAATCTTTCCAAATATCCACTTGCAGATTCCAAAAGAAGAGTGTCTCAAAACTGCTCTATCAATAGAAATGTTCAGCACAGTTAGTTGAGTAGATACAGCATAAACATGTTTCTGAGATTACTTCTATCTCGCATTCTTGGGAAGATATTTCCTTTTTCCAGATAGGCTACAAAGCCCTCCAAATGTCCACTTCGAGATACTACAAATAGAGTGCTGCACAACTGCTCTATGTGAGGGGATGTTCAATTCTGTGACTTGGATGCAGACACCACAGAGAAGTTTCTGAGAATGCTGCTGTCTAATTTTTATATGTAAGCCCTTTTCCAACGAAATCCTCAAAGCTATCCAAATATCCGCATGCAGAATCTTCAAAAAGAGTGTTCCAGAAGTACTGCATGAAACGAAAGGTTCAAGTCCGTTAGTTGAGGACACACATCACAAATAAGTTTCTCAGAATGCTTCTGTCTTGTTTTCATTGGAAGATATTTCCTTTTTCACCATAGTTCAGAAAGCGCTCCAAATGTCCACTTCCAGATACTACAAAAAGAGTGTGTCAAACCTGCTCTATGAATGGGAATGTTCCACTCTGTGACTTGAATGGAAATATGGCAAAGTATTTTCTGAGTATGCTGCTGTGTACTTCTATATTGCATCCCGTTTCCAACGAAATCCTCAAAGCGATCCAAATATCCACTTGCAGATTCCAAAAAAAAGAGTGTTTCACACTGCTCTGTCAGTACAAAGGTTCAAAACTGTTAGTTGATTGGATGCATCATAAACAAGTTCCTGAGATAGCTTCTATGTCGTTTTTATGGGAAGATATTTCCTTTTTCACCATAGGCCTGAAAGCGCTCCAAATGTCCACTTCCAGATACTACAAAAAGAGTGTTTCCAACCTGCTCTATGAAACGGAAGGTTCAACTCTGTGACTTGATTGCAAACATCACGAAGGTGTTTCTGAGAATGTTTCTGTCTAGATTTTCTTTGAAGACATTACCGTTTCCAACGAAATCCTCAAAGCTAGCCAAATATCCACCTGCAGATTCTACAAAAAGAGTGTTTCAGAAGTGCTCTGTCCAAACAAAGGTTCAATTCCGACAGTTGAGTGCACACAACACAAACGTGATTCTGCGAATGCTTCTGTCTAGTTTTTGTCGGAAGATATTTCCTTTTTCAGCATAGGCCCCAAGGAGCTCAAAATGTCCACTTCCAGATACTACGAGAAGATTGTTTCAAACCTGCTCTGTGAAAGGGAATGTTCAACTCTGTGACTTGAATGTAAACATCCCTAAGATGTTTCTTAGAATGCTTCTGGCTAGATTTGATTTGAAGATATTCCCGTTTCAAACGAAATCCTCAAAGCTTTCCAAATATCCACTTCCAGATTCTATACAAAGAATGTTTCAGAACAGTTCTGTCAAAAGAAAGGTTCAACCCTGTTAGTGGAGAACACACATCACAATCAAGGTTCTGAGAATGTTTCTGTCTAAATTTTCTATGAAGACATTCCCGTTTCCAAGGAAATCCTCACAGCTATCCAAATATCCACTTGCAGATTCTACAAAAAGTGTGGTTCAAAACTGCTGTATCAAAAGAATGGATCAACACTGTTACTTGAGTACCCACATCACAAACGTGATTCTCAGAATGCTTCTGTCTAGTTTCTATAGGTAGATATTTCCTTTTTCAGCATAGGCCTGAAAGCGCTCCAAATGCCCGCTTCCAGACACTATAAAAAGAGGGTTTCAAACCTACTCTACGAAAGGGAATGTTCAACTCTGAGAGCTGGATGCAAACATCACAAAGAAGTTTCTGAGAATGCGGCTGTCTACTTTTTATATATAATCCCGTTGCCAACGAAATCCTCAAATCTATCCAAATATCCACTTGCAGATTCCAAAAGAAGAGTGTCTCAAAACTGCTCTATCAATAGAAATGTTCAGCACAGTTAGTTCAGTAGATACAGCATAAACATGTTTCTGAGATTACTTCTATCTCGCATTCATGGGAAGATATTTCCTTTTTCCAGATAGGCTACAAAGCCCTCCAAATGTCCACTTCGAGATACTACAAATAGAGTGCTGCACAACTGCTCTATGTGAGGGGATGTTCAATTCTGTGACTTGGATGCAGACACCACAGAGAAGTTTCTGAGAATGCTGCTGTCTAGTTTTTATATGTAAGCCCGTTTCCAACGAAATCCTCAAAGCTATCCAAATATCCGCATGCAGAATCTTCAAAAAGAGTGTTCCAGAAGTACTGCATGAAACGAAAGGTTCAAGTCCGTTAGTTGAGGACACACATCACAAATAAGTTTCTCAGAATGCTTCTGTCTTGTTTTCATTGGAAGATATTTCCTTTTTCACCATAGTTCAGAAAGCGCTCCAAATATCCACTTCCAGATACTACAAAAAGAGTGTGTCAAACCTGCTCTATGAATGGGAATGTTCCACTCTGTGACTTGAATGGAAATATGGCAAAGTATTTTCTGAGTATGCTGCTGTGTACGTTTTATATTGCATCCCGTTTCCAACGAAATCCTCAAAGCGATCCAAATATCCACTTGCAGATTCCAAAAAAAAGAGTGTTTCACACTGCTCTGTCAGTACAAAGGTTCAACACTGTTAGTTGATTGGATGCATCATAAACAAGTTCCTGAGATAGCTTCTATGTCGTTTTTATGGGAAGATATTTCCTTTTTCACCATAGGCGTGAAAGCGCTCCAAATGTCCACTTCCAGATACTACAAAAAGAGTGTTTCCAACCTGCTCTATGAAACGGAAGGTTCAGCTCTGTGACTTGATTGCAAACATCACGAAGGTGTTTCTGAGAATGTTTCTGTCTAGATTTTCTTTGAAGACATTACCGTTTACAACGAAATCCTCAAAGCTAGCCAAATATCCACCTGAAGATTCTACAAAAAGAGTGTTTCAAAAGTGCTCTGTCCAAACCAAGGTTCAATTCTGACAGTTGAGTGCACACATCACAAACGTGATTCTGCGAATGCTTCTGTCTAGTTTTTGTCAGAATTTATTTCCTTTTTCAGCATAGGCCCCAAGGAGCTCAAACTGTCCACTTCCAGATAGTACGAGAAGATTGTTTCAAACCTGCTCTGTGAAAGGGAATGTTCAACTCTGTGACTTGAATGTAAACATCCCTAAGATGTTTCTTAGAATGCTTCTGGCTAGATTTGATTTGAAGATATTCCCGTTTCCAACGAAATCCTCAAAGCTTTCCAAATATCCACTTCCAGATTCTATAAAAAGAATGTTTCAGAACAGTTCTGTCAAAAGAAAGGTTCAACTCTGTTAGTGGAGAACACACATCACAATCAAGGTTCTGAGAATGCTTCTGTCTAAATTTTCTATGAAGACATTCCCGTTTCCAACGAAATCCTCACAGCTATCCAAATATCCACTTGCAGATTCTACAAAAAGTGTGGTTCAAAACTGCTGTATCAAAAGAATGGATCAACACTGTTAGTTGAGTACCCACATCACAAACGGTGATTCTCAGAATGCTTCTGTCTAGTTTCCATAGGTAGATATTTCCTTTTTCAGCATAGGCCTGAAAGCGCTCCAAATGCCCGCTTCCAGACACTATAAAAAGAGGGTTTCAAACCTACTCTATGAAAGGGAATGTTCAACTCTGAGAGCTGGATGCAAACATCACAAAGAAGTTTCTGAGAATGCTGCTGTCTACTTTTGATATATAATCCCGTTTCCAACGAAATCCTCAAATCTATCCAAATATCCACTTGCAGATTCCAAAAGAAGAGTGTCTCAAAACTGCTCTATCAATAGAAATGTTCAGCACAGTTAGTTGAGTAGATACAGCATAAACATGTTTCTGAGATTACTTCTATCTCGCATTCATGGGAAGATATTTCCTTTTTCCACATAGGCTACAAAGCCCTCCAAATGTCCACTTCCAGATACTACAAAAAGAGTGTTTCCAACCTGCTCTATGAAACGGAAGGTTCAACTCTGTGACTTGATTGCAAACATCACGAAGGTGTTTCTGAGAATGCTTCTGTCTAGATTTTCTTTGAAGACATTACCGTTTCCAACGAAATCCTCAAAGCTAGCCAAATATCCACCTGCAGATTCTACAAAAAGAGTGTTTCAAAAGTGCTCTGTCCAAACCAAGGTTCAATTCTGACAGTTGAGTGCACACATCACAAACGTGATTCTGCGAATGCTTCTGTCTAGTTTTTGTCGGAAGATATTTCCTTTTTCAGCATAGGCCCCAAGGAGCTCAAAATGTCCACTGCCAGATAGTACGAGAAGATTGTTTCAAACCTGCTCTGTGAAAGGGAATGTTCAACTCTGTGACTTGAATGTAAACATCCCTAAGATGTTTCTTAGAATGCTTCTGGCTAGATTTTATTTGAAGATATTCCCGTTTCCAACGAAATCCTCAAAGCTTTCCAAATATCCACTTCCAGATTCTATAAAAAGAATGTTTCAGAACAGTTCTGTCAAAAGAAAGGTTCAACTCTGTTAGTGGAGAACACACATCACTATTCAAGGTTCTGAGAATGCTTCTGTCTAAATTTTCTATGAAGACATTCCCGTTTCCAACGAAATCCTCACAGCTATCCAAATATCCTCTTGCAGATTCTACAAAAAGTGTGGTTCAAAACTGCTGTATCAAAAGAATGGATCAACACTGTTAGTTGAGTACCCACATCACAAACGTGATTCTCAGAATGCTTCTGTCTAGTTTCTATAGGTAGATATTTCCTTTTTCAGCATAGGCCTGAAAGCGCTCCAAATGCCCGCTTCCAGACACTATAAAAAGAGGGTTTCAAACCTACTCTATGAAAGGGAATGTTCAACTCTGAGAGCTGGATGCAAACATCACAAAGAAGTTTCTGAGAATGCTGCTGTCTACTTTTTATATATAATCCCGTTTCCAACGAAATCCTCAAATCTATCCAAATATCCACTTGCAGATTCCAAAAGAAGAGTGTCTCAAAACTGCTCTATCAATAGAAATGTTCAGCACAGTTAGTTGAGTAGATACAGCATAAACATGTTTCTGAGATTACTTCTATCTCGCATTCATGGGAAGATATTTCCTTTTTCCACATAGGCTACAAAGCCCTCCAAATGTCCACTTCCAGATACTACAAATAGAGTGCTGCACAACTGCTCTATGTGAGGGGATGTTCAATTCTGTGACTTGAATGCAGACACCACAAAGAAGTTTCTGAGAATGCTGCTGTCTAATTTTTACATGTAAGCCCGTTTCCAACGAAATCCTCAAAGCTATCCAAATATCCGCATGCAGAATCTTCAAAAAGAGTGTTCCAGAAGTACTGCATGAAACGAAAGGTTCAAGTCCGTTTGTTGAGGACACACATCACAAATAAGTTTCTCAGAATGCTTCTGTCTTGTTTTCATTGGAAGATATTTCCTTTTTCACCATAGTTCAGAAAGCGCTCCAAATGTCCACTTCCAGATACTCCAAAAAGAGTGTTTCCAACCTGCTCTATGAATGGGAATGTTCCACTCTGTGACTTGAATGGAAATATGGCAAAGAATTTTCTGAGTATGCTGCTGTGTACGTTTTATATTGCATCCCGTTTCCAACGAAATCCTCAAAGCGATCCAAATATCCACTTGCAGATTCCAAAAAAAGAGTGTTTCAAACTGCTCTGTCAGTACAAAGGTTCAACACTGTTAGTTGATTAGATGCCTCATAAACAAGTTCCTGAGATAGCTTCTATGTCGCTTTTATGGGAAGATATTTCCTTTTTCACCATAGGCCTGAAAGCGCTCCAAATGTCCACTTCCAGATACTACAATAAGAGTGTTTCCAACCTGCTCTATGAAACGGAAGGTTCAACTCTGTGACTTGATTGCAAACATCACGAAGGTGTTTCTGAGAATGTTTCTGTCTAGATTTTCTTTGAAGACATTCCCGTTTCCAACGAAATCCTCACAGCTATCCAAATATCCTCTTGCAGATTCTACAAAAAGTGTGGTTCAAAACTGCTGTATCAAAAGAATGGATCAACACTGTTAGTTGAGTACCCACATCACAAACGTGATTCTCAGAATGCTTCTGTCTAGTTTCTGTAGGTAGATATTTCCTATTTTAAGCACAGGCCTGAATGCGCTCCAAATGCCCGCTTGCAGACACTATAAAAAGAGGGTTTCAAACCTACTCTATGAAAGGGAATGTTCAACTCTGAGAGCTGGATGCAAACATCACAAAGAAGTTTCTGAGAATGCTGCTGTCTACTTTTTATATATAATCCCGTTTCCAACGAAATCCTCAAATCTCTCCAAATATCCACTTGCAGATTCCAAAAGAAGAGTGTCTCAAAACTGCTCTATCAATAGAAATGTTCAGCACAGTTAGTTGAGTAGATACAGCATAAACATGTTTCTGAGATTACTTCTATCTCGCATTCATGGGAAGATATTTCCTTTTTCCAGATAGGCTACAAAGCCCTCCAAATGTCCACTTCCAGATACTACAAAAAGAGTGTTTCCAACCTGCTCTATGAAACGGAAGGTTCAACTCTGTGACTTGATTGCAAACATCACGAAGGTGTTTCTGAGAATGCTTCTGTCTAGATTTTCTTTGAAGACATTACCGTTTCCAACGAAATCCTCAAAGCTAGCCAAATATCCACCTGCAGATTCTACAAAAAGAGTGTTTCAAAAGTGCTCTGTCCAAACCAAGGTTCAATTCTGACAGTTGAGTGCACACATCACAAACGTGATTCTGCGAATGCTTCTGTCTAGTTTTTGTCGGAAGATATTTCCTTTTTCAGCATAGGCCCCAAGGAGCTCAAAATGTCCACTGCCAGATAGTACGAGAAGATTGTTTCAAACCTGCTCTGTGAAAGGGAATGTTCAACTCTGTGACTTGAATGTAAACATCCCTAAGATGTTTCTTAGAATGCTTCTGGCTAGATTTTATTTGAAGATATTCCCGTTTCCAACGAAATCCTCAAAGCTTTCCAAATATCCACTTCCAGATTCTATAAAAAGAATGTTTCAGAACAGTTCTGTCAAAAGAAAGGTTCAACTCTGTTAGTGGAGAACACACATCACAATCAAGGTTCTGAGAATGCTTCTGTCTACATTTTCTATGAAGACATTCCCGTTTCCAACGAAATCCTCACAGCTATCCAAATATCCACTTGCAGATTCTACAAAAAGTGTGGTTCAAAACTGCTGTATCAAAAGAATGGATCAACACTGTTAGTTGAGTACCCACATCACAAACGTGATTCTCAGAATGCTTCTGTCTAGTTTCTATAGGTAGATATTTCCTTTTTCAGCATAGGCCTGAAAGCGCTCCAAATGCCCGCTTCCAGACACTATAAAAAGAGGGTTTCAAACCTACTCTATGAAAGGGAATGTTCAACTCTGAGAGCTGGATGCAAACATCACAAAGAAGTTTCTGAGAATGCTGCTGTCTACTTTTTATATATAATCCCGTTTCCAACGAAATCCTCAAATCTATCCAAATATCCACTTGCAGATTCCAAAAGAAGAGTGTCTCAAAACTGCTCTATCAATAGAAATGTTCAGCACAGTTAGTTGAGTAGATACAGCATAAACATGTTTCTGAGATTACTTCTATCTCGCATTCATGGGAAGATATTTCCTTTTTCCAGATAGGCTACAAAGCCCTCCAAATGTCCACTTCCAGATACTACAAATAGAGTGCTGCACAACTGCTCTATGTGAGGGGATGTTCAATTCTGTGACTTGAATGCAGACACCACAAAGAAGTTTCTGAGAATGCTGCTGTCTAATTTTTACATGTAAGCCCGTTTCCAACGAAATCCTCAAAGCTATCCAAATATCCGCATGCAGAATCTTCAAAAAGAGTGTTCCAGAAGTACTGCATGAAACGAAAGGTTCAAGTCCGTTTGTTGAGGACACACATCACAAATAAGTTTCTCAGAATGCTTCTGTCTTGTTTTCATTGGAAGATATTTCCTTTTTCACCATAGTTCAGAAAGCGCTCCAAATGTCCACTTCCAGATACTCCAAAAAGAGTGTTTCCAACCTGCTCTATGAATGGGAATGTTCCACTCTGTGACTTGAATGGAAATATGGCAAAGTATTTTCTGAGTATGCTGCTGTGTACGTTTTATATTGCATCCCGTTTCCAACGAAATCCTCAAAGCGATCCAAATATCCACTTGCAGATTCCAAAAAAAGAGTGTTTCAAACTGCTCTGTCAGTACAAAGGTTCAACACTGTTAGTTGATTAGATGCATCATAAACAAGTTCCTGAGATAGCTTCTATGTCGTTTTTATGGGAAGATATTTCCTTTTTCACCATAGGCCTGAAAGCGCTCCAAATGTCCACTTCCAGATACTACAATAAGAGTGTTTCCAACCTGCTCTATGAAACGGAAGGTTCAACTCTGTGACTTGATTGCAAACATCACGAAGGTGTTTCTGAGAATGCTTCTGTCTAGATTTTCTTTGAAGACATTCCCGTTTCCAACGAAATCCTCACAGCTATCCAAATATCCTCTTGCAGATTCTACAAAAAGTGTGGTTCAAAACTGCTGTATCAAAAGAATGGATCAACACTGTTAGTTGAGTACCCACATCACAAACGTGATTCTCAGAATGCTTCTGTCTAGTTTCTGTAGGTAGATATTTCCTATTTTAAGCATAGGCCTGAAAGCACTCCAAATGCCCGCTTCCAGACACTATAAAAAGAGGGTTTCAAACCTACTCTATGAAAGGGAATGTTCAACTCTGAGAGCTGGATGCAAACATCACAAAGAAGTTTCTGAGAATGCTGCTGTCTACTTTTTATATATAATCCCGTTTCCAACGAAATCCTCAAATCTATCCAAATATCCACTTGCAGATTCCAAAAGAAGAGTGTCTCAAAACTGCTCTATCAATAGAAATGTTCAGCACAGTTAGTTGAGTAGATACAGCATAAACATGTTTCTGAGATTACTTCTATCTCGCATTCATGGGAAGATATTTCCTTTTTCCAGATAGGCTACAAAGCCCTCCAAATGTCCACTTCCAGATACTACAAAAAGAGTGTTTCCAACCTGCTCTATGAAACGGAAGGTTCAACTCTGTGACTTGATTGCAAACATCACGAAGGTGTTTCTGAGAATGCTTCTGTCTAGATTTTCTTTGAAGACATTACCGTTTCCAACGAAATCCTCAAAGCTAGCCAAATATCCACCTGCAGATTCTACAAAAAGAGTGTTTCAAAAGTGCTCTGTCCAAACCAAGGTTCAATTCTGACAGTTGAGTGCACACATCACAAACGTGATTCTGCGAATGCTTCTGTCTAGTTTTTGTCGGAAGATATTTCCTTTTTCAGCATAGGCCCCAAGGAGCTCAAAATGTCCACTGCCAGATAGTACGAGAAGATTGTTTCAAACCTGCTCTGTGAAAGGGAATGTTCAACTCTGTGACTTGAATGTAAACATCCCTAAGATGTTTCTTAGAATGCTTCTGGCTAGATTTGATTTGAAGATATTCCCGTTTCCAACGAAATCCTCAAAGCTTTCCAAATATCCACTTCCAGATTCTATAAAAAGAATGTTTCAGAACAGTTCTGTCAAAAGAAAGGTTCAACTCTGTTAGTGGAGAACACACATCACAATCAAGGTTCTGAGAATGCTTCTGTCTAAATTTTCTATGAAGACATTCCCGTTTCCAACGAAATCCTCACAGCTATCCAAATATCCACTTGCAGATTCTACAAAAAGTGTGGTTCAAAACTGCTGTATCAAAAGAATGGATCAACACTGTTAGTTGAGTACCCACATCACAAACGTGATTCTCAGAATGCTTCTGTCTAGTTTCTATAGGTAGATATTTCCTTTTTCAGCATAGGCCTGAAAGCGCTCCAAATGCCCGCTTCCAGACACTATAAAAAGAGGGTTTCAAACCTACTCTATGAAAGGGAATGTTCAACTCTGAGAGCTGGATGCAAACATCACAAAGAAGTTTCTGAGAATGCTGCTGTCTACTTTTGATATATAATCCCGTTTCCAACGAAATCCTCAAATCTATCCAAATATCCACTTGCAGATTCCAAAAGAAGAGTGTCTCAAAACTGCTCTATCAATAGAAATGTTCAGCACAGTTAGTTGAGTAGATACAGCATAAACATGTTTCTGAGATTACTTCTATCTCGCATTCATGGGAAGATATTTCCTTTTTCCACATAGGCTACAAAGCCCTCCAAATGTCCACTTCCAGATACTACAAAAAGAGTGTTTCCAACCTGCTCTATGAAACGGAAGGTTCAACTCTGTGACTTGATTGCAAACATCACGAAGGTGTTTCTGAGAATGCTTCTGTCTAGATTTTCTTTGAAGACATTACCGTTTCCAACGAAATCCTCAAAGCTAGCCAAATATCCACCTGCAGATTCTACAAAAAGAGTGTTTCAAAAGTGCTCTGTCCAAACCAAGGTTCAATTCTGACAGTTGAGTGCACACATCACAAACGCGATTCTGCGAATGCTTCTGTCTAGTTTTTGTCGGAAGATATTTCCTTTTTCAGCATAGGCCCCAAGGAGCTCAAAATGTCCACTGCCAGATAGTACGAGAAGATTGTTTCAAACCTGCTCTGTGAAAGGGAATGTTCAACTCTGTGACTTGAATGTAAACATCCCTAAGATGTTTCTTAGAATGCTTCTGGCTAGATTTGATTTGAAGATATTCCCGTTTCCAACGAAATCCTCAAAGCTTTCCAAATATCCACTTCCAGATTCTATAACAAGAATGTTTCAGAACAGTTCTGTCAAAAGAAAGGTTCAACTCTGTTAGTGGAGAACACACATCACAATCAAGGTTCTGAGAATGCTTCTGTCTAAATTTTCTATGAAGACATTCCCGTTTCCAACGAAATCCTCACAGCTATCCAAATATCCACTTGCAGATTCTACAAAAAGTGTGGTTCAAAACTGCTGTATCAAAAGAATGGATCAACACTGTTAGTTGAGTACCCACATCACAAACGTGATTCTCAGAATGCTTCTGTCTAGTTTCCATAGGTAGATATTTCCTTTTTCAGCATAGGCCTGAAAGCGCTCCAAATGCCCGCTTCCAGACACTATAAAAAGAGGGTTTCAAACCTACTCTATGAAAGGGAATGTTCAACTCTGAGAGCTGGATGCAAACATCACAAAGAAGTTTCTGAGAATGCTGCTGTCTACTTTTTATATATAATCCCGTTTCCAACGAAATCCTCAAATCTATCCAAATATCCACTTGCAGATTCCAAAAGAAGAGTGTCTCAAAACTGCTCTATCAATAGAAATGTTCAGCACAGTTAGTTGAGTAGATACAGCATAAACATGTTTCTGAGATTACTTCTATCTCGCATTCATGGGAAGATATTTCCTTTTTCCAGATAGGCTACAAAGCCCTCCAAATGTCCACTTCCAGATACTACAAAAAGAGTGTTTCCAACCTGCTCTATGAAACGGAAGGTTCAACTCTGTGACTTGATTGCAAACATCACGAAGGTGTTTCTGAGAATGCTTCTGTCTAGATTTTCTTTGAAGACATTACCGTTTCCAACGAAATCCTCAAAGCTAGCCAAATATCCACCTGCAGATTCTACAAAAAGAGTGTTTCAAAAGTGCTCTGTCCAAACCAAGGTTCAATTCTGACAGTTGAGTGCACACATCACAAACGTGATTCTGCGAATGCTTCTGTCTAGTTTTTGTCGGAAGATATTTCCTTTTTCAGCATAGGCCCCAAGGAGCTCAAAATGTCCACTGCCAGATAGTACGAGAAGATTGTTTCAAACCTGCTCTGTGAAAGGGAATGTTCAACTCTGTGACTTGAATGTAAACATCCCTAAGATGTTTCTTAGAATGCTTCTGGCTAGATTTTATTTGAAGATATTCCCGTTTCCAACGAAATCCTCAAAGCTTTCCAAATATCCACTTCCAGATTCTACAAAAAGTGTGGTTCAAAACTGCTGTATCAAAAGAATGGATCAACACTGTTAGTTGAGTACCCACATCACAAACGTGATTCTCAGAATGCTTCTGTCTAGTTTCTATAGGTAGATATTTCCTTTTTCAGCATAGGCCTGAAAGCGCTCCAAATGCCCGCTTCCAGACACTATAAAAAGAGGGTTTCAAACCTACTCTATGAAAGGGAATGTTCAACTCTGAGAGCTGGATGCAAACATCACAAAGAAGTTTCTGAGAATGCTGCTGTCTACTTTTGATATATAATCCCGTTTCCAACGAAATCCTCAAATCTATCCAAATATCCACTTGCAGATTCCAAAAGAAGAGTGTCTCAAAACTGCTCTATCAATAGAAATGTTCAGCACAGTTAGTTGAGTAGATACAGCATAAACATGTTTCTGAGATTACTTCTATCTCGCATTCATGGGAAGATATTTCCTTTTTCCAGATAGGCTACAAAGCCCTCCAAATGTCCACTTCCAGATACTACAAAAAGAGTGTTTCCAACCTGCTCTATGAAACGGAAGGTTCAACTCTGTGACTTGATTGCAAACATCACGAAGGTGTTTCTGAGAATGCTTCTGTCTAGATTTTCTTTGAAGACATTACCGTTTCCAACGAAATCCTCAAAGCTAGCCAAATATCCACCTGCAGATTCTACAAAAAGAGTGTTTCAAAAGTGCTCTGTCCAAACCAAGGTTCAATTCTGACAGTTGAGTGCACACATCACAAACGTGATTCTGCGAATGCTTCTGTCTAGTTTTTGTCGGAAGATATTTCCTTTTTCATCATAGGCCCAAAGGAGCTCAAAATGTCCACTGCCAGATAGTACGAGAAGATTGTTTCAAACCTGCTCTGTGAAAGGGAATGTTCAACTCTGTGACTTGAATGTAAACATCCCTAAGATGTTTCTTAGAATGCTTCTGGCTAGATTTTATTTGAAGATATTCCCGTTTCCAACGAAATCCTCAAAGCTTTCCAAATATCCACTTCCAGATTCTATAAAAAGAATGTTTCAGAACAGTTCTGTCAAAAGAAAGGTTCAACTCTGTTAGTGGAGAACACACATCACAATCAAGGTTCTGAGAATGCTTCTGTCTAAATTTTCTATGAAGACATTCCCGTTTCCAACGAAATCCTCACAGCTATCCAAATATCCACTTGCAGATTCTACAAAAAGTGTGGTTCAAAACTGCTGTATCAAAAGAATGGATCAACACTGTTAGTTGAGTACCCACATCACAAACGTGATTCTCAGAATGCTTCTGTCTAGTTTCTATAGGTAGATATTTCCTTTTTCAGCATAGGCCTGAAAGCGCTCCAAATGCCCGCTTCCAGACACTATAAAAAGAGGGTTTCAAACCTACTCTATGAAAGGGAATGTTCAACTCTGAGAGCTGGATGCAAACATCACAAAGAAGTTTCTGAGAATGCTGCTGTCTACTTTTGATATATAATCCCGTTTCCAACGAAATCCTCAAATCTATCCAAATATCCACTTGCAGATTCCAAAAGAAGAGTGTCTCAAAACTGCTCTATCAATAGAAATGTTCAGCACAGTTAGTTGAGTAGATACAGCATAAACATGTTTCTGAGATTACTTCTATCTCGCATTCATGGGAAGATATTTCCTTTTTCCAGATAGGCTACAAAGCCCTCCAAATGTCCACTTCGAGATACTACAAATAGAGTGCTGCACAACTGCTCTATGTGAGGGGATGTTCAATTCTGTGACTTGAATGCAGACACCACAAAGAAGTTTCTGAGAATGCTGCTGTCTAATTTTTATATGTAAGCCCGTTTCCAACGAAATCCTCACACCTATCCAAATATCCGCATGCAGAATCTTCAAAAAGAGTGTTCCAGAAGTACTGCATGAAACGAAAGGTTCGAGTCCGTTAGTTGAGGACACGCATCACAAATAAGTTTCTCAGAATGCTTCTGTCTTGTTTTCATTGGAAGATATTTCCTTTTTCACCATAGTTCAGAAAGCGCTCCAAATGTCCACTTCCAGATACTCCAAAAAGAGTGTTTCAAACCTGCTCTATGAATGGGAATGTTCCACTCTGTGACTTGAATGGAAATATGGCAAAGTATTTTCTGAGTATGCTGCTGTGTACGTTTTATATTGCATCCCGTTTCCAACGAAATCCTCAAAGCGATCCAAATATCCACTTGCAGATTCCAAAAAAAGAGTGTTTCAAACTGCTCTGTCAGTACAAAGGTTCAACACTGTTAGTTGATTAGAGGCATCATAAACAAGTTCCTGAGATAGCTTCTATGTCGCTTTTATGGGAAGATATTTCCTTTTACACCATAGGCCTGAAAGCGCTCCAAATGTCCACTTCCAGATACTACAAAATGAGTGTTTCCAACCTACTCTATGAAACGGAAGGTTCAACTCTGTGACTTGATTGCAAACATCACGAAGGTGTTTCTGAGGATGTTTCTGTCTAGATTTTCTTTGAAGACATTACCGTTTCCAACGAAATCCTCAAAGCTAGCCAAATATCCACCTGCAGATTCTACAAAAAGAGTGTTTCAAAAGTGCTCTGTCCAAACAAAGGTTCAATTCTGACAGTTGAGTGCACACATCACAAACGTGATTCTGCGAATGCTTCTGTCTAGTTTTTGTCGGAAGATATTTCCTTTTTCAGCATAGGCCCCAAGGAGCTCAAAATGTCCACTTCCAGATAGTACGAGAAGATTGTTTCAAACCTGCTCTGTGAAAGGGAATGTTCAACTCTGTGACTTGAATGTAAACACCCCTAAGATGTTTCTTAGAATGCTTCTGGCTAGATTTGATTTGAAGATATTCCCGTTTCCAACGAAATCCTCAAGGCTTTCCAAATATCCACTTCCAGATTCTATAAAAAGAATGTTTCAGAACAGTTCTGTCAAAAGAAAGGTTCAACTCTGTTAGTGGAGAACACACATCACAATCAAGGTTCTGAGAATGCTTCTGTCTAAATTTTCTATGAAGGCATTCCCGTTTCCAAGGAAATCCTCACAGCTATCCAAATATCCACTTGCAGATTCTACAAAAAGTGTGGTTCAAAACTGCTGTATCAAAAGAATGGATCAACACTGTTAGTTGAGTACCCACATCACAAACGTGATTCTCAGAATGCTTCTGTCTAGTTTCTATAGGTAGATGTCTCCTTTTTCAGCATAGGCCTGAAAGCGCTCCAAATGCCCGCTTCCAGACACTATAAAAAGAGGGTTTCAAACCTACTCTATGAAAGGGAATGTTCAACTCTGAGAGCTGGATGCAAACATCACAAAGAAGTTTCTGAGAATGCTGCTGTCTACTTTTTATATATAATCCCGTTTCCAACGAAATCCTCAAATCTATCCAAATATCCACTTGCAGATTCCAAAAGAAGAGTGTCTCAAAACTGCTCTATCAATAGAAATGTTCAGCACAGTTAGTTGAGTAGATACAGCATAAACATGTTTCTGAGATTACTTCTATCTCGCATTCATGGGAAGATATTTCCTTTTTCCAGATAGGCTACAAAGCCCTCCAAATGTCCACTTCCAGATACTACAAATAGAGTGCTGCACAACTGCTCTATGTGAGGGGAAGTTCAATTCTGTGACTTGAATGCAGACACCACAAAGAAGTTTCTGAGAATGCTGCTGTCTAATTTTTACATGTAAGCCCGTTTCCAACGAAATCCTCAAAGCTATCCAAATATCCGCATGCAGAATCTTCAAAAAGAGTGTTCCAGAAGTACTGCATGAAACGAAAGGTTCAAGTCCGTTTGTTGAGGACACACATCACAAATAAGTTTCTCAGAATGCTTCATTCTTGTTTTCATTGGAAGATATTTCCTTTTTCACCATAGTTCAGAAAGCGCTCCAAATGTCCACTTCCAGATACTCCAAAAAGAGTGTTTCCAACCTGCTCTATGAATGGGAATGTTCCAGTCTGTGACTTGAATGGAAATATGGCAAAGTATTTTCTGAGTATGCTGCTGTGTACGTTTTATATTGCATCCCGTTTCCAACGAAATCCTCAAAGCGATCCAAATATCCACTTGCAGATTCCAAAAAAAGAGTGTTTCAAACTGCTCTGTCAGTACAAAGGTTCAACACTGTTAGTTGATTAGATGCATCATAAACAAGTTCCTGAGACAGCTTCTATGTCGTTTTTATGGGAAGATATTTCCTTTTTCACCATAGGCCTGAAAGCGCTCCAAATGTCCCCTTCCAGATACTACAATAAGAGTGTTTCCAACCTGCTGTATGAAACGGAAGGTTCAACTCTGTGACTTGATTGCAAACATCACGAAGGTGTTTCTGAGAATGCTTCTGTCTAGATTTTCTTTGAAGACATTCCCGTTTCCAACGAAATCCTCACAGCTATCCAAATATCCTCTTGCAGATTCTACAAAAAGTGTGGTTCAAAACTGCTGTATCAAAAGAATGGATCAACACTGTTAGTTGAGTACCCACATCACAAACGTGATTCTCAGAATGCTTCTGTCTAGTTTCTGTAGGTAGATATTTCCTATTTTAAGCATAGGCCTGAAAGCGCTCCAAATGCCCGCTTGCAGACACTATAAAAAGAGGGTTTCAAACCTACTCTATGAAAGGGAATGTTCAACTTCTGAGAGCTGGATGCAAACATCACAAAGAAGTTTCTGAGAATGCTGCTGTCTACTTTTTATATATATCCCGTTTCCAACGAAATCCTCAAATCTATCCAAATATCCACTTGCAGATTCCAAAAGAAGAGTGTCTCAAAACTGCTCTATCAATAGAAATGTTCAGCACAGTTAGTTGAGTAGATACAGCATAAACATGTTTCTGAGATTACTTCTATCTCGCATTCATGGGAAGATATTTCCTTTTTCCAGATAGGCTACAAAGCCCTCCAAATGTCCACTTCCAGATACTACAAAAAGAGTGTTTCCAACCTGCTCTATGAAACGGAAGGTTCAACTCTGTGACTTGATTGCAAACATCACGAAGGTGTTTCTGAGAATGCTTCTGTCTAGATTTTCTTTGAAGACATTACCGTTTCCAACGAAATCCTCAAAGCTAGCCAAATATCCACCTGCAGATTCTACAAAAAGAGTGTTTCAAAAGTGCTCTGTCCAAACCAAGGTTCAATTCTGACAGTTGAGTGCACACATCACAAACGTGATTCTGCGAATGCTTCTGTCTAGTTTTTGTCGGAAGATATTTCCTTTTTCAGCATAGGCCCCAAGGAGCTCAAAATGTCCACTGCCAGATAGTACGAGAAGATTGTTTCAAACCTGCTCTGTGAAAGGGAATGTTCAACTCTGTGACTTGAATGTAAACATCCCTAAGATGTTTCTTAGAATGCTTCTGGCTAGATTTGATTTGAAGATATTCCCGTTTCCAACGAAATCCTCAAAGCTTTCCAAATATCCACTTCCAGATTCTATAAAAAGAATGTTTCAGAACAGTTCTGTCAAAAGAAAGGTTCAACTCTGTTAGTGGAGAACACACATCACAATCAAGGTTCTGAGAATGCTTCTGTCTAAATTTTCTATGAAGACATTCCCGTTTCCAACGAAATCCTCACAGCTATCCAAATATCCACTTGCAGATTCTACAAAAAGTGTGGTTCAAAACTGCTGTATCAAAAGAATGGATCAACACTGTTAGTTGAGTACCCACATCACAAACGTGATTCTCAGAATGCTTCTGTCTAGTTTCTATAGGTAGATATTTCCTTTTTCAGCATAGGCCTGAAAGCGCTCCAAATGCCCGCTTCCAGACACTATAAAAAGAGGGTTTCAAACCTACTCTATGAAAGGGAATGTTCAACTCTGAGAGCTGGATGCAAACATCACAAAGAAGTTTCTGAGAATGCTGCTGTCTACTTTTTATATATAATCCCGTTTCCAACGAAATCCTCAAATCTATCCAAATATCCACTTGCAGATTCCAAAAGAAGAGTGTCTCAAAACTGCTCTATCAATAGAAATGTTCAGCACAGTTAGTTGAGTAGATACAGCATAAACATGTTTCTGAGATTACATCTATCTCGCATTCATGGGAAGATATTTCCTTTTTCCAGATAGGCTACAAAGCCCTCCAAATGTCCACTTCCAGATACTACAAAAAGTGTGTTTCCAACCTGCTCTATGAAACGGAAGGTTCAACTCTGTGACTTGATTGCAAACATCACGAAGGTGTTTCTGAGAATGCTTCTGTCTAGATTTTCTTTGAAGACATTACCGTTTCCAACGAAATCCTCAAAGCTAGCCAAATATCCACCTGCAGATTCTACAAAAAGTGTGTTTCAAAAGTGCTCTCTCCAAACCAAGGTTCAATTCTGACAGTTGAGTGCACACATCACAAACGTGATTCTGCGAATGCTTCTGACTAGTTTTTGTCGGAAGATATTTCCTTTTTCAGCATAGGCCCCAAAGAGCTCAAAATGTCCACTGCCAGATAGTACGAGAAGATTGTTTCAAACCTGCTCTGTGAAAGGGAATGTTCAACTCTGTGACTTGAATGTAAACATCCCTAAGATGTTTCTTAGAATGCTTCTGGCTAGATTTTATTTGAAGATATTCCCGTTTCCAACGAAATCCTCAAAGCTTTCCAAATATCCACTTCCAGATTCTATAAAAAGAATGTTTCAGAACAGTTCTGTCAAAAGAAAGGTTCAACTCTGTTAGTGGAGAACACACATCACAATCAAGGTTCTGAGAATGCTTCTGTCTAAATTTTCTATGAAGACATTCCCGTTTCCAACGAAATCCTCACAGCTATCCAAATATCCACTTGCAGATTCTACAAAAAGTGTGGTTCAAAACTGCTGTATCAAAAGAATGGATCAACACTGTTAGTTGAGTACCCACATCACAAACGTGATTCTCAGAATGCTTCTGTCTAGTTTCTATAGGTAGATATTTCCTTTTTCAGCATAGGCCTGAAAGCGCTCCAAATGCCCGCTTCCAGACACTATAAAAAGAGGGTTTCAAACCTACTCTATGAAAGGGAATGTTCAACTCTGAGAGCTGGATGCAAACATCACAAAGAAGTTTCTGAGAATGCTGCTGTCTACTTTTTATATATAATCCCGTTTCCAACGAAATCCTCAAATCTATCCAAATATCCACTTGCAGATTCCAAAAGAAGAGTGTCTCAAAACTGCTCTATCAATAGAAATGTTCAGCACAGTTAGTTGAGTAGATACAGCATAAACATGTTTCTGAGATTACTTCTATCTCGCATTCATGGGAAGATATTTCCTTTTTCCAGATAGGCTACAAAGCCCTCCAAATGTCCACTTCCAGATACTACAAATATAGTGCTGCACAACTGCTCTATGTGAGGGGAAGTTCAATTCTGTGACTTGAATGCAGACACCACAAAGAAGTTTCTGAGAATGCTGCTGTCTAATTTTTACATGTAAGCCCGTTTCCAACGAAATCCTCAAAGCTATCCAAATATCCGCATGCAGAATCTTCAAAAAGAGTGTTCCAGAAGTACTGCATGAAACGAAAGGTTCAAGTCCGTTTGTTGAGGACACACATCACAAATAAGTTTCTCAGAATGCTTCTGTCTTGTTTTCATTGGAAGATATTTCCTTTTTCACCATAGTTCAGAAAGCGCTCCAAATGTCCACTTCCAGATACTCCAAAAAGAGTGTTTCAAACCTGCTCTATGAATGGGAATGTTCCACTCTGTGACTTGAATGGAAATATGGCAAAGTATTTTCTGAGTATGCTGCTGTGTACGTTTTATATTGCATCCCGTTTCCAACGAAATCCTCAAAGCGATCCAAATATCCACTTGCAGATTCCAAAAAAAGAGTGTTTCAAAGTGCTCTGTCAGTACAAAGGTTCAACACTGTTAGTTGATTAGATGCATCATAAACAAGTTCCTGAGATAGCTTCTATGTCGTTTTTATGGGAAGATATTTCCTTTTTCACCATAGGCCTGAAAGCGCTCCAAATGTCCACTTCCAGATACTACAATAAGAGTGTTTCCAACCTGCTCTATGAAACGGAAGGTTCAACTCTGTGACTTGATTGCAAACATCACGAAGGTGTTTCTGAGAATGCTTCTGTCTAGATTTTCTTTGAAGACATTCCCGTTTCCAACGAAATCCTCACAGCTATCCAAATATCCTCTTGCAGATTCTACAAAAAGTGTGGTTCAAAACTGCTGTATCAAAAGAATGGATCAACACTGTTAGTTGAGTACCCACATCACAAACGTGATTCTCAGAATGCTTCTGTCTAGTTTCTGTAGGTAGATATTTCCTATTTTAAGCATAGGCCTGAAAGCGCTCCAAATGCCCGCTTCCAGACACTATAAAAAGAGGGTTTCAAACCTACTCTATGAAAGGGAATGTTCAACTCTGAGAGCTGGATGCAAACATCACAAAGAAGTTTCTGAGAATGCTGCTGTCTACTTTTGATATATAATCCCGTTTCCAACGAAATCCTCAAATCTATCCAAATATCCACTTGCAGATTCCAAAAGAAGAGTGTCTCAAAACTGCTCTATCAATAGAAATGTTCAGCACAGTTAGTTGAGTAGATACAGCATAAACATGTTTCTGAGATTACTTCTATCTCGCATTCATGGGAAGATATTTCCTTTTTCCACATAGGCTACAAAGCCCTCCAAATGTCCACTTCCAGATACTACAAAAAGAGTGTTTCCAACCTGCTCTATGAAACGGAAGGTTCAACTCTGTGACTTGATTGCAAACATCACGAAGGTGTTTCTGAGAATGCTTCTGTCTAGATTTTCTTTGAAGACATTACCGTTTCCAACGAAATCCTCAAAGCTAGCCAAATATCCACCTGCAGATTCTACAAAAAGAGTGTTTCAAAAGTGCTCTGTCCAAACCAAGGTTCAATTCTGACAGTTGAGTGCACACATCACAAACGTGATTCTGCGAATGCTTCTGTCTAGTTTTTGTCGGAAGATATTTCCTTTTTCAGCATAGGCCCCAAGGAGCTCAAAATGTCCACTTCCAGATAGTACGAGAAGATTGTTTCAAACCTGCTCTGTGAAAGGGAATGTTCAACTCTGTGACTTGAATGTAAACATCCCTAAGATGTTTCTTAGAATGCTTCTGGCTAGATTTGATTTGAAGATATTCCCGTTTCCAACGAAATCCTCAAAGCTTTCCAAATATCCACTTCCAGATTCTATAAAAAGAATGTTTCAGAACAGTTCTGTCAAAAGAAAGGTTCAACTCTGTTAGTGGAGAACACACATCACAATCAAGGTTCTGAGAATGCTTCTGTCTAAATTTTCTATGAAGACATTCCCGTTTCCAACGAAATCCTCACAGCTATCCAAATATCCACTTGCAGATTCTACAAAAAGTGTGGTTCAAAACTGCTGTATCAAAAGAATGGATCAACACTGTTAGTTGAGTACCCACATCAGAAACGTGATTCTCAGAATGCTTCTGTCTAGTTTCTATAGGTAGATATTTCCTTTTTCAGCATAGGCCTGAAAGCGCTCCAAATGCCCGCTTCCAGACACTATAAAAAGAGGGTTTCAAACCTACTCTATGAAAGGGAATGTTCAACTCTGAGAGCTGGATGCAAACATCACAAAGAAGTTTCTGAGAATGCTGCTGTCTACTTTTTATATATAATCCCGTTTCCAACGAAATCCTCAAATCTATCCAAATATCCACTTGCAGATTCCAAAAGAAGAGTGTCTCAAAACTGCTCTATCAATAGAAATGTTCAGCACAGTTAGTTGAGTAGATACAGCATAAACATGTTTCTGAGATTACATCTATCTCGCATTCATGGGAAGATATTTCCTTTTTCCAGATAGGCTACAAAGCCCTCCAAATGTCCACTTCCAGATACTACAAAAAGTGTGTTTCCAACCTGCTCTATGAAACGGAAGGTTCAACTCTGTGACTTGATTGCAAACATCACGAAGGTGTTTCTGAGAATGCTTCTGTCTAGATTTTCTTTGAAGACATTACCGTTTCCAACGAAATCCTCAAAGCTAGCCAAATATCCACCTGCAGATTCTACAAAAAGTGTGTTTCAAAAGTGCTCTCTCCAAACCAAGGTTCACTTCTGACAGTTGAGTGCACACATCACAAACGTGATTCTGCGAATGCTTCTGACTAGTTTTTGTCGGAAGATATTTCCTTTTTCAGCATAGGCCCCAAAGAGCTCAAAATGTCCACTGCCAGATAGTACGAGAAGATTGTTTCAAACCTGCTCTGTGAAAGGGAATGTTCAACTCTGTGACTTGAATGTAAACATCCCTAAGATGTTTCTTAGAATGCTTCTGGCTAGATTTTATTTGAAGATATTCCCGTTTCCAACGAAATCCTCAAAGCTTTCCAAATATCCACTTCCAGATTCTATAAAAAGAATGTTTCAGAACAGTTCTGTCAAAAGAAAGGTTCAACTCTGTTAGTGGAGAACACACATCACAATCAAGGTTCTGAGAATGCTTCTGTCTAAATTTTCTATGAAGACATTCCCGTTTCCAACGAAATCCTCACAGCTATCCAAATATCCACTTGCAGATTCTACAAAAAGTGTGGTTCAAAACTGCTGTATCAAAAGAATGGATCAACACTGTTAGTTGAGTACCCACATCACAAACTTGATTCTCAGAATGCTTCTGTCTAGTTTCTATAGGTAGATATTTCCTTTTTCAGCATAGGCCTGAAAGCGCTCCAAATGCCCGCTTCCAGACACTATAAAAAGAGGGTTTCAAACCTACTCTATGAAAGGGAATGTTCAACTCTGAGAGCTGGATGCAAACATCACAAAGAAGTTTCTGAGAATGCTGCTGTCTACTTTTTATATATAATCCCGTTTCCAACGAAATCCTCAAATCTATCCAAATATCCACTTGCAGATTCCAAAAGAAGAGTGTCTCAAAACTGCTCTATCAATAGAAATGTTCAGCACAGTTAGTTGAGTAGATACAGCATAAACATGTTTCTGAGATTACTTCTATCTCGCATTCATGGGAAGATATTTCCTTTTTCCAGATAGGCTACAAAGCCCTCCAAATGTCCACTTCCAGATACTACAAAAAGAGTGTTTCCAACCTGCTCTATGAAACGGAAGGTTCAACTCTGTGACTTGATTGCAAACATCACGAAGGTGTTTCTGAGAATGCTTCTGTCTAGATTTTCTTTGAAGACATTACCGTTTCCAACGAAATCCTCAAAGCTAGCCAAATATCCACCTGCAGATTCTACAAAAAGAGTGTTTCAAAAGTGCTCTGTCCAAACCAAGGTTCAATTCTGACAGTTGAGTGCACACATCACAAACGTGATTCTGCGAATGCTTCTGTCTAGTTTTTGTCGGAAGATATTTCCTTTTTCAGCATAGGCCCCAAGGAGCTCAAAATGTCCACTGCCAGATAGTACGAGAAGATTGTTTCAAACCTGCTCTGTGAAAGGGAATGTTCAACTCTGTGACTTGAATGTAAACATCCCTAAGATGTTTCTTAGAATGCTTCTGGCTAGATTTGATTTGAAGATATTCCCGTTTCCAACGAAATCCTCAAAGCTTTCCAAATATCCACTTCCAGATTCTATAAAAAGAATGTTTCAGAACAGTTCTGTCAAAAGAAAGGTTCAACTCTGTTAGTGGAGAACACACATCACAATCAAGGTTCTGAGAATGCTTCTGTCTAAATTTTCTATGAAGACATTCCCGTTTCCAACGAAATCCTCACAGCTATCCAAATATCCACTTGCAGATTCTACAAAAAGTGTGGTTCAAAACTGCTGTATCAAAAGAATGGATCAACACTGTTAGTTGAGTACCCACATCACAAACGTGATTCTCAGAATGCTTCTGTCTAGTTTCTATAGGTAGATATTTCCTTTTTCAGCATAGGCCTGAAAGCGCTCCAAATGCCCGCTTCCAGACACTATAAAAAGAGGGTTTCAAACCTACTCTATGAAAGGGAATGTTCAACTCTGAGAGCTGGATGCAAACATCACAAAGAAGTTTCTGAGAATGCTGCTGTCTACTTTTTATATATAATCCCGTTTCCAACGAAATCCTCAAATCTATCCAAATATCCACTTGCAGATTCCAAAAGAAGAGTGTCTCAAAACTGCTCTATCAATAGAAATGTTCAGCACAGTTAGTTGAGTAGATACAGCATAAACATGTTTCTGAGATTACTTCTATCTCGCATTCATGGGAAGATATTTCCTTTTTCCAGATAGGCTACAAAGCCCTCCAAATGTCCACTTCCAGATACTACAAAAAGAGTGTTTCCAACCTGCTCTATGAAACGGAAGGTTCAACTCTGTGACTTGATTGCAAACATCACGAAGGTGTTTCTGAGAATGCTTCTGTGTAGATTTTCTTTGAAGACATTACCGTTTCCAACGAAATCCTCAAAGCTAGCCAAATATCCACCTGCAGATTCTACAAAAAGAGTGTTTCAAAAGTGCTCTGTCCAAACCAAGGTTCAATTCTGACAGTTGAGTGCACACATCACAAACGTGATTCTGCGAATGCTTCTGTCTAGTTTTTGTCGGAAGATATTTCCTTTTTCAGCATAGGCCCCAAGGAGCTCAAAATGTCCACTTCCAGATAGTACGAGAAGATTGTTTCAAACCTGCTCTGTGAAAGGGAATGTTCAACTCTGTGACTTGAATGTAAACATCCCTAAGATGTTTCTTAGAATGCTTCTGGCTAGATTTGATTTGAAGATATTCCCGTTTCCAACGAAATCCTCAAAGCTTTCCAAATATCCACTTCCAGATTCTATAAAAAGAATGTTTCAGAACAGTTCTGTCAAAAGAAAGGTTCAACTCTGTTAGTGGAGAACACACATCACAATCAAGGTTCTGAGAATGCTTCTGTCTAAATTTTCTATGAAGACATTCCCGTTTCCAACGAAATCCTCACAGCTATCCAAATATCCACTTGCAGATTCTACAAAAAGTGTGGTTCAAAACTGCTGTATCAAAAGAATGGATCAACACTGTTAGTTGAGTACCCACATCACAAACGTGATTCTCAGAATGCTTCTGTCTAGTTTCTATAGGTAGATATTTCCTTTTTCAGCATAGGCCTGAAAGCGCTCCAAATGCCCGCTTCCAGACACTATAAAAAGAGGGTTTCAAACCTACTCTATGAAAGGGAATGTTCAACTCTGAGAGCTGGATGCAAACATCACAAAGAAGTTTCTGAGAATGCTGCTGTCTACTTTTGATATATAATCCCGTTTCCAACGAAATCCTCAAATCTATCCAAATATCCACTTGCAGATTCCAAAAGAAGAGTGTCTCAAAACTGCTCTATCAATAGAAATGTTCAGCACAGTTAGTTGAGTAGATACAGCATAAACATGTTTCTGAGATTACTTCTATCTCGCATTCATGGGAAGATATTTCCTTTTTCCAGATAGGCTACAAAGCCCTCCAAATGTCCACTTCCAGATACTACAAAGAGTGTTTCCAACCTGCTCTATGAAACGGAAGGTTCAACTCTGTGACTTGATTGCAAACATCACGAAGGTGTTTCTGAGAATGCTTCTGTCTAGATTTTCTTTGAAGACATTACCGTTTCCAACGAAATCCTCAAAGCTAGCCAAATATCCACCTGCAGATTCTACAAAAAGAGTGTTTCAAAAGTGCTCTGTCCAAACCAAGGTTCAATTCTGACAGTTGAGTGCACACATCACAAACGTGATTCTGCGAATGCTTCTGTCTAGTTTTTGTCGGAAGATATTTCCTTTTTCAGCATAGGCCCCAAGGAGCTCAAAATGTCCACTGCCAGATAGTACGAGAAGATTGTTTCAAACCTGCTCTGTGAAAGGGAATGTTCAACTCTGTGACTTGAATGTAAACATCCCTAAGATGTTTCTTAGAATGCTTCTGGCTAGATTTTATTTGAAGATATTCCCGTTTCCAACGAAATCCTCAAAGCTTTCCAAATATCCACTTCCAGATTCTATAAAAAGAATGTTTCAGAACAGTTCTGTCAAAAGAAAGGTTCAACTCTGTTAGTGGAGAACACACATCACAATCAAGGTTCTGAGAATGCTTCTGTCTAAATTTTCTATGAAGACATTCCCGTTTCCAACGAAATCCTCACAGCTATCCAAATATCCACTTGCAGATTCTACAAAAAGTGTGGTTCAAAACTGCTGTATCAAAAGAATGGATCAACACTGTTAGTTGAGTACCCACATCACAAACGTGATTCTCAGAATGCTTCTGTCTAGTTTCTATAGGTAGATATTTCCTTTTTCAGCATAGGCCTGAAAGCGCTCCAAATGCCCGCTTCCAGACACTATAAAAAGAGGGTTTCAAACCTACTCTATGAAAGGGAATGTTCAACTCTGAGAGCTGGATGCAAACATCACAAAGAAGTTTCTGAGAATGCTGCTGTCTACTTTTTATATATAATCCCGTTTCCAACGAAATCCTCAAATCTATCCAAATATCCACTTGCAGATTCCAAAAGAAGAGTGTCTCAAAACTGCTCTATCAATAGAAATGTTCAGCACAGTTAGTTGAGTAGATACAGCATAAACATGTTTCTGAGATTACTTCTATCTCGCATTCATGGGAAGATATTTCCTTTTTCCACATAGGCTACAAAGCCCTCCAAATGTCCACTTCCAGATACTAGAAATAGAGTGCTGCACAACTGCTCTATGTGAGGGGATGTTCAATTCTGTGACTTGAATGCAGACACCACAAAGAAGTTTCTGAGAATGCTGCTGTCTAATTTTTACATGTAAGCCCGTTTCCAACGAAATCCTCAAAGCTATCCAAATATCCGCATGCAGAATCTTCAAAAAGAGTGTTCCAGAAGTACTGCATGAAACGAAAGGTTCAAGTCCGTTTGTTGAGGACACACATCACAAATAAGTTTCTCAGAATGCTTCTGTCTTGTTTTCATTGGAAGATATTTCCTTTTTCACCATAGTTCAAAAAGCGCTCCAAATGTCCACTTCCAGATACTCCAAAAAGAGTGTTTCCAACCTGCTCTATGAATGGGAATGTTCCACTCTGTGACTTGAATGGAAACATGGCAAAGTATTTTCTGAGTATGCTGCTGTGTACGTTTTATATTGCCTCCCGTTTCCAACGAAATCCTCAAAGTGATCCAAATATCCACTTGCAGATTCCAAAAAAAAAGTGTTTCAAACTGCTCTGTCAGTACAAAGGTTCAACACTGTTAGTTGATTAGATGCATCATAAACAAGTTCCTGAGATAGCTTCTATGTCGTTTTTATGGGAAGATATTTCCTTTTTCACCATAGGCCTGAAAGCGCTCCAAATGTCCACTTCCAGATACTACAATAAGAGTGTTTCCAACCTGCTCTATGAAACGGAAGGTTCAACTCTGTGACTTGATTGCAAACATCACGAAGGTGTTTCTGAGAATGCTTCTGTCTAGATTTTCTTTGAAGACATTCCCGTTTCCAACGAAATCCTCACAGCTATCCAAATATCCTCTTGCAGATTCTACAAAAAGTGTGGTTCAAAACTGCTGTATCAAAAGAATGGATCAACACTGTTAGTTGAGTACCCACATCACAAACGTGATTCTCAGAATGCTTCTGTCTAGTTTCTGTAGGTAGATATTTCCTATTTTAAGCATAGGCCTGAAAGCGCTCCAAATGCCCGCTTCCAGACACTATAAAAAGAGGGTTTCAAACCTACTCTATGAAAGGGAATGTTCAACTCTGAGAGCTGGATGCAAACATCACAAAGAAGTTTCTGAGAATGCTGCTGTCTACTTTTTATATATAATCCCGTTTCCAACGAAATCCTCAAATCTATCCAAATATCCACTTGCAGATTCCAAAAGAAGAGTGTCTCAAAACTGCTCTATCAATAGAAATGTTCAGCACAGTTAGTTGAGTAGATACAGCATAAACATGTTTCTGAGATTACTTCTATCTCGCATTCATGGGAAGATATTTCCTTTTTCCACATAGGCTACAAAGCCCTCCAAATGTCCACTTCCAGATACTACAAAAAGAGTGTTTCCAACCTGCTCTATGAAACGGAAGGTTCAACTCTGTGACTTGATTGCAAACATCACGAAGGTGTTTCTGAGAATGCTTCTGTCTAGATTTTCTTTGAAGACATTACCGTTTCCAACGAAATCCTCAAAGCTAGCCAAATATCCACCTGCAGATTCTACAAAAAGAGTGTTTCAAAAGTGCTCTGTCCAAACCAAGGTTCAATTCTGACAGTTGAGTGCACACATCACAAACGTGATTCTGCGAATGCTTCTGTCTAGTTTTTGTCGGAAGATATTTCCTTTTTCAGCATAGGCCCCAAGGAGCTCAAAATGTCCACTGCCAGATAGTACGAGAAGATTGTTTCAAACCTGCTCTGTGAAAGGGAATGTTCAACTCTGTGACTTGAATGTAAACATCCCTAAGATGTTTCTTAGAATGCTTCTGGCTAGATTTTATTTGAAGATATTCCCGTTTCCAACGAAATCCTCAAAGCTTTCCAAATATCCACTTCCAGATTCTATAAAAAGAATGTTTCAGAACAGTTCTGTCAAAAGAAAGGTTCAACTCTGTTAGTGGAGAACACACATCACAATCAAGGTTCTGAGAATGCTTCTCTCTAAATTTTCTATGAAGACATTCCCGTTTCCAACGAAATCCTCACAGCTATCCAAATATCCACTTGCAGATTCTACAAAAAGTGTGGTTCAAAACTGCTGTATCAAAAGAATGGATCAACACTGTTAGTTGAGTACCCACATCACAAACGTGATTCTCGGAATGCTTCTGTCTAGTTTCTATAGGTAGATATCTCCTTTTTCAGCATAGGCCTGAAAGCGCTCCAAATGCCCGCTTCCAGACACTATAAAAAGAGGGTTTCAAACCTACTCTATGAAAGGGAATGTTCAACTACTGAGAGCTGGATGCAAACATCACAAAGAAGTTTCTGAGAATGCTGCTGTCTACTTTTTATATATAATCCCGTTTCCAACGAAATCCTCAAATCTATCCAAATATCCACTTGCAGATTCCAAAAGAAGAGTGTCTGAAAACTGCTCTATCAATAGAAATGTTCAGCACAGTTAGTTGAGTAGATACAGCATAAACATGTTTCTGAGATTACTTCTATCTCGCATTCATGGGAAGATATTTCCTTTTTCCAGATAGGCTACAAAGCCCTCCAAATGTCCACTTCGAGATACTACAAATAGAGTGCTGCACAACTGCTCTATGTGAGGGGAAGTTCAATTCTGTGACTTGAATGCAGACACCACAAAGAAGTTTCTGAGAATGCTGCTGTCTAATTTTTACATGTAAGCCCGTTTCCAACGAAATCCTCAAAGCTATCCAAATATCCGCATGCAGAATCTTCAAAAAGAGTGTTCCAGAAGTACTGCATGAAACGAAAGGTTCAAGTCCGTTTGTTGAGGACACACATCACAAATAAGTTTCTCAGAATGCTTCTGTGTTGTTTTCATTGGAAGATATTTCCTTTTTCACCATAGTTCAGAAAGCGCTCCAAATGTCCACTTCCAGATACTCCAAAAAGAGTGTTTCAAACCTGCTCTATGAATGGGAATGTTCCACTCTGTGACTTGAATGGAAATATGGCAAAGTATTTTCTGAGTATGCTGCTGTGTACGTTTTATATTGCATCCCGTTTCCAACGAAATCCTCAAAGCGATCCAAATATCCACTTGCAGATTCCAAAAAAAGAGTGTTTCAAACTGCTCTGTCAGTACAAAGGTTCAACACTGTTAGTTGATTAGATGCATCATAAACAAGTTCCTGAGATAGCTTCTATGTCGTTTTTATGGGAAGATATTTCCTTTTTCACCATAGGCCTGAAAGCGCTCCAAATGTCCACTTCCAGATACTACAATAAGAGTGTTTCCAACCTGCTCTATGAAACGGAAGGTTCAACTCTGTGACTTGATTGCAAACATCACGAAGGTGTTTCTGAGAATGCTTCTGTCTAGATTTTCTTTGAAGACATTCCCGTTTCCAACGAAATCCTCACAGCTATCCAAATATCCTCTTGCAGATTCTACAGAAAGTGTGGTTCAAAACTGCTGTATCAAAAGAATGGATCAACACTGTTAGTTGAGTACCCACATCACAAACGTGATTCTCAGAATGCTTCTGTCTAGTTTCTGTAGGTAGATATTTCCTATTTTAAGCATAGGCCTGAAAGCGCTCCAAATGCCCGCTTCCAGACACTATAAAAAGAGGGTTTCAAACCTACTCTATGAAAGGGAATGTTCAACTCTGAGAGCTGGATGCAAACATCACAAAGAAGTTTCTGAGAATGCTGCTGTCTACTTTTTATATATAATCCCGTTTCCAACGAAATCCTCAAATCTATCCAAATATCCACTTGCAGATTCCAAAAGAAGAGTGTCTCAAAACTGCTCTATCAATAGAAATGTTCAGCACAGTTAGTTGAGTAGATACAGCATAAACATGTTTCTGAGATTACTTCTATCTCGCATTCATGGGAAGATATTTCCTTTTTCCAGATAGGCTACAAAGCCCTCCAAATGTCCACTTCCAGATACTACAAATAGAGTGCTGCACAACTGCTCTATGTGAGGGGAAGTTCAATTCTGTGACTTGAATGCAGACACCACAAAGAAGTTTCTGAGAATGCTGCTGTCTAATTTTTACATGTAAGCCCGTTTCCAACGAAATCCTCAAAGCTATCCAAATATCCGCATGCAGAATCTTCAAAAAGAGTGTTCCAGAAGTACTGCATGAAACGAAAGGTTCAAGTCCGTTTGTTGAGGACACACATCACAAATAAGTTTCTCAGAATGCTTCTGTCTTGTTTTCATTGGAAGATATTTCCTTTTTCACCATAGTTCAGAAAGCGCTCCAAATGTCCACTTCCAGATACTCCAAAAAGAGTGTTTCCAACCTGCTCTATGAATGGGAATGTTCCACTCTGTGACTTGAATGGAAATATGGCAAAGTATTTTCTGAGTATGCTGCTGTGTACGTTTTATATTGCATCCCGTTTCCAACGAAATCCTCAAAGTGATCCAAATATCCACTTGCAGATTCCAAAAAAAGAGTGTTTCAAACTGCTCTGTCAGTACAAAGGTTCAACACTGTTAGTTGATTAGATGCATCATAAACAAGTTCCTGAGATAGCTTCTATATCGTTTTTATGGGAAGATATTTCCTTTTTCACCATAGGCCTGAAAGCGCTCCAAATGTTCACTTCCAGATACTACAATAAGAGTGTTTCCAACCTGCTCTATGAAACGGAAGGTTCAACTCTGTGACTTGATTGCAAACATCACGAAGGTATTTCTGAGAATGCTTCTGTCTAGATTTTCTGTGAAGACATTACCGTTTCCAACGAAATCCTCAAAGCTAGCCAAATATCCACCTGCAGATTCTACAAAAAGAGTGTTTCAAAAGTGCTCTGTCCAAACCAAGGTTCAATTCTGACAGTTGAGTGCACACATCACAAACGTGATTCTGCGAATGCTTCTGTCTAGTTTTTGTCGGAAGATATTTCCTTTTTCAGCATAGGCCCCAAGGAGCTCAAAATGTCCACTGCCAGATAGTACGAGAAGATTGTTTCAAACCTGCTCTGTGAAAGGGAATGTTCAACTCTGTGACTTGAATGTAAACATCCCTAAGATGTTTCTTAGAATGCTTCTGGCTAGATTTTATTTGAAGATATTCCCGTTTCCAACGAAATCCTCAAAGCTTTCCAAATATCCACTTCCAGATTCTATAAAAAGAATGTTTCAGAACAGTTCTGTCAAAAGAAAGGTTCAACTCTCTTAGTGGAGAACACACATCACAAACAAGGTTCTGAGAATGCTTCTATCTAAATTTTCTATGAAGACATTCCCGTTTCCAACGAAATCCTCACAGCTATCCAAATATCCACTTGCAGATTCTACAAAAAGTGTGGTTCAAAACTGCTGTATCAAAAGAATGGATCAACACTGTTAGTTGAGTACCCACATCACAAACGTGATTCTCAGAATGCTTCTGTCTAGTTTCTGTAGGTAGATATTTCCTATTTTAAGCATAGGCCTGAAAGCGCTCCAAATGCCCGCTTCCAGACACTATAAAAAGGGGGTTTCAAACCTACTCTATGAAAGGGAATGTTCAACTCTGAGAGCTGGATGCAAACATCACAAAGAAGTTTCTGAGAATGCTGCTGTCTACTTTTTATATATAATCCCGTTTCCAACGAAATCCTCAAATCTATCCCAAAATATCCACTTGCAGATTCCAAAAGAAGAGTGTCTCAAAACTGCTCTATCAATAGAAATGTTCAGCACAGTTAGTTGAGTAGATACAGCATAAACATGTTTCTGAGATTACTTCTATCTCGCATTCATGGGAAGATATTTCCTTTTTCCAGATAGGCTACAAAGCCCTCCAAATGTCCACTTCCAGATACTACAAATAGAGTGCTGCACAACTGCTCTATGTGAGGGGAAGTTCAATTCTGTGACTTGAATGCAGACACCACAAAGAAGTTTCTGAGAATGCTGCTGTCTAATTTTTACATGTAAGCCCGTTTCCAACGAAATCCTCAAAGCTATCCAAATATCCGCATGCAGAATCTTCAAAAAGAGTGTTCCAGAAGTACTGCATGAAACGAAAGGTTCAAGTCCGTTTGTTGAGGACACACATCACAAATAAGTTTCTCAGAATGCTTCTGTCTTGTTTTCATTGGAAGTTATTTCCTTTTTCACCATAGTTCAGAAAGCGCTCCAAATGTCCACTTCCAGATACTCCAAAAAGAGTGTTTCAAACCTGCTCTATGAATGGGAATGTTCCACTCTGTGACTTGAATGGAAATATGGCAAAGTATTTTCTGAGTATGCTGCTGTGTACGTTTTATATTGCATCCCGTTTCCAACGAAATCCTCAAAGCGATCCAAATATCCACTTGCAGATTCCAAAAAAAGAGTGTTTCAAACTGCTCTGTCAGTACAAAGGTTCAACACTGTTAGTTGATTAGATGCATCATAAACAAGTTCCTGAGATAGCGTCTATGTCGTTTTTATGGGAAGATATTTCCTTTTTCACCATAGGCCTGAAAGCGCTCCAAATGTCCACTTCCAGATACTACAAAAAGAGTGTTTCCAACCTGCTCTATGAAACGGAAGGTTCAACTCTGTGACTTGATTGCAAACATCACGAAGGTGTTTCTGAGAATGCTTCTGTCTAGATTTTCTTTGAAGACATTACCGTTTCCAACGAAATCCTCAAAGCTAGCCAAATATCCACCTGCAGATTTTACAAAAAGAGTGTTTCAAGAGTGCAATCTCCAAACCAAGGTTCAATTCTGACAGTTGAGTGCACACATCACAAACGTGTTTCTGCGAATGCTTCTGTCTAGTTTTTGTCGGAAGATATTTCCTTTTTCAGCATAGGCCCCAAGGAGCTCAAAATGTCCACTGCCAGATAGTACGAGAAGATTGTTTCAAACCTGCTCTGTGAAAGGGAATGTTCAACTCTGTGACTTGAATGTAAACATCCCTAAGATGTTTCTTAGAATGCTTCTGGCTAGATTTTATTTGAAGATATTCCCGTTTCCAACGAAATCCTCAAAGCTTTCCAAATATCCACTTCCAGATTCTATAAAAAGAATGTTTCAGAACAGTTCTGTCAAAAGAAAGGTTCAACTCTGTTAGTGGAGAACACACATCACAATCAAGGTTCTGAGAATGCTTCTGTCTAAATTTTCTATGAAGACATTCCCGTTTCCAACGAAATCCTCACAGCTATCCAAATATCCACTTGCAGATTCTACAAAAAGTGTGGTTCAAAACTGCTGTATCAAAAGAATGGATCAACACTGTTAGTTGAGTACCCACATCACAAACGTGATTCTCAGAATGCTTCTGTCTAGTTTCTATAGGTAGATATTTCCTTTTTCAGCATAGGCCTGAAAGCGCTCCAAATGCCCGCTTCCAGACACTATAAAAAGAGGGTTTCAAACCTACTCTATGAAAGGGAATGTTCAACTCTGAGAGCTGGATGCAAACATCACAAAGAAGTTTCTGAGAATGCTGCTGTCTACTTTTGATATATAATCCCGTTTCCAACGAAATCCTCAAATCTATCCAAATATCCACTTGCAGATTCCAAAAGAAGAGTGTCTCAAAACTGCTCTATCAATAGAAATGTTCAGCACAGTTAGTTGAGTAGATACAGCATAAACATGTTTCTGAGATTACTTCTATCTCGCATTCATGGGAAGATATTTCCTTTTTCCAGATAGGCTACAAAGCCCTCCAAATGTCCACTTCCAGATACTACAAAAAGAGTGTTTCCAACCTGCTCTATGAAACGGAAGGTTCAACTCTGTGACTTGATTGCAAACATCACGAAGGTGTTTCTGAGAATGCTTCTGTCTAGATTTTCTTTGAAGACATTACCGTTTCCAACGAAATCCTCAAAGCTAGCCAAATATCCACCTGCAGATTCTACAAAAAGAGTGTTTCAAAAGTGCTCTGTCCAAACCAAGGTTCAATTCTGACAGTTGAGTGCACACATCACAAACGTGATTCTGCGAATGCTTCTGTCTAGTTTTTGTCGGAAGATATTTCCTTTTTCAGCATAGGCCCCAAGGAGCTCAAAATGTCCACTGCCAGATAGTACGAGAAGATTGTTTCAAACCTGCTCTGTGAAAGGGAATGTTCAACTCTGTGACTTGAATGTAAACATCCCTAAGATGTTTCTTAGAATGCTTCTGGCTAGATTTTATTTGAAGATATTCCCGTTTCCAACGAAATCCTCAAAGCTTTCCAAATATCCACTTCCAGATTCTATAAAAAGAATGTTTCAGAACAGTTCTGTCAAAAGAAAGGTTCAACTCTGTTAGTGGAGAACACACATCACAATCAAGGTTCTGAGAATGCTTCTCTCTAAATTTTCTATGAAGACATTCCCGTTTCCAACGAAATCCTCACAGCTATCCAAATATCCACTTGCAGATTCTACAAAAAGTGTGGTTCAAAACTGCTGTATCAAAAGAATGGATCAACACTGTTAGTTGAGTACCCACATCACAAACTTGATTCTCAGAATGCTTCTGTCTAGTTTCTATATGTAGATATTTCCTTTTTCAGCATAGGCCTGAAAGCGCTCCAAATGCCCGCTTCCGGACACTATAAAAAGAGGGTTTCAAACCTACTCTATGAAAGGGAATGTTCAACTCTGAGAGCTGGATGCAAACATCACAAAGAAGTTTCTGAGAATGCTGCTGTCTACTTTTTATATATAATCCCGTTTCCAACGAAATCCTCAAATCTATCCAAATATCCACTTGCAGATTCCAAAAGAAGAGTGTCTCAAAACTGCTCTATCAATAGAAATGTTCAGCACAGTTAGTTGAGTAGATACAGCATAAACATGTTTCTGAGATTACTTCTATCTCGCATTCATGGGAAGATATTTCCTTTTTCCAGATAGGCTACAAAGCCCTCCAAATGTCCACTTCCAGATACTACAAATAGAGTGCTGCACAACTGCTCTATGTGAGGGGATGTTCAATTCTGTGACTTGAATGCAGACACCACAAAGAAGTTTCTGAGAATGCTGCTGTCTAATTTTTACATGTAAGCCCGTTTCCAACGAAATCCTCAAAGCTATCCAAATATCCGCATGCAGAATCTTCAAAAAGAGTGTTCCAGAAGTACTGCATGAAACGAAAGGTTCAAGTCCGTTTGTTGAGGACACACATCACAAATAAGTTTCTCAGAATGCTTCTGTCTTGTTTTCATTGGAAGATATTTCCTTTTTCACCATAGTTCAGAAAGCGCTCCAAATGTCCACTTCCAGATACTCCAAAAAGAGTGTTTCAAACCTGCTCTATGAATGGGAATGTTCCACTCTGTGACTTGAATGGAAATATGGCAAAGTATTTTCTGAGTATGCTGCTGTGTACGTTTTATATTGCATCCCGTTTCCAACGAAATCCTCAAAGCGATCCAAATATCCACTTGCAGATTCCAAAAAAAGAGTGTTTCAAACTGCTCTGTCAGTACAAAGGTTCAACACTGTTAGTTGATTAGATGCATCATAAACAAGTTCCTGAGATAGCTTCTCTCTCGCATTCATGGGAAGATATTTCCTTTTTCCAGATAGGCTACAAAGCCCTCCAAATGTCCACTTCCAGATACTACAAAAAGAGTGTTTCCAACCTGCTCTATGAAACGGAAGGTTCAACTCTGTGACTTGATTGCAAACATCACGAAGGTGTTTCTGAGAATGCTTCTGTCTAGATTTTCTTTGAAGACATTACCGTTTCCAACGAAATCCTCAAAGCTAGCCAAATATCCACCTGCAGATTCTACAAAAAGAGTGTTTCAAAAGTGCTCTGTCCAAACCAAGGTTCAATTCTGACAGTTGAGTGCACACATCACAAACGTGATTCTGCGAATGCTTCTGTCTAGTTTTTGTCGGAAGATATTTCCTTTTTCAGCATAGGCCCCAAAGAGCTCAAAATGTCCACTGCCAGATAGTACGAGAAGATTGTTTCAAACCTGCTCTGTGAAAGGGAATGTTCAACTCTGTGACTTGAATGTAAACATCCCTAAGATGTTTCTTAGAATGCTTCTGGCTAGATTTTATTTGAAGATATTCCCGTTTCCAACGAAATCCTCAAAGCTTTCCAAATATCCACTTCCAGATTCTATAAAAAGAATGTTTCAGAACAGTTCTGTCAAAAGAAAGGTTCAACTCTGTTAGTGGAGAACACACATCACAATCAAGGTTCTGAGAATGCTTCTGTCTAAATTTTCTATGAAGACATTCCCGTTTCCAACGAAATCCTCACAGCTATCCAAATATCCACTTGCAGATTCTACAAAAAGTGTGGTTCAAAACTGCTGTATCAAAAGAATGGATCAACACTGTTAGTTGAGTACCCACATCACAAACGTGATTCTCGGAATGCTTCTGTCTAGTTTCTATAGGTAGATATCTCCTTTTTCAGCATAGGCCTGAAAGCGCTCCAAATGCCCGCTTCCAGACACTATAAAAAGAGGGTTTCAAACCTACTCTATGAAAGGGAATGTTCAACTCTGAGAGCTGGATGCAAACATCACAAAGAAGTTTCTGAGAATGCTGCTGTCTACTTTTTATATATAATCCCGTTTCCAACGAAATCCTCAAATCTATCCAAATATCCACTTGCAGATTCCAAAAGAAGAGGGTCTCAAAACTGCTCTATCAATAGAAATGTTCAGCACAGTTAGTTGAGTAGATACAGCATAAACATGTTTCTGAGATTACTTCTATCTCGCATTCATGGGAAGATATTTCCTTTTTCCAGATAGGCTACAAAGCCCTCCAAATGTCCACTTCCAGATACTACAAATAGAGTGCTGCACAACTGCTCTATGTGAGGGGAAGTTCAATTCTGTGACTTGAATGCAGACACCACAAAGAAGTTTCTGAGAATGCTGCTGTCTAATTTTTACATGTAAGCCCGTTTCCAACGAAATCCTCAAAGCTATCCAAATATCCGCATGCAGAATCTTCAAAAAGAGTGTTCCAGAAGTACTGCATGAAACGAAAGGTTCAAGTCCGTTTGTTGAGGACACACATCACAAATAAGTTTCTCAGAATGCTTCTGTCTTGTTTTCATTGGAAGATATTTCCTTTTTCACCATAGTTCAGAAAGCGCTCCAAATGTCCACTTCCAGATACTCCAAAAAGAGTGTTTCCAACCTGCTCTATGAATGGGAATGTTCCACTCTGTGACTTGAATGGAAATATGGCAAAGTATTTTCTGAGTATGCTGCTGTGTACGTTTTATATTGCATCCCGTTTCCAACGAAATCCTCAAAGCGATCCAAATATCCACTTGCAGATTCCAAAAAAAGAGTGTTTCAAACTGCTCTGTCAGTACAAAGGTTCAACACTGTTAGTTGATTAGATGCATCATAAACAAGTTCCTGAGATAGCTTCTATGTCGTTTTTATGGGAAGATATTTCCTTTTTCACCATAGGCCTGAAAGCGCTCCAAATGTCCACTTCCAGATACTACAATAAGAGTGTTTCCAACCTGCTCTATGAAACGGAAGGTTCAACTCTGTGACTTGATTGCAAACATCACGAAGGTGTTTCTGAGAATGCTTCTGTCTAGATTTTCTTTGAAGACATTCCCGTTTCCAACGAAATCCTCACAGCTATCCAAATATCCTCTTGCAGATTCTACAAAAAGTGTGGTTCAAAACTGCTGTATCAAAAGAATGGATCAACACTGTTAGTTGAGTACCCACATCACAAACGTGATTCTCAGAATGCTTCTGTCTAGTTTCTGTAGGTAGATATTTCCTATTTTAAGCATAGGCCTGAAAGCGCTCCAAATGCCCGCTTCCAGACACTATAAAAAGAGGGTTTCAAACCTACTCTATGAAAGGGAATGTTCAACTCTGAGAGCTGGATGCAAACATCACAAAGAAGTTTCTGAGAATGCTGCTGTCTACTTTTTATATATAATCCCGTTTCCAACGAAATCCTCAAATCTATCCAAATATCCACTTGCAGATTCCAAAAGAAGAGTGTCTCAAAACTGCTCTATCAATAGAAATGTTCAGCACAGTTAGTTGAGTAGATACAGCATAAACATGTTTCTGAGATTACTTCTATCTCGCATTCATGGGAAGATATTTCCTTTTTCCAGATAGGCTACAAAGCCCTCCAAATGTCCACTTCCAGATACTACAAAAAGAGTGTTTCCAACCTGCTCTATGAAACGGAAGGTTCAACTCTGTGACTTGATTGCAAACATCACGAAGGTGTTTCTGAGAATGCTTCTGTCTAGATTTTCTTTGAAGACATTACCGTTTCCAACGAAATCCTCAAAGCTAGCCAAATATCCACCTGCAGATTCTACAAAAAGAGTGTTTCAAAAGTGCTCTGTCCAAACCAAGGTTCAATTCTGACAGTTGAGTGCACACATCACAAACGTGATTCTGCGAATGCTTCTGTCTAGTTTTTGTCGGAAGATATTTCCTTTTTCAGCATAGGCCCCAAGGAGCTCAAAATGTCCACTGCCAGATAGTACGAGAAGATTGTTTCAAACCTGCTCTGTGAAAGGGAATGTTCAACTCTGTGACTTGAATGTAAACATCCCTAAGATGTTTCTTAGAATGCTTCTGGCTAGATTTGATTTGAAGATATTCCCGTTTCCAACGAAATCCTCAAAGCTTTCCAAATATCCACTTCCAGATTCTATAAAAAGAATGTTTCAGAACAGTTCTGTCAAAAGAAAGGTTCAACTCTGTTAGTGGAGAACACACATCACAATCAAGGTTCTGAGAATGCTTCTGTCTAAATTTTCTATGAAGGCATTCCCGTTTCCAAGGAAATCCTCACAGCTATCCAAATATCCACTTGCAGATTCTACAAAAAGTGTGGTTCAAAACTGCTGTATCAAAAGAATGGATCAACACTGTTAGTTGAGTACCCACATCACAAACGTGATTGCTCAGAATGCTTCTGTCTAGTTTCTATAGGTAGATATTTCCTTTTTCAGCATAGGCCTGAAAGCGCTCCAAATGCCCGCTTCCAGACACTATAAAAAGAGGGTTTCAAACCTACTCTATGAAAGGGAATGTTCAACTCTGAGAGCTGGATGCAAACATCACAAAGAAGTTTCTGAGAATGCTGCTGTCTACTTTTGATATATAATCCCGTTTCCAACGAAATCCTCAAATCTATCCAAATATCCACTTGCAGATTCCAAAAGAAGAGTGTCTCAAAACTGCTCTATCAATAGAAATGTTCAGCACAGTTAGTTGAGTAGATACAGCATAAACATGTTTCTGAGATTACTTCTATCTCGCATTCATGGGAAGATATTTCCTTTTTCCAGATAGGCTACAAAGCCCTCCAAATGTCCACTTCCAGATACTACAAAGAGTGTTTCCAACCTGCTCTATGAAACGGAAGGTTCAACTCTGTGACTTGATTGCAAACATCACGAAGGTGTTTCTGAGAATGCTTCTGTCTAGATTTTCTTTGAAGACATTACCGTTTCCAACGAAATCCTCAAAGCTAGCCAAATATCCACCTGCAGATTCTACAAAAAGAGTGTTTCAAAAGTGCTCTGTCCAAACCAAAGGTTCAATTCTGACAGTTGAGTGCACACATCACAAACGTGATTCTGCGAATGCTTCTGTCTAGTTTTTCTCGGAAGATATTTCCTTTTTCAGCATAGGCCCCAAGGAGCTCAAAATGTCCACTTCCAGATAGTACGAGAAGATAGTTTCAAACCTGCTCTGTGAAAGGGAATGTTCAACTCTGTGAGTTGAATGTAAACATCCCTAAGATGTTTCTTAGAATGCTTCTGGCTAGATTTGATTTGAAGATATTCCCGTTTCCAACGAAATCCTCAAAGCTTTCCAAATATCCACTTCCAGATTCTATAAAAAGAATGTTTCAGAACAGTTCTGTCAAAAGAAAGGTTCAACTCTGTTAGTGGAGAACACACATCACAATCAAGGTTCTGAGAATGCTTCTGTCTAAATTTTCTATGAAGACATTCCCGTTTCCAACGAAATCCTCACAGCTATCCAAATATCCACTTGCAGATTCTACAAAAAGTGTGGTTCAAAACTGCTGTATCAAAAGAATGGATCAACACTGTTAGTTGAGTACCCACATCACAAACGTGATTCTCAGAATGCTTCTGTCTAGTTTCTATAGGTAGATATTTCCTTTTTCAGCATAGGCCTGAAAGCGCTCCAAATGCCCGCTTCCAGACACTATAAAAAGAGGGTTTCAAACCTACTCTATGAAAGGGAATGTTCAACTCTGAGAGCTGGATGCAAACATCACAAAGAAGTTTCTGAGAATGCTGCTGTCTACTTTTTATATATAATCCCGTTTCCAACGAAATCCTCAAATCTATCCAAATATCCACTTGCAGATTCCAAAAGAAGAGTGTCTCAAAACTGCTCTATCAATAGAAATGTTCAGCACAGTTAGTTGAGTAGATACAGCATAAACATGTTTCTGAGATTACTTCTATCTCGCATTCATGGGAAGATATTTCCTTTTTCCAGATAGGCTACAAAGCCCTCCAAATGTCCACTTCCAGATACTACAAATAGAGTGCTGCACAACTGCTCTATGTGAGGGGATGTTCAATTCTGTGACTTGAATGCAGACACCACAAAGAAGTTTCTGAGAATGCTGCTGTCTAATTTTTACATGTAAGCCCGTTTCCAACGAAATCCTCAAAGCTATCCAAATATCCGCATGCAGAATCTTCAAAAAGAGTGTTCCAGAAGTACTGCATGAAACGAAAGGTTCAAGTCCGTTTGTTGAGGACACACATCACAAATAAGTTTCTCAGAATGCTTCTGTCTTGTTTTCATTGGAAGATATTTCCTTTTTCACCATAGTTCAGAAAGCGCTCCAAATGTCCACTTCCAGATACTCCAAAAAGAGTGTTTCCAACCTGCTCTATGAATGGGAATGTTCCACTCTGTGACTTGAATGGAAATATGGCAAAGAATTTTCTGAGTATGCTGCTGTGTACGTTTTATATTGCATCCCGTTTCCAACGAAATCCTCAAAGCGATCCAAATATCCACTTGCAGATTCCAAAAAAAGAGTGTTTCAAACTGCTCTGTCAGTACAAAGGTTCAACACTGTTAGTTGATTAGATGCCTCATAAACAAGTTCCTGAGATAGCTTCTATGTTGTTTTTATGGGAAGATATTTCCTTTTTCACCATAGGCCTGAAAGCGCTCCAAATGTCCACTTCCAGATACTACAATAAGAGTGTTTCCAACCTGCTCTATGAAACGGAAGGTTCAACTCTGTGACTTGATTGCAAACATCACGAAGGTGTTTCTGAGAATGTTTCTGTCTAGATTTTCTTTGAAGACATTCCCGTTTCCAACGAAATCCTCACAGCTATCCAAATATCCTCTTGCAGATTCTACAAAAAGTGTGGTTCAAAACTGCTGTATCAAACGAATGGATCAACACTGTTAGTTGAGTACCCACATCACAAACGAGATTCTCAGAATGCTTCTGTCTAGTTTCTGTAGGTAGATATTTCCTATTTTAAGCATAGGTCTGAAAGCGCTCCAAATGCCCGCTTCCAGACACTATAAAAAGAGGGTTTCAAACCTACTCTATGAAAGGGAATGTTCAACTCTGAGAGCTGGATGCAAACATCACAAAGAAGTTTCTGAGAATGCTGCTGTCTACTTTTTATATATAATCCCGTTTCCAACGAAATCCTCAAATCTCTCCAAATATCCACTTGCAGATTCCAAAAGAAGAGTGTCTCAAAACTGCTCTATCAATAGAAATGTTCAGCACAGTTAGTTGAGTAGATACAGCATAAACATGTTTCTGAGATTACTTCTATCTCGCATTCATGGGAAGATATTTCCTTTTTCCACATAGGCTACAAAGCCCTCCAAATGTCCACTTCCAGATACTACAAAAAGAGTGTTTCCAACCTGCTCTATGAAACGGAAGGTTCAACTCTGTGACTTGATTGCAAACATCACGAAGGTGTTTCTGAGAATGCTTCTGTCTAGATTTTCTTTGAAGACATTACCGTTTCCAACGAAATCCTCAAAGCTAGCCAAATATCCACCTGCAGATTCTACAAAAAGAGTGTTTCAAAAGTGCTCTGTCCAAACCAAGGTTCAATTCTGACAGTTGAGTGCACACATCACAAACGTGATTCTGCGAATGCTTCTGTCTAGTTTTTGTCGGAAGATATTTCCTTTTTCAGCATAGGCCCCAAGGAGCTCAAAATGTCCACTGCCAGATAGTACGAGAAGATTGTTTCAAACCTGCTCTGTGAAAGGGAATGTTCAACTCTGTGACTTGAATGTAAACATCCCTAAGATGTTTCTTAGAATGCTTCTGGCTAGATTTTATTTGAAGATATTCCCGTTTCCAACGAAATCCTCAAAGCTTTCCAAATATCCACTTCCAGATTCTATAAAAAGAATGTTTCACAACAGTTCTGTCAAAAGAAAGGTTCAACTCTGTTAGTGGAGAACACACATCACAATCAAGGTTCTGAGAATGCTTCTGTCTAAATTTTCTATGAAGACATTCCCGTTTCCAACGAAATCCTCACAGCTATCCAAATATCCACTTGCAGATTCTACAAAAAGTGTGGTTCAAAACTGCTGTATCAAAAGAATGGATCAACACTGTTAGTTGAGTACCCACATCACAAACGTGATTCTCAGAATGCTTCTGTCTAGTTTCTATAGGTAGATATTTCCTTTTTCAGCATAGGCCTGAAAGCGCTCCAAATGCCCGCTTCCAGACACTATAAAAAGAGGGTTTCAAACCTACTCTATGAAAGGGAATGTTCAACTCTGAGAGCTGGACGCAAACATCACAAAGAAGTTTCTGAGAATGCTGCTGTCTACTTTTTATATATAATCCCGTTTCCAAAGAAATCCTCAAATCTATCCAAATATCCACTTGCAGATTCCAAAAGAAGAGTGTCTCAAAACTGCTCTATCAATAGATATGTTCAGCACAGTTAGTTGAGTAGATACAGCATAAACATGTTTCTGAGATTACTTCTATCTCGCATTCATGGGAATATATTTCCTTTTTCCAGATAGGCTACAAAGCCCTCCAAATGTCCACTTCCAGATACTACAAAAAGAGTGTTTCCAACCTGCTCTATGAAACGGAAGGTTCAACTCTGTGACTTGATTGCAAACATCATGAAGGTGTTTCTGAGAATGCTTCTGTCTAGATTTTCTTTGAAGACATTACCGTTTCCAACGAAATCCTCAAAGCTAGCCAAATATCCACCTGCAGATTCTACAAAAAGAGTGTTTCAAAAGTGCTCTGTCCAAACCAAGGTTCAATTCTGACAGTTGAGTGCACACATCACAAACGTGATTCTGCGAATGCTTCTGTCTAGTTTTTGTCGGAAGATATTTCCTTTTTCAGCATAGGCCCCAAGGAGCTCAAAATGTCCACTGCCAGATAGTACGAGAAGATTGTTTCAAACCTGCTCTGTGAAAGGGAATGTTCAACTCTGTGACTTGAATGTAAACATCCCTAAGATGTTTCTTAGAATGCTTCTGGCTAGATTTGATTTGAAGATATTCCCGTTTCCAACGAAATCCTCAAAGCTTTCCAAATATCCACTTCCAGATTCTATAAAAAGAATGTTTCAGAACAGTTCTGTCAAAAGAAAGGTTCAACTCTGTTAGTGGAGAACACACATCACAATCAAGGTTCTGAGAATGCTTCTGTCTAAATTTTCTATGAAGACATTCCCGTTTCCAACGAAATCCTCACAGCTATCCAAATATCCACTTGCAGATTCTACAAAAAGTGTGGTTCAAAACTGCTGTATCAAAAGAATGGATCAACACTGTTAGTTGAGTACCCACATCACAAACGTGATTCTCAGAATGCTTCTGTCTAGTTTCTATAGGTAGATATTTCCTTTTTCAGCATAGGCCTGAAAGCGCTCCAAATGCCCGCTTCCAGACACTATAAAAAGAGGGTTTCAAACCTACTCTATGAAAGGGAATGTTCAACTCTGAGAGCTGGATGCAAACATCACAAAGAAGTTTCTGAGAATGCTGCTGTCTACTTTTTATATATAATCCCGTTTCCAACGAAATCCTCAAATCTATCCAAATATCCACTTGCAGATTCCAAAAGAAGAGTGTCTCAAAACTGCTCTATCAATAGAAATGTTCAGCACAGTTAGTTGAGTAGATACAGCATAAACATGTTTCTGAGATTACTTCTATCTCGCATTCATGGGAAGATATTTCCTTTTTCCAGATAGGCTACAAAGCCCTCCAAATGTCCACTTCGAGATACTACAAATAGAGTGCTGCACAACTGCTCTATATGAGGGGAAGTTCAATTCTGTGACTTGAATGCAGACACCACAAAGAAGTTTCTGAGAATTCTGCTGTCTAATTTTTACATGTAAGCCCGTTTCCAACGAAATCCTCAAAGCTATCCAAATATCCGCATGCAGAATCTTCAAAAAGAGTGTTCCAGAAGTACTGCATGAAACGAAAGGTTCAAGTCCGTTTGTTGAGGACACACATCACAAATAAGTTTCTCAGAATGCTTCTGTCTTGTTTTCATTGGAAGATATTTCCTTTTTCACCATAGTTCAGAAAGCGCTCCAAATGTCCACTTCCAGATACTCCAAAAAGAGTGTTTCCAACCTGCTCTATGAATGGGAATGTTCCACTCTGTGACTTGAATGGAAATATGGCAAAGTATTTTCTGAGTATGCTGCTGTGTACGTTTTATATTGCATCCCGTTTCCAACGAAATCCTCAAAGCGATCCAAATATCCACTTGCAGATTCCAAAAAAAGAGTGTTTCAAAGTGCTCTGTCAGTACAAAGGTTCAACACTGTTAGTTGATTAGATGCATCATAAACAATTTCCTGAGATAGCTTCTATGTCGTTTTTATGGGAAGATATTTCCTTTTTCACCATAGGCCTGAAAGCGCTCCAAATGTCCACTTCCAGATACTACAATAAGAGTGTTTCCAACCTGCTCTATGAAACGGAAGGTTCAACTCTGTGACTTGATTGCAAACATCACGAAGGTGTTTCTGAGAATGCTTCTGTCTAGATTTTCTTTGAAGACATTCCCGTTTCCAACGAAATCCTCACAGCTATCCAAATATCCTCTTGCAGATTCTACAAAAAGTGTGGTTCAAAACTGCTGTATCAAAAGAATGGATCAACTCTGTTAGTTGAGTACCCACATCACAAACGTGATTCTCAGAATGCTTCTGTCTAGTTTCTGTAGGTAGATATTTCCTATTTTAAGCATAGGCCTGAAAGCGCTCCAAATGCCCGCTTCCAGACACTATAAAAAGAGGGTTTCAAACCTACTCTATGAAAGGGAATGCTCAACTCTGAGAGCTGGATGCAAACATCACAAAGAAGTTTCTGAGAATGCTGCTGTCTACTTTTTATATATAATCCCGTTTCCAACGAAATCCTCAAATCTATCCTAATATCCACTTGCAGATTCCAAAAGAAGAGTGTCTCAAAACTGCTCTATCAATAGAAATGTTCAGCACAGTTAGTTGAGTAGATACAGCATAAACATGTTTCTGAGATTACTTCTATCTCGCATTCATGGGAAGATATTTCCTTTTTCCAGATAGGCTACAAAGCCCTCCAAATGTCCCCTTCCAGATACTACAAATAGAGTGCTGCACAACTGCTCTATGTGAGGGGAAGTTCAATTCTGTGACTTGAATGCAGACACCACAAAGAAGTTTCTGAGAATGCTGCTGTCTAATTTTTACATGTAAGCCCGTTTCCAACGAAATCCTCAAAGCTATCCAAATATCCGCATGCAGAATCTTCAAAAAGAGTGTTCCAGAAATACTGCATGAAACAAAAGGTTCAAGTCCGTTTGTTGAGGACACACATCACAAATAAGTTTCTCAGAATGCTTCTGTCTTGTTTTCATTGGAAGATATTTCCTTTTTCACCATAGTTCAGAAAGCGCTCCAAATGTCCACTTCCAGATACTCCAAAAAGAGTGTTTCCAATCTGCTCTATGAATGGGAATGTTCCACTCTGTGACTTGAATGGAAATATGGCAAAGTATTTTCTGAGTATGCTGCTGTGTACGTTTTATATTGCATCCCGTTTCCAACGAAATCCTCAAAGTGATCCAAATATCCACTTGCAGATTCCAAAAAAAGAGTGTTTCAAACTGCTCTGTCAGTACAAATGTTCAACACTGTTAGTTGATTAGATGCATCATAAACAAGTTCCTGAGATAGCTTCTATGTCGTTTTTATGGGAAGATATTTCTTTTTCACCATAGGCCTGAAAGCGCTCCAAATGTCCACTTCCAGATACTACAATAAGAGTGTTTCCAACCTGCTCTATGAAACGGAAGGTTCAACTCTGTGACTTGATTGCAAACATCACGAAGGTATTTCTGAGAATGCTTCTGTCTAGATTTTCTTTGAAGACATTCCCGTTTCCAACGAAATCCTCACAGCTATCCAAATATCCTCTTGCAGATTCTACAAAAAGTGTGGTTCAAAACTGCTGTATCAAAAGAATGGATCAACACTGTTAGTTGAGTACCCACATCACAAACGTGATTCTCAGAATGCTTCTGTCTAGTTTCTATAGGTAGATATTTCCTTTTTCAGCATAGGCCTGAAAGCGCTCCAAATGCCCGCTTCCAGACACTATAAAAAGAGGGTTTCAAACCTACTCTATGAAAGGGAATGTTCAACTCTGGGAGCTGGATGCAAACATCACAAAGAAGTTTCTGAGAATGCTGCTGTCTACTTTTTATATATAATCCCGTTGCCAACGAAATCCTGAAATCTATCCAAATATCCACTTGCAGATTCCAAAAGAAGAGTGTCTCAAAACTGCTCTATCAATAGAAATGTTCAGCACAGTTAGTTGAGTAGATACAGCATAAACATGTTTCTGATATTACTTCTATCTCGCATTCATGGGAAGATATTTCCTTTATCCAGATAGGCTACAAAGCCCTCCAAATGTCCACTTCGAGATACTACAAATAGAGTGCTGCACAGCTGCTCTATGTGAGGGGATGTTCAATTCTGTGACTTGAATACAGACACCACAAAGAAGTTTTGATAATGCTGCTGTCTAATTTTTATATGTAAGCCCGTTTCCAAAGAAATCCTCAAAGCTATCCAAATATCCGCATGCAGAATCTTCAAAAAGAGTGTTCCAGAAGTACTGCATGAAACGAAAGGTTCAAGTCCGTTAGTGGAGGACACACATCAAAAATAAGTTTCTCAGAATGCTTCTGTCTTGTTTTCATTGGAAGTATATTTCCTCTTTCACCATAGTTCAGAAAGCGCTCCAAATGTCCACTTCCAGATACTACAAAAGGAGTGTTTCCAACCTGCTCTATGAATGGGAATGTTCCACTCTGTGACTTGAATGGAAATATGGCAAAGTATTTTCTGAGTATGCTGCTGTGTACGTTTTATATTGCATCCCGTTTCCAACGAAATCCTCAAAGCGATCCAAATATCCACTTGCAGATTCCAAAAAAAGAGTGTTTCAAACTGCTCTGTCAGTACAAAGGTTCAACACTGTTAGTTGATTAGATGCATCATAAACAAGTTCCTGAGATAGCTTCTATGTCGTTTTTATGGGAAGCTATTTCCTTTTTCACCATAGGCCTGAAAGCGCTCCAGATGTCCACTTCCAGATACTACAAAAAGAGTGTTTCCAACCTGCTCTATGAAACGGAAGGTTCAACTCTGTGACTTGATTGCAAACATCACGAAGGTGTTTCTGAGGATGTTTCTGTCTAGATTTTCTTTGAAGACATTACCGTTTCCAACGAAATCCTCAAAGCTAGCCAAATATCCACCTGCAGATTCTACAAAAAGAGTGTTTCAAAAGTGCTCTGTCCAAACAAAGGTTCAATTCTGACAGTTGAGTGCACACATCACAAACGTGATTCTGCGAATGCTTCTGTCTGGTTCTTGTCGGAAGATATTTCCTTTTTCAGCATAAGCCCCAAGGAGCTCAAAATGTCCACTTCCAGATAGTACGAGAAGATTGTTTCAAACCTGCTCTGTGAAAGGGAATGTTCAACTCTGTGACTTGAATGTAAACATCCCTAAGATGTTTCTTAGAATGCTTCTGGCTAGATTTTATTTGAAGATATTCCCGTTTCCAACGAAATCCTCAAAGCTTTCCAAATATCCACTTCCAGATTCTATAAAAAGAATGTTTCAGAACAGTTCTGTCAAAAGAAAGGTTCAACTCTGTTAGTGGAGAACACACATCACAATCAAGGTTCTGAGAATGCTTCTGTCTAGCATTTTCTTTGAAGACATTCCCGTTTCCAACGAAATCCTCACAGCTATCCAAATATCCTCTTGCAGATTCTACAAAAAGTGTGGTTCAAAACTGCTGTATCAAAAGAATGGATCAACACTGTTAGTTGAGTACCCACATCACAAACGTGATTCTCAGAATGCTTCTGTCTAGTTTCTGTAGGTAGATATTTCCTATTTTAAGCATAGGCCTGAAAGCGCTCCAAATGCCCGCTTCCAGACACTATAAAAAGAGGGTTTCAAACCTACTCTATGAAAGGGAATGTTCAAATCTGAGAGCTGGATGCAAACATCACAAAGAAGTTTCTGAGAATGCTGCTGTCTACTTTTTATATATAATCCCGTTTCCAACGAAATCCTCAAATCTATCCAAATATCCACTTGCAGATTCCAAAAGAAGAGTGTCTCAAAACTGCTCTATCAATAGAAATGTTCAGCACAGTTAGTTGAGTAGATACAGCATAAACATGTTTCTGAGATTACTTCTATCTCGCATTCATGGGAAGATATTTCCTTTTTCCAGATAGGCTACAAAGCCCTCCAAATGTCCACTTCCAGATACTACAAATAGAGTGCTGCACAACTGCTCTATGTGAGGGGATGTTCAATTCTGTGACTTGAATGCAGACACCACAAAGAAGTTTCTGAGAATGCTGCTGTCTAATTTTTACATGTAAGCCCGTTTCCAACGAAATCCTCAAAGCTATCCAAATATCCGCATGCAGAATCTTCAAAAAGAGTGTTCCAGAAGTACTGCATGAAACGAAAGGTTCAAGTCCCGTTTGTTGAGGACACACATCACAAATAAGTTTCTCAGAATGCTTCTGTCTTGTTTTCATTGGAAGATATTTCCTTTTTCACCATAGTTCAGAAAGCGCTCCAAATGTCCACTTCCAGATACTCCAAAAAGAGTGTTTCCAACCTGCTCTATGAATGGGAATGTTCCACTCTGTGACTTGAATGGAAATATGGCAAAGTATTTTCTGAGTATGCTGCTGTGTACGTTTTATATTGCATCCCGTTTCCAACGAAATCCTCAAAGCGATCCAAATATCCACTTGCAGATTCCAAAAAAAGAGTGTTTCAAACTGCTCTGTCAGTACAAAGGTTCAACACTGTTAGTTGATTAGATGCATCATAAACAAGTTCCTGAGATAGCTTCTATGTCGTTTTTATGGGAAGATATTTCCTTTTTCACCATAGGCCTGAAAGCGCTCCAAATGTCCACTTCCAGATACTACAATAAGAGTGTTTCCAACCTGCTCTATGAAACGGAAGGTTCAACTCTGTGACTTGATTGCAAACATCACGAAGGTGTTTCTGAGAATGCTTCTGTCTAGATTTTCTTTGAAGACATTCCCGTTTCCAACGAAATCCTCACAGCTATCCAAATATCCTCTTGCAGATTCTACAAAAAGTGTGGTTCAAAACTGCTGTATCAAAAGAATGGATCAACACTGTTAGTTGAGTACCCACATCACAAACGTGATTCTCAGAATGCTTCTGTCTAGTTTCTGTAGGTAGATATTTCCTATTTTAAGCATAGGCCTGAAAGCGCTCCAAATGCCCGCTTCCAGACACTATAAAAAGAGGGTTTCAAACCTACTCTATGAAAGGGAATGTTCAACTCTGAGAGCTGGATGCAAACATCACAAAGAAGTTTCTGAGAATGCTGCTGTCTACTTTTTATATATAATCCCGTTTCCAACGAAATCCTCAAATCTATCCAAATATCCACTTGCAGATTCCAAAAGAAGAGTGTCTCAAAACTGCTCTATCAATAGAAATGTTCAGCACAGTTAGTTGAGTAGATACAGCATAAACATGTTTCTGAGATTACTTCTATCTCGCATTCATGGGAAGATATTTCCTTTTTCCAGATAGGCTACAAAGCCCTCCAAATGTCCACTTCCAGATACTACAAATAGAGTGCTGCACAACTGCTCTATGTGAGGGGATGTTCAATTCTGTGACTTGAATGCAGACACCACAAAGAAGTTTCTGAGAATGCTGCTGTCTAATTTTTACATGTAAGCCCGTTTCCAACGAGATCCTCAAAGCTATCCAAATATCCGCATGCAGAATCTTCAAAAAGAGTGTTCCAGAAGTACTGCATGAAACGAAAGGTTCAAGTCCGTTTGTTGAGGACACACATCACAAATAAGTTTCTCAGAATGCTTCTGTCTTGTTTTCATTGGAAGATATTTCCTTTTTCACCATAGTTCAGAAAGCGCTCCAAATGTCCACTTCCAGATACTCCAAAAAGAGTGTTTCAAACCTGCTCTATGAATGGGAATGTTCCACTCTGTGACTTGAATGGAAATATGGCAAAGTATTTTCTGAGTATGCTGCTGTGTACGTTTTATATTGCATCCCGTTTCCAACGAAATCCTCAAAGCGATCCAAATATCCACTTGCAGATTCCAAAAAAAGAGTGTTTCAAACTGCTCTGTCAGTACAAAGGTTCAACACTGTTAGTTGATTAGATGCATCATAAACAAGTTCCTGAGATAGCTTCTATGTCGTTGTTATGGGAAGATATTTCCTTTTTCACCATAGGCCTGAAAGCGCTCCAAATGTCCACTTCCAGATACTACAATAAGAGTGTTTCCAACCTGCTCTATGAAACGGAAGGTTCAACTCTGTGACTTGATTGCAAACATCACGAAGGTGTTTCTGAGAATGCTTCTGTCTAGATTTTCTTTGAAGACATTCCCGTTTCCAACGAAATCCTCACAGCTATCCAAATATCCTCTTGCAGATTCTACAAAAAGTGTGGTTCAATACTGCTGTATCAAAAGAATGGATCAACACTGTTAGTTGAGTACCCACATCACAAACGTGATTCTCAGAATGCTTCTGTCTAGTTTCTGTAGGTAGATATTTCCTATTTTAAGCATAGGCCTGAATGCGCTCAAAATGCCCGCTTCCAGACACTATAAAAAGAGGGTTTCAAACCTACTCTATGAAAGGGAATGTTCAACTCTGAGAGCTGGATGCAAACATCACAAAGAAGTTTCTGAGAATGCTGCTGTCTACTTTTTATATATAATCCCGTTTCCAACGAAATCCTCAAATCTATCCAAATATCCACTTGCAGATTCCAAAAGAAGAGTGTCTCAAAACTGCTCTATCAATAGAAATGTTCAGCACAGTTAGTTGAGTAGATACAGCATAAACATGTTTCTGAGATTACTTCTATCTCGCATTCATGGGAAGATATTTCCTTTTTCCAGATAGGCTACAAAGCCCTCCAAATGTCCACTTCCAGATACTACAAATAGAGTGCTGCACAACTGCTCTATGTGAGGGGAAGTTCAATTCTGTGACTTGAATGCAGACACCACAAAGAAGTTTCTGAGAATGCTGCTGTCTAATTTTTACATGTAAGCCCGTTTCCAACGAAATCCTCAAAGCTATCCAAATATCCGCATGCAGAATCTTCAAAAAGAGTGTTCCAGAAGTACTGCATGAAACGAAAGGTTCAAGTCCGTTTGTTGAGGACACACATCACAAATAAGTTTCTCAGAATGCTTCTGTCTTGTTTTCATTGGAAGATATTTCCTTTTTCACCATAGTTCAGAAAGCGCTCCAAATGTCCACTTCCAGATACTCCAAAAAGAGTGTTTCCAACCTGCTCTATGAATGGGAATGTTCCACTCTGTGACTTGAATGGAAATATGGCAAAGTATTTTCTGAGTATGCTGCTGTGTACGTTTTATATTGCATCCCGTTTCCAACGAAATCCTCAAAGCGATCCAAATATCCACTTGCAGATTCCAAAAAAAGAGTGTTTCAAAGTGCTCTGTCAGTACAAAGGTTCAACACTGTTAGTTGATTAGATGCATCATAAACAAGTTCCTGAGATAGCTTCTATGTCGTTTTTATGGGAAGATATTTCCTTTTTCACCATAGGCCTGAAAGCGCTCCAAATGTCCACTTCCAGATACTACAATAAGAGTGTTTCCAACCTGCTCTATGAAACGGAAGGTTCAACTCTGTGACTTGATTGCAAACATCACGAAGGTGTTTCTGAGAATGCTTCTGTCTAGATTTTCTTTGAAGACATTCCCGTTTCCAACGAAATCCTCACAGCTATCCAAATATCCTCTTGCAGATTCTACAAAAAGTGTGGTTCAAAACTGCTGTATCAAAAGAATGGATCAACACTGTTAGTTGAGTACCCACATCACAAACGTGATTCTCAGAATGCTTCTGTCTAGTTTCTATAGGTAGATATTTCCTTTTTCAGCATAGGCCTGAAAGCGCTCCAAATGCCCGATTCCAGACACTATAAAAAGAGGGTTTCAAACCTACTCTATGAAAGGGAATGTTCAACTCTGAGAGCTGGATGCAAACATCACAAAGAAGTTTCTGAGAATGCTGCTGTCTACTTTTGATATATAATCCCGTTTCCAACGAAATCCTCAAATCTATCCAAATATCCACTTGCAGATTCCAAAAGAAGAGTGTCTCAAAACTGCTCTATCAATAGAAATGTTCAGCACAGTTAGTTGAGTAGATACAGCATAAACATGTTTCTGAGATTACTTCTATCTCGCATTCATGGGAAGATATTTCCTTTTTCCACATAGGCTACAAAGCCCTCCAAATGTCCACTTCCAGATACTACAAAAAGAGTGTTTCCAACCTGCTCTATGAAACGGAAGGTTCAACTCTGTGACTTGATTGCAAACATCACGAAGGTGTTTCTGAGAATGCTTCTGTCTAGATTTTCTTTGAAGACATTACCGTTTCCAACGAAATCCTCAAAGCTAGCCAAATATCCACCTGCAGATTCTACAAAAAGAGTGTTTCAAAAGTGCTCTGTCCAAACCAAGGTTCAATTCTGACAGTTGAGTGCACACATCACAAACGTGATTCTGCGAATGCTTCTGTCTAGTTTTTGTCGGAAGATATTTCCTTTTTCAGCATAGGCCCCAAGGAGCTCAAAATGTCCACTGCCAGATAGTACGAGAAGATTGTTTCAAACCTGCTCTGTGAAAGGGAATGTTCAACTCTGTGACTTGAATGTAAACATCCCTAAGATGTTTCTTAGAATGCTTCTGGCTAGATTTTATTTGAAGATATTCCCGTTTCCAACGAAATCCTCAAAGCTTTCCAAATATCCACTTCCAGATTCTATAAAAAGAATGTTTCAGAACAGTTCTGTCAAAAGAAAGGTTCAACTCTGTTAGTGGAGAACACACATCACAATCAAGGTTCTGAGAATGCTTCTGTCTAAATTTTCTATGAAGACATTCCCGTTTCCAACGAAATCCTCACAGCTATCCAAATATCCACTTGCAGATTCTACAAAAAGTGTGGTTCAAAACTGCTGTATCAAAAGAATGGATCAACACTGTTAGTTGAGTACCCACATCACAAACGTGATTCTCAGAATGCTTCTGTCTAGTTTCTATAGGTAGATATTTCCTTTTTCAGCATAGGCCTGAAAGCGCTCCAAATGCCCGCTTCCAGACACTATAAAAAGAGGGTTTCAAACCTACTCTATGAAAGGGAATGTTCAACTCTGAGAGCTGGATGCAAACATCACAAAGAAGTTTCTGAGAATGCTGCTGTCTACTTTTTATATATAATCCCGTTTCCAACGAAATCCTCAAATCTATCCAAATATCCACTTGCAGATTCCAAAAGAAGAGTGTCTCAAAACTGCTCTATCAATAGAAATGTTCAGCACAGTTAGTTGAGTAGATACAGCATAAACATGTTTCTCAGATTACTTCTATCTCGCATTCATGGGAAGATAATTCCTTTTTCCAGATAGGCTACAAAGCCCTCCAAATGTCCACTTCCAGATACTACAAATAGAGTGCTGCACAACTGCTCTATGTGAGGGGAAGTTCAATTCTGTGACTTGAATGCAGACACCACAAAGAAGTTTCTGAGAATGCTGCTGTCTAATTTTTACATGTAAGACCGTTTCCAACGAAATCCTCAAAGCTATCCAAATATCCGCATGCAGAATCTTCAAAAAGAGTGTTCCAGAAGTACTGCATGAAACGAAAGGTTCAAGTCCGTTTGTTGAGGACACACATCACAAATAAGTTTCTCAGAATGCTTCTGTCTTGTTTTCATTGGAAGATATTTCCTTTTTCACCATAGTTCAGAAAGCGCTCCAAATGTCCACTTCCAGATACTCCAAAAAGAGTGTTTCCAACCTGCTCTATGAATGGGAATGTTCCACTCTGTGACTTGAATGGAAATATGGCAAAGTATTTTCTGAGTATGCTGCTGTGTACGTTTTATATTGCATCCCGTTTCCAACGAAATCCTCAAAGCGATCCAAATATCCACTTGCAGATTCCAAAAAAAGAGTGTTTCAAACTGCTCTGTCAGTACAAAGGTTCAACACTGTTAGTTGATTAGATGCATCATAAACAAGTTCCTGAGATAGCTTCTATGTCGTTTTTATGGGAAGATATTTCCTTTTTCACCATAGGCCTGAAAGCACTCCAAATGTCCACTTCCAGATACTACAAAAAGAGTGTTTCCAACCTGCTCTATGAAACGGAAGGTTCAACTCTGTGACTTGATTGCAAACATCACGAAGGTGTTTCTGAGAATGCTTCTGTCTAGATTTTCTTTGAAGACATTCCCGTTTCCAACGAAATCCTCACAGCTATCCAAATATCCTCTTGCAGATTCTACAAAAAGTGTGGTTCAAAACTGCTGTATCAAAAGAATGGATCAACACTGTTAGTTGAGTACCCACATCACAAACGAGATTCTCAGAATGCTTCTGTCTAGTTTCTGTAGGTAGATATTTCCTATTTTAAGCATAGGCCTGAAAGCGCTCCAAATGCCCGCTTCCAGACACTATAAAAAGAGGGTTGCAAACCTACTCTATGAAAGGGAATGTTCAACTCTGAGAGCTGGATGCAAACATCACAAAGAAGTTTCTGAGAATGCTGCTGTCTACTTTTTATATATAATCCCGTTTCCAACGAAATCCTCAAATCTCTCCAAATATCCACTTGCAGATTCCAAAAGAAGAGTGTCTCAAAACTGCTCTATCAATAGAAATGTTCAGCACAGTTAGTTGAGTAGATACAGCATAAACATGTTTCTGAGATTACTTCTATCTCGCATTCATGGGAAGATATTTCCTTTTTCCACATAGGCTACAAAGCCCTTCAAATGTCCACTTCCAGATACTACAAAAAGAGTGTTTCCAACCTGCTCTATGAAACGGAAGGTTCAACTCTGTGACTTGATTGCAAACATCACGAAGGTGTTTCTGAGAATGCTTCTGTCTAGATTTTCTTTGAAGACATTACCGTTTCCAACGAAATCCTCAAAGCTAGCCAAATATCCACCTGCAGATTCTACAAAAAGAGTGTTTCAAAAGTGCTCTGTCCAAACCAAGGTTCAATTCTGACAGTTGAGTGCACACATCACAAACGTGATTCTGCGAATGCTTCTGTCTAGTTTTTGTCGGAAGATATTTCCTTTTTCAGCATAGGCCCCAAGGAGCTCAAAATGTCCACTGCCAGATAGTACGAGAAGATTGTTTCAAACCTGCTCTGTGAAAGGGAATGTTCAACTCTGTGACTTGAATGTAAACATCCCTAAGATGTTTCTTAGAATGCTTCTGGCTAGATTTTATTTGAAGATATTCCCGTTTCCAACGAAATCCTCAAAGCTTTCCAAATATCCACTTCCAGATTCTATAAAAAGAATGTTTCAGAACAGTTCTGTCAAAAGAAAGGTTCAACTCTGTTAGTGGAGAACACACATCACAATCAAGGTTCTGAGAATGCTTCTGTCTAAATTTTCTATGAAGACATTCCCGTTTCCAACGAAATCCTCACAGCTATCCAAATATCCACTTGCAGATTCTACAAAAAGTGTGGTTCAAAACTGCTGTATCAAAAGAATGGATCAACACTGTTAGTTGAGTACCCACATCACAAACTTGATACTCAGAATGCTTCTGTCTAGTTTCTGTAGGTAGATATTTCCTTTTTCAGCATAGGCCTGAAAGCGCTCCAAATGCCCGCTTCCAGACACTATAAAAAGAGGGTTTCAAACCTACTCTATGAAAGGGAATGTTCAACTCTGAGAGCTGGATGCAAACATCACAAAGAAGTTTCTGAGAATGCTGCTGTCTACTTTTTATATATAATCCCGTTTCCAACGAAATCCTCAAATCTATCCAAATATCCACTTGCAGATTCCAAAAGAAGAGTGTCTCAAAACTGCTCTATCAATAGAAATGTTCAGCACAGTTAGTTGAGTAGATACAGCATAAACATGTTTCTGAGATTACTTCTATCTCGCATTCATGGGAAGATATTTCCTTTTTCCAGATAGGCTACAAAGCCCTCCAAATGTCCACTTCCAGATACTACAAATAGAGTGCTGCACAACTGCTCTATGTGAGGGGAAGTTCAATTCTGTGACTTGAATGCAGACACCACAAAGAAGTTTCTGAGAATGCTGCTGTCTAATTTTTACATGTAAGCCCGTTTCCAACGAAATCCTCAAAGCTATCCAAATATCCGCATGCAGAATCTTCAAAAAGAGTGTTCCAGAAGTACTGCATGAAACGAAAGTTTCAAGTCCGTTTGTTGAGGACACACATCACAAATAAGTTTCTCAGAATGCTTCTGTCTTGTTTTCATTGGAAGATATTTCCTTTTTCACCATAGTTCAGAAAGCGCTCCAAATGTCCACTTCCAGATACTCCAAAAAGAGTGTTTCAAACCTGCTCTATGAATGGGAATGTTCCACTCTGTGACTTGAATGGAAATATGGCAAAGTATTTTCTGAGTATGCTGCTGTGTACGTTTTATATTGCATCCCGTTTCCAACGAAATCCTCAAAGCGATCCAAATATCCACTTGCAGATTCCAAAAAAAGAGTGTTTCAAACTGCTCTGTCAGTACAAAGGTTCAACACTGTTAGTTGATTAGATGCATCATAAACAAGTTCCTGAGATAGCTTCTATGTCGTTTTTATGGGAAGATATTTCCTTTTTCACCATAGGCCTGAAAGCGCTCCAAATGTCCACTTCCAGATACTACAAAAAGAGTGTTTCCAACCTGCTCTATGAAACGGAAGGTTCAACTCTGTGACTTGATTGCAAACATCACGAAGGTGTTTCTGAGAATGCTTCTGTCTAGATTTTCTTTGAAGACATTCCCGTTTCCAACGAAATCCTCACAGCTATCCAAATATCCTCTTGCAGATTCTACAAAAAGTGTGGTTCAAAACTGCTGTATCAAAAGAATGGATCAACACTGTTAGTTGAGTACCCACATCACAAACGTGATTCTCAGAATGCTTCTGTCTAGTTTCTGTAGGTAGATATTTCCTATTTTAAGCATAGGCCTGAAAGCGCTCCAAATGCCCGCTTCCAGACACTATAAAAAGAGGGTTTCAAACCTACTCTATGAAAGGGAATGTTCAACTCTGAGAGCTGGATGCAAACATCACAAAGAAGTTTCTGAGAATGCTGCTGTCTACTTTTGATATATAATCCCGTTTCCAACGAAATCCTCAAATCTATCCAAATATCCACTTGCAGATTCCAAAAGAAGAGTGTCTCAAAACTGCTCTATCAATAGAAATGTTCAGCACAGTTAGTTGAGTAGATACAGCATAAACATGTTTCTGAGATTACTTCTATCTCGCATTCATGGGAAGATATTTCCTTTTTCCAGATAGGCTACAAAGCCCTCCAAATGTCCACTTCCAGATACTACAAAAAGAGTGTTTCCAACCTGCTCTATGAAACGGAAGGTTCAACTCTGTGACTTGATTGCAAACATCACGAAGGTGTTTCTGAGAATGCTTCTGTCTAGATTTTCTTTGAAGACATTACCGTTTCCAACGAAATCCTCAAAGCTAGCCAAATATCCACCTGCAGATTCTACAAAAAGAGTGTTTCAAAAGTGCTCTGTCCAAACCAAGGTTCAATTCTGACAGTTGAGTGCACACATCACAAACGTGATTCTGCGAATGCTTCTGTCTAGTTTTTGTCGGAAGATATTTCCTTTTTCCGCATAGGCCCCAAGGAGCTCAAAATGTCCACTGCCAGATAGTACGAGAAGATTGTTTCAAACCTGCTCTGTGAAAGGGAATGTTCAACTCTGTGACTTGAATGTAAACATCCCTAAGATGTTTCTTAGAATGCTTCTGGCTAGATTTTATTTGAAGATATTCCCGTTTCCAACGAAATCCTCAAAGCTTTCCAAATATCCACTTCCAGATTCTATAAAAAGAATGTTTCAGAACAGTTCTGTCAAAAGAAAGGTTCAACTCTGTTAGTGGAGAACACACATCACAATCAAGGTTCTGAGAATGCTTCTGTCTAAATTTTCTATGAAGACATTCCCGTTTCCAACGAAATCCTCACAGCTATCCAAATATCCACTTGCAGATTCTACAAAAAGTGTGGTTCAAAACTGCTGTATCAAAAGAATGGATCAACACTGTTAGTTGAGTACCCACATCACAAACGTGATTCTCAGAATGCTTCTGTCTAGTTTCTATAGGTAGATATTTCCTTTTTCAGCATAGGCCTGAAAGCGCTCCAAATGCCCGCTTCCAGACACTATAAAAAGAGGGTTTCAAACCTACTCTATGAAAGGGAATGTTCAACTCTGAGAGCTGGATGCAAACATCACAAAGAAGTTTCTGAGAATGCTGCTGTCTACTTTTTATATATAATCCCGTTTCCAACGAAATCCTCAAATCTATCCAAATATCCACTTGCAGATTCCAAAAGAAGAGTGTCTCAAAACTGCTCTATCAATAGAAATGTTCAGCACAGTTAGTTGAGTAGATACAGCATAAACATGTTTCTGAGATTACTTCTCTATCTCGCATTCATGGGAAGATATTTCCTTTTTCCACATAGGCTACAAAGCCCTCCAAATGTCCACTTCCAGATACTACAAATAGAGTGCTGCACAACTGCTCTATGTGAGGGGATGTTCAATTCTGTGACTTGAATGCAGACACCACAAAGAAGTTTCTGAGAATGCTGCTGTCTAATTTTTACATGTAAGCCCGTTTCCAACGAAATCCTCAAAGCTATCCAAATATCCGCATGCAGAATCTTCAAAAAGAGTGTTCCAGAAGTACTGCATGAAACGAAAGGTTCAAGTCCGTTTGTTGAGGACACACATCACAAATAAGTTTCTCAGAATGCTTCTGCTTGTTTTCATTGGAAGATATTTCCTTTTTCACCATAGTTCAGAAAGCGCTCCAAATGTCCACTTCCAGATACTCCAAAAAGAGTGTTTCAAACCTGCTCTATGAATGGGAATGTTCCACTCTGTGACTTGAATGGAAATATGGCAAAGTATTTTCTGAGTATGCTGCTGTGTACGTTTTATATTGCATCCCGTTTCCAACGAAATCCTCAAAGCGATCCAAATATCCACTTGCAGATTCCAAAAAAAGAGTGTTTCAAACTGCTCTGTCAGTACAAAGGTTCAACACTGTTAGTTGATTAGATGCATCATAAACAAGTTCCTGAGATAGCTTCTATGTCGTTTTTATGGGAAGATATTTCCTTTTTCACCATAGGCCTGAAAGCGCTCCAAATGTCCACTTCCAGATACTACAATAAGAGTGTTTCCAACCTGCTCTATGAAACGGAAGGTTCAACTCTGTGACTTGATTGCAAACATCACGAAGGTGTTTCTGAGAATGCTTCTGTCTAGATTTTCTTTGAAGACATTCCCGTTTCCAACGAAATCCTCACAGCTATCCAAATATCCTCTTGCAGATTCTACAAAAAGTGTGGTTCAAAACTGCTGTATCAAAAGAATGGATCAACACTGTTAGTTGAGTACCCACATCACAAACGTGATTCTCAGAATGCTTCTGTCTAGTTTCTATAGGTAGATGTCTCCTTTTTCAGCATAGGCCTGAAAGCGCTCCAAATGCCCGCTTCCAGACACTATAAAAAGAGGGTTTCAAACCTACTCTATGAAAGGGAATGTTCAACTCTGAGAGCTGGATGCAAACATCACAAAGAAGTTTCTGAGAATGCTGCTGTCTACTTTTTATATATAATCCCGTTTCCAACGAAATCCTCAAATCTATCCAAATATCCACTTGCAGATTCCAAAAGAAGAGGGTCTCAAAACTGCTCTATCAATAGAAATGTTCAGCACAGTTAGTTGAGTAGATACAGCATAAACATGTTTCTGAGATTACTTCTATCTCGCATTCATGGGAAGATATTTCCTTTTTCCAGATAGGCTACAAAGCCCTCCAAATGTCCACTTCCAGATACTACAAATAGAGTGCTGCACAACTGCTCTATGTGAGGAGAAGTTCAATTCTGTGACTTGAATGCAGACACCACAAAGAAGTTTCTGAGAATGCTGCTGTCTAATTTTTACATGTAAGCCCGTTTCCAACGAAATCCTCAAAGCTATCCAAATATCCGCATGCAGAATCTTCAAAAAGAGTGTTCCAGAAGTACTGCATGAAACGAAAGGTTCAAGTCCGTTTGTTGAGGACACACATCACAAATAAGTTTCTCAGAATGCTTCTGTCTTGTTTTCATTGGAAGATATTTCCTTTTTCACCATAGTTCAGAAAGCGCTCCAAATGTCCACTTCCAGATACTCCAAAAAGAGTGTTTCCAACCTGCTCTATGAATGGGAATGTTCCACTCTGTGACTTGAATGGAAATATGGCAAAGTATTTTCTGAGTATGCTGCTGTGTACGTTTTATATTGCATCCCGTTTCCAACGAAATCCTCAAAGCGATCCAAATATCCACTTGCAGATTCCAAAAAAAGAGTGTTTCAAAGTGCTCTGTCAGTACAAAGGTTCAACACTGTTAGTTGATTAGATGCATCATAAACAAGTTCCTGAGATAGCTTCTATGTCGTTTTTATGGGAAGATATTTCCTTTTTCACCATAGGCCTGAAAGCGCTCCAAATGTCCACTTCCAGATACTACAATAAGAGTGTTTCCAACCTGCTCTATGAAACGGAAGGTTCAACTCTGTGACTTGATTGCAAACATCACGAAGGTGTTTCTGAGAATGCTTCTGTCTAGATTTTCTTTGAAGACATTCCCGTTTCCAACGAAATCCTCACAGCTATCCAAATATCCTCTTGCAGATTCTACAAAAAGTGTGGTTCAAAACTGCTGTATCAAAAGAATGGATCAACACTGTTAGTTGAGTACCCACATCACAAACGTGATTCTCAGAATGCTTCTGTCTAGTTTCTGTAGGTAGATATTTCCTATTTTAAGCATAGGCCTGAAAGCGCTCCAAATGCCCGCTTCCAGACACTATAAAAAGAGGGTTTCAAACCTACTCTATGAAAGGGAATGTCCAACTCTGAGAGCTGGATGCAAACATCACAAAGAAGTTTCTGAGAATGCTGCTGTCTACTTTTTATATATAATCCCGTTTCCAACGAAATCCTCAAATCTATCCAAATATCCACTTGCAGATTCCAAAAGAAGAGTGTCTCAAAACTGCTCTATCAATAGAAATGTTCAGCACAGTTAGTTGAGTAGATACAGCATAAACATGTTTCTGAGATTACTTCTATCTCGCATTCATGGGAAGATATTTCCTTTTTCCAGATAGGCTACAAAGCCCTCCAAATGTCCACTTCCAGATACTACAAAAAGAGTGTTTCCAACCTGCTCTATGAAACGGAAGGTTCAACTCTGTGACTTGATTGCAAACATCACGAAGGTGTTTCTGAGAATGCTTCTGTCTAGATTTTCTTTGAAGACATTACCGTTTCCAACGAAATCCTCAAAGCTAGCCAAATATCCACCTGCAGATTCTACAAAAAGAGTGTTTCAAAAGTGCTCTGTCCAAACCAAGGTTCAATTCTGACAGTTGAGTGCACACATCACAAACGTGATTCTGCGAATGCTTCTGTCTAGTTTTTGTCGGAAGATATTTCCTTTTTCAGCATAGGCCCCAAGGAGCTCAAAATGTCCACTGCCAGATAGTACGAGAAGATTGTTTCAAACCTGCTCTGTGAAAGGGAATGTTCAACTCTGTGACTTGAATGTAAACATCCCTAAGATGTTTCTTAGAATGCTTCTGGCTAGATTTTATTTGAAGATATTCCCGTTTCCAACGAAATCCTCAAAGCTTTCCAAATATCCACTTCCAGATTCTATAAAAAGAATGTTTCAGAACAGTTCTGTCAAAAGAAAGGTTCAACTCTGTTAGTGGAGAACACACATCACAATCAAGGTTCTGAGAATGCTTCTGTCTAGCATTTTCTTTGAAGACATTCCCGTTTCCAACGAAATCCTCACAGCTATCCAAATATCCTCTTGCAGATTCTACAAAAAGTGTGGTTCAAAACTGCTGTATCAAAAGAATGGATCAACACTGTTAGTTGAGTACCCACATCACAAACGTGATTCTCAGAATGCTTCTGTCTAGTTTCTGTAGGTAGATATTTCCTATTTTAAGCATAGGCCTGAAAGCGCTCCAAATGCCCGCTTGCAGACACTATAAAAAGAGGGTTTCAAACCTACTCTATGAAAGGGAATGTTCAACTCTGAGAGCTGGATGCAAACATCACAAAGAAGTTTCTGAGAATGCTGCTGTCTACTTTTGATATATAATCCCGTTTCCAACGAAATCCTCAAATCTATCCAAATATCCACTTGCAGATTCCAAAAGAAGAGTGTCTCAAAACTGCTCTATCAATAGAAATGTTCAGCACAGTTAGTTGAGTAGATACAGCATAAACATGTTTCTGAGATTACTTCTATCTCGCATTCATGGGAAGATATTTCCTTTTTCCAGATAGGCTACAAAGCCCTCCAAATGTCCACTTCCAGATACTACAAATAGAGTGCTGCACAACTGCTCTATGTGAGGGGAAGTTCAATTCTGTGACTTGAATGCAGACACCACAAAGAAGTTTCTGAGAATGCTGCTGTCTAATTTTTACATGTAAGCCCGTTTCCAATGAAATCCTCAAAGCTATCCAAATATCCGCATGCAGAATCTTCAAAAAGAGTGTTCCAGAAGTACTGCATGAAACGAAAGGTTCAAGTCCGTTTGTTGAGGACACACATCACAAATAAGTTTCTCAGAATGCTTCTGTCTTGTTTTCATTGGAAGATATTTCCTTTTTCACCATAGTTCAGAAAGCGCTCCAAATGTCCACTTCCAGATACTCCAAAAAGAGTGTTTCCAACCTGCTCTATGAATGGGAATGTTCCACTCTGTGACTTGAATGGAAATATGGCAAAGTATTTTCTGAGTATGCTGCTGTGTACGTTTTATATTGCATCCCGTTTCCAACGAAATCCTCAAAGCGATCCAAATATCCACTTGCAGATTCCAAAAAAAGAGTGTTTCAAACTGCTCTGTCAGTACAAAGGTTCAACACTGTTAGTTGATTAGATGCATCATAAACAAGTTCCTGAGATAGCTTCTATGTCGTTTTTATGGGAAGATATTTCCTTTTTCACCATAGGCCTGAAAGCGCTCCAAATGTCCACTTCCAGATACTACAATAAGAGTGTTTCCAACCTGCTCTATGAAACGGAAGGTTCAACTCTGTGACATGATTGCAAACATCACGAAGGTGTTTCTGAGAATGCTTCTGTCTAGATTTTCTTTGAAGACATTCCCGTTTCCAACGAAATCCTCACAGCTATCCAAATATCCTCTTGCAGATTCTACAAAAAGTGTGGTTCAAAACTGCTGTATCAAAAGAATGGATCAACACTGTTAGTTGAGTACCCACATCACAAACGTGATTCCTCAGAATGCTTTCTGTCTAGTTTCTGTAGGTAGATATTTCCTATTTTAAGCATAGGCCTGAAAGCGCTCCAAATGCCCGCTTCCAGACACTATAAAAAGAGGGTTTCAAACCTACTCTATGAAAGGGAATGTTCAACTCTGAGAGCTGGATGCAAACATCACAAAGAAGTTTCTGAGAATGCTGCTGTCTACTTTTTATATATAATCCCGTTTCCAACGAAATCCTCAAATCTATCCAAATATCCACTTGCAGATTCCAAAAGAAGAGTGTCTCAAAACTGCTCTATCAATAGAAATGTTCAGCACAGTTAGTTGAGTAGATACAGCATAAACATGTTTCTGAGATTACTTCTATCTCGCATTCATGGGAAGATATTTCCTTTTTCCAGATAGGCTACAAAGCCCTCCAAATGTCCACTTCCAGATACTACAAATAGAGTGCTGCACAACTGCTCTATGTGAGGGGAAGTTCAATTCTGTGACTTGAATGCAGACACCACAAAGAAGTTTCTGAGAATGCTGCTGTCTAATTTTTACATGTAAGCCCGTTTCCAACGAAATCCTCAAAGCTATCCAAATATCCGCATGCAGAATCTTCAAAAAGAGTGTTCCAGAAGTACTGCATGAAACGAAAGGTTCAAGTCCGTTTGTTGAGGACACACATCACAAATAAGTTTCTCAGAATGCTTCTGTCTTGTTTTCATTGGAAGATATTTCCTTTTTCACCATAGTTCAGAAAGCGCTCCAAATGTCCACTTCCAGATACTCCAAAAAGAGTGTTTCCAACCTGCTCTATGAATGGGAATGTTCCACTCTGTGACTTGAATGGAAATATGGCAAAGTATTTTCTGAGTATGCTGCTGTGTACGTTTTATATTGCATCCCGTTTCCAACGAAATCCTCAAAGCGATCCAAATATCCACTTGCAGATTCCAAAAAAAGAGTGTTTCAAACTGCTCTGTCAGTACAAAGGTTCAACACTGTTAGTTGATTAGATGCATCATAAACAAGTTCCTGAGATAGCTTCTATATCGTTTTTATGGGAAGATATTTCCTTTTTCACCATAGGCCTGAAAGCGCTCCAAATGTCCACTTCCAGATACTACAATAAGAGTGTTTCCAACCTGCTCTATGAAACGGAAGGTTCAACTCTGTGACTTGATTGCAAACATCACGAAGGTATTTCTGAGAATGCTTCTGTCTAGATTTTCTTTGAAGACATTCCCGTTTCCAACGAAATCCTCACAGCTATCCAAATATCCTCTTGCAGATTCTACAAAAAGTGTGGTTCAAAACTGCTGTATCAAAAGAATGGATCAACACTGTTAGTTGAGTACCCACATCACAAACGTGATTCTCAGAATGCTTCTGTCTAGTTTCTGTAGGTAGATATTTCCTATTTTAAGCATAGGCCTGAAAGCGCTCCAAATGCCCGCTTCCAGACACTATAAAAAGAGGGTTTCAAACCTACTCTATGAAAGGGAATGTTCAACTCTGAGAGCTGGATGCAAACATCACAAAGAAGTTTCTGAGAATGCTGCTGTCTACTTTTTATATATAATCCCGTTTCCAACGAAATCCTCAAATCTATCCAAATATCCACTTGCAGATTCCAAAAGAAGAGTGTCTGAAAACTGCTCTATCAATAGAAATGTTCAGCACAGTTAGTTGAGTAGATACAGCATAAACATGTTTCTGAGATTACTTCTATCTCGCATTCATGGGAAGATATTTCCTTTTTCCAGATAGGCTACAAAGCCCTCCAAATGTCCACTTCCAGATACTACAAATAGAGTGCTGCACAACTGCTCTATGTGAGGGGAAGTTCAATTCTGTGACTTGAATGCAGACACCACAAAGAAGTTTCTGAGAATGCTGCTGTCTAATTTTTACATGTAAGCCCGTTTCCAACGAAATCCTCAAAGCTATCCAAATATCCGCATGCAGAATCTTCAAAAAGAGTGTTCCAGAAGTACTGCATGAAACGAAAGGTTCAAGTCCGTTTGTTGAGGACACACATCACAAAGAAGTTTCTCAGAATGCTTCTGTCTTGTTTTCATTGGAAGATATTTCCTTTTTCACCATAGTTCAGAAAGCGCTCCAAATGTCCACTTCCAGATACTCCAAAAAGAGTGTTTCAAACCTGCTCTATGAATGGGAATGTTCCACTCTGTGACTTGAATGGAAATATGGCAAAGTATTTTCTGAGTATGCTGCTGTGTACGTTTTATATTGCATCCCGTTTCCAACGAAATCCTCAAGTGATCCAAATATCCACTTGCAGATTCCAAAAAAAGAGTGTTTCAAACTGCTCTGTCAGTACAAAGGTTCAACACTGTTAGTTGATTAGATGCATCATAAACAAGTTCCTGAGATAGCTTCTATGTCGTTTTTATGGGAAGATATTTCCTTTTTCACCATAGGCCTGAAAGCGCTCCAAATGTCCACTTCCAGATACTACAATAAGAGTGTTTCCAACCTGCTCTATGAAACGGAAGGTTCAACTCTGTGACTTGATTGCAAACATCACGAAGGTGTTTCTGAGAATGCTTCTGTCTAGATTTTCTTTGAAGACATTCCCGTTTCCAACGAAATCCTCACAGCTATCCAAATATCCTCTTGCAGATTCTACAAAAAGTGTGGTTCAAAACTGCTGTATCAAAAGAATGGATCAACACTGTTAGTTGAGTACCCACATCACAAACGTGATTCTCAGAATGCTTCTGTCTAGTTTCTGTAGGTAGATATTTCCTATTTTAAGCATAGGCCTGAAAGCGTTCCAAATGCCCGCTTCCAGACACTATAAAAAGAGGGTTTCAAACCTACTCTATGAAAGGGAATGTTCAACTCTGAGAGCTGGATGCAAACATCACAAAGAAGTTTCTGAGAATGCTGCTGTCTACTTTTTATATATAATCCCGTTTCCAACGAAATCCTCAAATCTATCCAAATATCCACTTGCAGATTCCAAAAGAAGAGTGTCTCAAAACTGCTCTATCAATAGAAATGTTCAGCACAGTTAGTTGAGTAGATACAGCATAAACATGTTTCTGAGATTACTTCTATCTCGCATTCATGGGAAGATATTTCCTTTTTCCAGATAGGCTACAAAGCCCTCCAAATGTCCACTTCCAGATACTACAAATAGAGTGCTGCACAACTGCTCTATGTGAGGGGAAGTTCAATTCTGTGACTTGAATGCAGACACCACAAAGAAGTTTCTGAGAATGCTGCTGTCTAATTTTTACATGTAAGCCCGTTTCCAACGAAATCCTCAAAGCTATCCAAATATCCGCATGCAGAATCTTCAAAAAGAGTGTTCCAGAAGTACTGCATGAAACGAAAGGTTCAAGTCCGTTTGTTGAGGACACACATCACAAATAAGTTTCTCAGAATGCTTCTGTCTTGTTTTCATTGGAAGATATTTCCTTTTTCACCATAGTTCAGAAAGCGCTCCAAATGTCCACTTCCAGATACTCCAAAAAGAGTGTTTCAAACCTGCTCTATGAATGGGAATGTTCCACTCTGTGACTTGAATGGAAATATGGCAAAGTATTTTCTGAGTATGCTGCTGTGTACGTTTTATATTGCATCCCGTTTCCAACGAAATCCTCAAAGCGATCCAAATATCCACTTGCAGATTCCAAAAAAAGAGTGTTTCAAACTGCTCTGTCAGTACAAAGGTTCAACACTGTTAGTTGATTAGATGCATCATAAACAAGTTCCTGAGATAGCTTCTATGTCGTTTTTATGGGAAGATATTTCCTTTTTCACCATAGGCCTGAAAGCGCTCCAAATGTCCACTTCCAGATACTACAAAAAGAGTGTTTCCAACCTGCTCTATGAAACGGAAGGTTCAACTCTGTGACTTGATTGCAAACATCACGAAGGTGTTTCTGAGGATGTTTCTGTCTAGATTTTCTTTGAAGACATTACCGTTTCCAACGAAATCCTCAAAGCTAGCCAAATATCCACCTGCAGATTCTACAAAAAGAGTGTTTCAAAAGTGCTCTGTCCAAACCAAGGTTCAATTCTGACAGTTGAGTGCACACATCACAAACGTGATTCTGCGAATGCTTCTGTCTAGTTTTTGTCGGAAGATATTTCCTTTTTCAGCATAGGCCCCAAGGAGCTCAAAATGTCCACTGCCAGATAGTACGAGAAGATTGTTTCAAACCTGCTCTGTGAAAGGGAATGTTCAACTCTGTGACTTGAATGTAAACATCCCTAAGATGTTTCTTAGAATGCTTCTGGCTAGATTTGATATGAAGATATTCCCGTTTCCAACGAAATCCTCAAAGCTTTCCAAATATCCACTTCCAGATTCTATAAAAAGAATGTTTCAGAACAGTTCTGTCAAAAGAAAGGTTCAACTCTGTTAGTGGAGAACACACATCACAATCAAGGTTCTGAGAATGCTTCTGTCTAAATTTTCTATGAAGACATTCCCGTTTCCAACGAAATCCTCACAGCTATCCAAATATCCACTTGCAGATTCTACAAAAAGTGTGGTTCAAAACTGCTGTATCAAAAGAATGGATCAACACTGTTAGTTGAGTACCCACATCACAAACGTGATTCTCAGAATGCTTCTGTCTAGTTTCTATAGGTAGATATTTCCTTTTTCAGCATAGGCCTGAAAGCGCTCCAAATGCCCGCTTCCAGACACTATAAAAAGAGGGTTTCAAACCTACTCTATGAAAGGGAATGTTCAACTCTGAGAGCTGGATGCAAACATCACAAAGAAGTTTCTGAGAATGCTGCTGTCTACTTTTTATATATAATCCCGTTTCCAACGAAATCCTCAAATCTATCCAAATATCCACTTGCAGATTCCAAAAGAAGAGTGTCTCAAAACTGCTCTATCAATAGAAATGTTCAGCACAGTTAGTTGAGTAGATACAGCATAAACATGTTTCTGAGATTACTTCTATCTCGCATTCATGGGAAGATATTTCCTTTTTCCAGATAGGCTACAAAGCCCTCCAAATGTCCACTTCCAGATACTACAAATAGAGTGCTGCACAACTGCTCTATGTGAGGGGATGTTCAATTCTGTGACTTGAATGCAGACACCACAAAGAAGTTTCTGAGAATGCTGCTGTCTAATTTTTACATGTAAGCCCGTTTCCAACGAAATCCTCAAAGCTATCCAAATATCCGCATGCAGAATCTTCAAAAAGAGTGTTCCAGAAGTACTGCATGAAACGAAAGGTTCAAGTCCGTTTGTTGAGGACACACATCACAAATAAGTTTCTCAGAATGCTTCTGTCTTGTTTTCATTGGAAGATATTTCCTTTTTCACCATAGTTCAGAAAGCGCTCCAAATGTCCACTTCCAGATACTCCAAAAAGAGTGTTTCCAACCTGCTCTATGAATGGGAATGTTCCACTCTGTGACTTGAATGGAAATATGGCAAAGTATTTTCTGAGTATGCTGCTGTGTACGTTTTATATTGCATCCCGTTTCCAACGAAATCCTCAAAGCGATCCAAATATCCACTTGCAGATTCCAAAAAAAGAGTGTTTCAAACTGCTCTGTCAGTACAAAGGTTCAACACTGTTAGTTGATTAGATGCATCATAAACAAGTTCCTGAGATAGCTTCTATGTCGTTTTTATGGGAAGATATTTCCTTTTTCACCATAGGCCTGAAAGCACTCCAAATGTCCACTTCCAGATACTACAAAAAGAGTGTTTCCAACCTGCTCTATGAAACGGAAGGTTCAACTCTGTGACTTGATTGCAAACATCACGAAGGTGTTTCTGAGAATGCTTCTGTCTAGATTTTCTTTGAAGACATTCCCGTTTCCAACGAAATCCTCACAGCTATCCAAATATCCTCTTGCAGATTCTACAAAAAGTGTGGTTCAAAACTGCTGTATCAAAAGAATGGATCAACACTGTTAGTTGAGTACCCACATCACAAACGTGATTCTCAGAATGCTTCTGTCTAGTTTCTGTAGGTAGATATTTCCTATTTTAAGCATAGGCCTGAAAGCGCTCCAAATGCCCGCTTCCAGACACTATAAAAAGAGGGTTTCAAACCTACTCTATGAAAGGGAATGTTCAACTCTGAGAGCTGGATGCAAACATCACAAAGAAGTTTCTGAGAATGCTGCTGTCTACTTTTTATATATAATCCCGTTTCCAACGAAATCCTCAAATCTATCCAAATATCCACTTGCAGATTCCAAAAGAAGAGTGTCTGAAAACTGCTCTATCAATAGAAATGTTCAGCACAGTTAGTTGAGTAGATACAGCATAAACATGTTTCTGAGATTACTTCTATCTCGCATTCATGGGAAGATATTTCCTTTTTCCAGATAGGCTACAAAGCCCTCCAAATGTCCACTTCCAGATACTACAAAAAGAGTGTTTCCAACCTGCTCTATGAAACGGAAGGTTCAACTCTGTGACTTGATTGCAAACATCACGAAGGTGTTTCTGAGAATGCTTCTGTCTAGATTTTCTTTGAAGACATTACCGTTTCCAACGAAATCCTCAAAGCTAGCCAAATATCCACCTGCAGATTCTACAAAAAGAGTGTTTCAAAAGTGCTCTGTCCAAACCAAGGTTCAATTCTGACAGTTGAGTGCACACATCACAAACGTGATTCTGCGAATGCTTCTGTCTAGTTTTTGTCGGAAGATATTTCCTTTTTCAGCATAGGCCCCAAGGAGCTCAAAATGTCCACTGCCAGATAGTACGAGAAGATTGTTTCAAACCTGCTCTGTGAAAGGGAATGTTCAACTCTGTGACTTGAATGTAAACATCCCTAAGATGTTTCTTAGAATGCTTCTGGCTAGATTTGATTTGAAGATATTCCCGTTTCCAACGAAATCCTCAAAGCTTTCCAAATATCCACTTCCAGATTCTATAAAAAGAATGTTTCAGAACAGTTCTGTCAAAAGAAAGGTTCAACTCTGTTAGTGGAGAACACACATCACAATCAAGGTTCTGAGAATGCTTCTGTCTAAATTTTCTATGAAGACATTCCCGTTTCCAACGAAATCCTCACAGCTATCCAAATATCCACTTGCAGATTCTACAAAAAGTGTGGTTCAAAACTGCTGTATCAAAAGAATGGATCAACACTGTTAGTTGAGTACCCACATCACAAACGTGATTCTCAGAATGCTTCTGTCTAGTTTCTATAGGTAGATATTTCCTTTTTCAGCATAGGCCTGAAAGCGCTCCAAATGCCCGCTTCCAGACACTATAAAAAGAGGGTTTCAAACCTACTCTATGAAAGGGAATGTTCAACTCTGAGAGCTGGATGCAAACATCACAAAGAAGTTTCTGAGAATGCTGCTGTCTACTTTTTATATATAATCCCGTTTCCAACGAAATCCTCAAATCTATCCAAATATCCACTTGCAGATTCCAAAAGAAGAGTGTCTCAAAACTGCTCTATCAATAGAAATGTTCAGCACAGTTAGTTGAGTAGGTACAGCATAAACATGTTTCTGAGATTACTTCTATCTCGCATTCATGGGAAGATATTTCCTTTTTCCACATAGGCTACAAAGCCCTCCAAATGTCCACTTCCAGATACTACAAATAGAGTGCTGCACAACTGCTCTATGTGAGGGGATGTTCAATTCTGTGACTTGAATGCAGACACCACAAAGAAGTTTCTGAGAATGCTGCTGTCTAATTTTTACATGTAAGCCCGTTTCCAACGAAATCCTCAAAGCTATCCAAATATCCGCATGCAGAATCTTCAAAAAGAGTGTTCCAGAAGTACTGCATGAAACGAAAGGTTCAAGTCCGTTTGTTGAGGACACACATCACAAATAAGTTTCTCAGAATGCTTCTGTCTTGTTTTCATTGGAAGATATTTCCTTTTTCACCATAGTTCAGAAAGCGCTCCAAATGTCCACTTCCAGATACTCCAAAAAGAGTGTTTCCAACCTGCTCTATGAATGGGAATGTTCCACTCTGTGACTTGAATGGAAATATGGCAAAGTATTTTCTGAGTATGCTGCTGTGTACGTTTTATATTGCATCCCGTTTCCAACGAAATCCTCAAAGCGATCCAAATATCCACTTGCAGATTCCAAAAAAAGAGTGTTTCAAACTGCTCTGTCAGTACAAAGGTTCAACACTGTTAGTTGATTAGATGCATCATAAACAAGTTCCTGAGATAGCTTCTATGTCGCTTTTATGGGAAGATATTTCCTTTTACACCATAGGCCTGAAAGCGCTCCAAATGTCCACTTCCAGATACTACAAAATGAGTGTTTCCAACCTGCTCTATGAAACGGAAGGTTCAACTCTGTGACTTGATTGCAAACATCACGAAGGTGTTTCTGAGGATGTTTCTGTCTAGATTTTCTTTGAAGACATTACCGTTTCCAACGAAATCCTCAAAGCTAGCCAAATATCCACCTGCAGATTCTACAAAAAGAGTGTTTCAAAAGTGCTCTGTCCAAACCAAGGTTCAATTCTGACAGTTGAGTGCACACATCACAAACGTGATTCTGCGAATGCTTCTGTCTAGTTTTTGTCGGAAGATATTTCCTTTTTCAGCATAGGCCCCAAGGAGCTCAAAATGTCCACTGCCAGATAGTACGAGAAGATTGTTTCAAACCTGCTCTGTGAAAGGGAATGTTCAACTCTGTGACTTGAATGTAAACATCCCTAAGATGTTTCTTATAATGCTTCTGGCTAGATTTGATTTGAAGATATTCCCGTTTCCAACGAAATCCTCAAAGCTTTCCAAATATCCACTTCCAGATTCTATAAAAAGAATGTTTCAGAACAGTTCTGTCAAAAGAAAGTTTCAACTCTGTTAGTGGAGAACACACATCACAATCAAGGTTCTGAGAATGCTCTGTCTAAATTTTCTATGAAGACATTCCCGTTTCCAACGAAATCCTCACAGCTATCCAAATATCCACTTGCAGATTCTACAAAAAGGGTGGTTCAAAACTGCTGTATCAAAAGAATGGATCAACACTGTTAGTTGAGTACCCACATCACAAACGTGATTCTCAGAATGCTTTCTGTCTAGTTTCTATAGGTAGATATTTCCTTTTTCAGCATAGGCCTGAAAGCGCTCCAAATGCCCGCTTCCAGACACTATAAAAAGAGGGTTTCAAACCTACTCTATGAAAGGGAATGTTCAACTCTGGGAGCTGGATGCAAACATCACAAAGAAGTTTCTGAGAATGCTGCTGTCTACTTTTTATATATAATCCCGTTTCCAACGAAATCCTCAAATCTATCCAAATATCCACTTGCAGATTCCAAAAGAAGAGTGTCTCAAAACTGCTCTATCAATAGAAATGTTCAGCACAGTTAGTTGAGTAGATACAGCATAAACATGTTTCTGAGATTACTTCTATCTCGCATTCATGGGAAGATATTTCCTTTTTCCAGATAGGCTACAAAGCCCTCCAAATGTCCACTTCCAGATACTACAAATAGAGTGCTGCACAACTGCTCTATGTGAGGGGGAAGTTCAATTCTGTGACTTGAATGCAGACACCACAAAGAAGTTTCTGAGAATGCTGCTGTCTAATTTTTACATGTAAGCCCGTTTCCAACGAAATCCTCAAAGCTATCCAAATATCCGCATGCAGAATCTTCAAAAAGAGTGTTCCAGAAGTACTGCATGAAACGAAAGGTTCAAGTCCGTTTGTTGAGGACACACATCACAAATAAGTTTCTCAGAATGCTTCTGTCTTGTTTTCATTGGAAGTTATTTCCTTTTTCACCATAGTTCAGAAAGCGCTCCAAATGTCCACTTCCAGATACTCCAAAAAGAGTGTTTCAAACCTGCTCTATGAATGGGAATGTTCCACTCTGTGACTTGAATGGAAATATGGCAAAGTATTTTCTGAGTATGCTGCTGTGTACGTTTTATATTGCATCCCGTTTCCAACGAAATCCTCAAAGCAATCCAAATATCCACTTGCAGATTCCAAAAAAAAGAGTGTTTCACACTGCTCTGTCAGTACAAAAGTACAACACTGTTAGTTGATTGGATGCATCATAAACAAGTTCCTGAGATAGCTCTATCTCGCATTCATGGGAAGATATTTCCTTTTTCCAGATAGGCTACAAAGCCCTCCAAATGTCCACTTCCAGATACTACAAAAAGAGTGTTTCCAACCTGCTCTATGAAACGGAAGGTTCAACTCTGTGACTTGATTGCAAACATCACGAAGGTGTTTCTGAGAATGCTTTCTGTCTAGATTTTCTTTGAAGACATTACCGTTTCCAACGAAATCCTCAAAGCTAGCCAAATATCCACCTGCAGATTCTACAAAAAGAGTGTTTCAAAAGTGCTCTGTCCAAACCAAGGTTCAATTCTGACAGTTGAGTGCACACATCACAAACGTGATTCTGCGAATGCTTCTGTCTAGTTTTTGTCGGAAGATATTTCCTTTTTCAGCATAGGCCCCAAGGAGCTCAAAATGTCCACTGCCAGATAGTACGAGAAGATTGTTTCAAACCTGCTCTGTGAAAGGGAATGTTCAACTCTGTGACTTGAATGTAAACATCCCTAAGATGTTTCTTAGAATGCTTCTGGCTAGATTTGATTTGAAGATATTCCCGTTTCCAACGAAATCCTCAAAGCTTTCCAAATATCCACTTCCAGATTCTATAAAAAGAATGTTTCAGAACAGTTCTGTCAAAAGAAAGGTTCAACTCTGTTAGTGGAGAACACACATCACAATCAAGGTTCTGAGAATGCTTCCTGTCTAAATTTTCTATGAAGACATTCCCGTTTCCAACGAAATCCTCACAGCTATCCAAGTATCCACTTGCAGATTCTACAAAAAGTGTGGTTCAAAACTGCTGTATCAAAAGAATGGATCAACACTGTTAGTTGAGTACCCACATCACCAACGTGATTCTCAGAATGCTTCTGTCTAGTTTCTGTAGGTAGATATTTCCTATTTTAAGCATAGGTCTGAAAGCGCTCCAAATGCCCGCTTCCAGACACTATAAAAAGAGGGTTTCAAACCTACTCTATGAAAGGGAATGTTCAACTCTGAGAGCTGGATGCAAACATCACAAAGAAGTTTCTGAGAATGCTGCTGTCTACTTTTTATATATAATCCCGTTTCCAACGAAATCCTCAAATCTCTCCAAATATCCACTTGCAGATTCCAAAAGAAGAGTGTCTCAAAACTGCTCTATCAATAGAAATGTTCAGCACAGTTAGTTGAGTAGATACAGCATAAACATGTTTCTGAGATTACTTCTATCTCGCATTCATGGGAAGATATTTCCTTTTTCCACATAGGCTACAAAGCCCTCCAAATGTCCACTTCCAGATACTACAAAAAGAGTGTTTCCAACCTGCTCTATGAAACGGAAGGTTCAACTCTGTGACTTGATTGCAAACATCACGAAGGTGTTTCTGAGAATGCTTCTGTCTAGATTTTCTTTGAAGACATTACCGTTTCCAACGAAATCCTCAAAGCTAGCCAAATATCCACCTGCAGATTCTACAAAAAGAGTGTTTCAAAAGTGCTCTGTCCAAACCAAGGTTCAATTCTGACAGTTGAGTGCACACATCACAAACGTGATTCTGCGAATGCTTCTGTCTAGTTTTTGTCGGAAGATATTTCCTTTTTCAGCATAGGCCCCAAGGAGCTCAAAATGTCCACTGCCAGATAGTACGAGAAGATTGTTTCAAACCTGCTCTGTGAAAGGGAATGTTCAACTCTGTGACTTGAATGTAAACATCCCTAAGATGTTTCTTAGAATGCTTCTGGCTAGATTTTATTTGAAGATATTCCCGTTTCCAACGAATTCCTCAAAGCTTTCCAAATATCCACTTCCAGATTCTATAAAAAGAATGTTTCAAAACAGTTCTGTCAAAAGAAAGGTTCAACTCTGTTAGTGGAGAACACACATCACAATCCAGGTTCTGAGAATGCTTCTGTCTAAATTTTCTATGAAGACATTCCCGTTTCCAACGAAATCCTCACAGCTATCCAAATATCCACTTGCAGATTCTACAAAAAGGGTGGTTCAAAACTGCTGTATCAAAAGAATGGATCAACACTGTTAGTTGAGTACCCACATCACAAACGTGATTCTCAGAATGCTTCTGTCTAGTTTCTGTAGGTAGATATTTCCTTTTTCAGCATAGGCCTGAAAGCGCTCCAAATGCCCGCTTCCAGACACTATAAAAAGAGGGTTTCAAACCTACTCTATGAAAGGGAATGTTCAACTCTGAGAGCTGGATGCAAACATCACAAAGAAGTTTCTGAGAATGCTGCTGTCTACTTTTGATATATAATCCCGTTTCCAACGAAATCCTCAAATCTATCCAAATATCCACTTGCAGATTCCAAAAGAAGAGTGTCTCAAAACTGCTCTATCAATAGAAATGTTCAGCACAGTTAGTTGAGTAGATACAGCATAAACATGTTTCTGAGATTACTTCTATCTCGCATTCATGGGAAGATATTTCCTTTTTCCAGATAGGCTACAAAGCCCTCCAAATGTCCACTTCCAGATACTACAAAAAGAGTGTTTCCAACCTGCTCTATGAAACGGAAGGTTCAACTCTGTGACTTGATTGCAAACATCACGAAGGTGTTTCTGAGAATGCTTCTGTCTAGATTTTCTTTGAAGACATTACCGTTTCCAACGAAATCCTCAAAGCTAGCCAAATATCCACCTGCAGATTCTACAAAAAGAGTGTTTCAAAAGTGCTCTGTCCAAACCAAGGTTCAATTCTGACAGTTGAGTGCACACATCACAAACGTGATTCTGCGAATGCTTCTGTCTAGTTTTTGTCGGAAGATATTTCCTTTTTCAGCATAGGCCCCAAGGAGCTCAAAATGTCCACTGCCAGATAGTACGAGAAGATTGTTTCAAACCTGCTCTGTGAAAGGGAATGTTCAACTCTGTGACTTGAATGTAAACATCCCTAAGATGTTTCTTAGAATGCTTCTGGCTAGATTTGATTTGAAGATATTCCCGTTTCCAACGAAATCCTCAAAGCTTTCCAAATATCCACTTCCAGATTCTATAAAAAGAATGTTTCAGAACAGTTCTGTCTAAAGAAAGGTTCAACTCTGTTAGTGGAGAACACACATCACAATCAAGGTTCTGAGAATGCTTCTGTCTAAATTTTCTATGAAGACATTCCCGTTTCCAACGAAATCCTCACAGCTATCCAAATATCCACTTGCAGATTCTACAAAAAGTGTGGTTCAAAACTGCTGTATCAAAAGAATGGATCAACACTGTTAGTTGAGTACCCACATCACAAACGTGATTCTCAGAATGCTTCTGTCTAGTTTCTATAGGTAGATATTTCCTTTTTCAGCATAGGCCTGAAAGCGCTCCAAATGCCCGCTTCCAGACACTATAAAAAGAGGGTTTCAAACCTACTCTATGAAAGGGAATGTTCAACTCTGAGAGCTGGATGCAAACATCACAAAGAAGTTTCTGAGAATGCTGCTGTCTACTTTTTATATATAATCCCGTTTCCAACGAAATCCTCAAATCTATCCAAATATCCACTTGCAGATTCCAAAAGAAGAGTGTCTCAAAACTGCTCTATCAATAGAAATGTTCAGCACAGTTAGTTGAGTAGATACAGCATAAACATGTTTCTGAGATTACTTCTATCTCGCATTCATGGGAAGATATTTCCTTTTTCCAGATAGGCTACAAAGCCCTCCAAATGTCCACTTCCAGATACTACAAATAGAGTGCTGCACAACTGCTCTATGTGAGGGGATGTTCAATTCTGTGACTTGAATGCAGACACCACAAAGAAGTTTCTGAGAATGCTGCTGTCTAATTTTTACATGTAAGCCCGTTTCCAACGAAATCCTCAAAGCTATCCAAATATCCGCATGCAGAATCTTCAAAAAGAGTGTTCCAGAAGTACTGCATGAAACGAAAGGTTCAAGTCCCGTTTGTTGAGGACACACATCACAAATAAGTTTCTCAGAATGCTTCTGTCTTGTTTTCATTGGAAGATATTTCCTTTTTCACCATAGTTCAGAAAGCGCTCCAAATGTCCACTTCCAGATACTCCAAAAAGAGTGTTTCAAACCTGCTCTATGAATGGGAATGTTCCACTCTGTGACTTGAATGGAAATATGGCAAAGTATTTTCTGAGTATGCTGCTGTGTACGTTTTATATTGCATCCCGTTTCCAACGAAATCCTCAAAGCGATCCAAATATCCACTTGCAGATTCCAAAAAAAGAGTGTTTCAAACTGCTCTGTCAGTACAAAGGTTCAACACTGTTAGTTGATTAGATGCATCATAAACAAGTTCCTGAGATAGCTTCTATGTCGTTTTTATGGGAAGATATTTCCTTTTTCACCATAGGCCTGAAAGCGCTCCAAATGTCCACTTCCAGATACTACAAAAAGAGTGTTTCCAACCTGCTCTATGAAACGGAAGGTTCAACTCTGTGACTTGATTGCAAACATCACGAAGGTGTTTCTGAGAATGTTTCTGTCTAGATTTTCTTTGAAGACATTACCGTTTCCAACGAAATCCTTAAAGCTAGCCAAATATCCACCTGCAGATTCTACAAAAAGAGTGTGTCAAAAGTGCTCTGTCCAAACCAAGGTTCAATTCTGACAGTTGAGTGCACACATCACAAACGTGATTCTGCGAATGCTTCTGTCTAGTTTTTGTCGGAAGATATTTCCTTTTTCAGCATAGGCCCCAAGGAGCTCAAAATGTCCACTGCCAGATAGTACGAGAAGATTGTTTCAAACCTGCTCTGTGAAAGGGAATGTTCAACTCTGTGACTTGAATGTAAACATCCCTAAGATGTTTCTTAGAATGCTTCTGGCTAGATTTGATTTGAAGATATTCCCGTTTCCAACGAAATCCTCAAAGCTTTCCAAATATCCACTTCCAGATTCTATAAAAAGAATGTTTCAGAACAGTTCTGTCAAAAGAAAGGTTCAACTCTGTTAGTGGAGAACACACATCACAATCAAGGTTCTGAGAATGCTTCTGTCTAAATTTTCTATGAAGACATTCCCGTTTCCAACGAAATCCTCACAGCTATCCAAATATCCACTTGCAGATTCTACAAAAAGTGTGGTTCAAAACTGCTGTATCAAAAGAATGGATCAACACTGTTAGTTGAGTACCCACATCAGAAACGTGATTCTCAGAATGCTTCTGTCTAGTTTCTATAGGTAGATATTTCCTTTTTCAGCATAGGCCTGAAAGCGCTCCAAATGCCCGCTTCCAGACACTATAAAAAGAGGGTTTCAAACCTACTCTATGAAAGGGAATGTTCAATTCTGAGAGCTGGATGCAAACATCACAAAGAAGTTTCTGAGAATGCTGCTGTCTACTTTTTATATATCATCCCGTTTCCAACGAAATCCTCAAATCTATCCAAATATCCACTTGCAGATTCCAAAAGAAGAGTGTCTCAAAACTGCTCTATCAATAGAAATGTTCAGCACAGTTAGTTGAGTAGATACAGCATAAACATGTTTCTGAGATTACTTCTATCTCGCATTCATGGGAAGATATTTCCTTTTTCCAGATAGGCTACAAAGCCCTCCAAATGTCCACTTCCAGATACTACAAAAAGAGTGTTTCCAACCTGCTCTATGAAACGGAAGGTTCAACTCTGTGACTTGATTGCAAACATCACGAAGGTGTTTCTGAGAATGCTTCTGTCTAGATTTTCTTTGAAGACATTACCGTTTCCAACGAAATCCTCAAAGCTAGCCAAATATCCACCTGCAGATTCTACAAAAAGAGTGTTTCAAAAGTGCTCTGTCCAAACCAAGGTTCAATTCTGACAGTTGAGTGCACACATCACAAACGTGATTCTGCGAATGCTTCTGTCTAGTTTTTGTCGGAAGATATTTCCTTTTTCAGCATAGGCCCCAAGGAGCTCAAAATGTCCACTGCCAGATAGTACGAGAAGATTGTTTCAAACCTGCTCTGTGAAAGGGAATGTTCAACTCTGTGACTTGAATGTAAACATCCCTAAGATGTTTCTTAGAATGCTTCTGGCTAGATTTGATTTGAAGATATTCCCGTTTCCAACGAAATCCTCAAAGCTTTCCAAATATCCACTTCCAGATTCTATAAAAAGAATGTTTCAGAACAGTTGTGTCTAAAGAAAGGTTCAACTCTGTTAGTGGAGAACACACATCACAATCAAGGTTCTGAGAATGCTTCTGTCTAAATTTTCTATGAAGACATTCCCGTTTCCAACGAAATCCTCACAGCTATCCAAATATCCACTTGCAGATTCTACAAAAAGTGTGGTTCAAAACTGCTGTATCAAAAGAATGGATCAACACTGTTAGTTGAGTACCCACATCACAAACGTGATTCTCAGAATGCTTCTGTCTAGTTTCTATAGGTAGATATTTCCTTTTTCAGCATAGGCCTGAAAGCGCTCCAAATGCCCGCTTCCAGACACTATAAAAAGAGGGTTTCAAACCTACTCTATGAAAGGGAATGTTCAACTCTGAGAGCTGGATGCAAACATCACAAAGAAGTTTCTGAGAATGCTGCTGTCTACTTTTGATATATAATCCCGTTTCCAACGAAAATCCTCAAATCTATCCAAATATCCACTTGCAGATTCCAAAAGAAGAGTGTCTCAAAACTGCTCTATCAATAGAAATGTTCAGCACAGTTAGTTGAGTAGATACAGCATAAACATGTTTCTGAGATTACTTCTATCTCGCATTCATGGGAAGATATTTCCTTTTTCCAGATAGGCTACAAAGCCCTCCAAATGTCCACTTCCAGATACTACAAATAGAGTGCTGCACAACTGCTCTATGTGAGGGGAAGTTCAATTCTGTGACTTGAATGCAGACACCACAAAGAAGTTTCTGAGAATGCTGCTGTCTAATTTTTACATGTAAGCCCGTTTCCAACGAAATCCTCAAAGCTATCCAAATATCCGCATGCAGAATCTTCAAAAAGAGTGTTCCAGAAGTACTGCATGAAACGAAAGGTTCAAGTCCGTTTGTTGAGGACACACATCACAAATAAGTTTCTCAGAATGCTTCTGTCTTGTTTTCATTGGAAGATATTTCCTTTTTCACCATAGTTCAGAAAGCGCTCCAAATGTCCACTTCCAGATACTCCAAAAAGAGTGTTTCAAACCTGCTCTATGAATGGGAATGTTCCACTCTGTGACTTGAATGGAAATATGGCAAAGTATTTTCTGAGTATGCTGCTGTGTACGTTTTATATTGCATCCCGTTTCCAACGAAATCCTCAAAGCGATCCAAATATCCACTTGCAGATTCCAAAAAAAGAGTGTTTCAAACTGCTCTGTCAGTACAAAGGTTCAACACTGTTAGTTGATTAGATGCATCATAAACAAGTTCCTGAGATAGCTTCTATGTCGTTTTTATGGGAAGATATTTCCTTTTTCACCATAGGCCTGAAAGCGCTCCAAATGTCCACTTCCAGATACTACAATAAGAGTGTTTCCAACCTGCTCTATGAAACGGAAGGTTCAACTCTGTGACTTGATTGCAAACATCACGAAGGTGTTTCTGAGAATGCTTCTGTCTAGATTTTCTTTGAAGACATTCCCGTTTCCAACGAAATCCTCACAGCTATCCAAATATCCTCTTGCAGATTCTACAAAAAGTGTGGTTCAAAACTGCTGTATCAAAAGAATGGATCAACACTGTTAGTTGAGTACCCACATCACAAACGTGATTCTCAGAATGCTTCTGTCTAGTTTCTGTAGGTAGATATTTCCTATTTTAAGCATAGGCCTGAAAGCGCTCCAAATGCCCGCTTCCAGACACTATAAAAAGAGGGTTTCAAACCTACTCTATGAAAGGGAATGTTCAACTCTGAGAGCTGGATGCAAACATCACAAAGAAGTTTCTGAGAATGCTGCTGTCTACTTTTGATATATAATCCCGTTTCCAACGAAATCCTCAAATCTATCCAAATATCCACTTGCAGATTCCAAAAGAAGAGTGTCTCAAAACTGCTCTATCAATAGAAATGTTCAGCACAGTTAGTTGAGTAGATACAGCATAAACATGTTTCTGAGATTACTTCTATCTCGCATTCATGGGAAGATATTTCCTTTTTCCAGATAGGCTACAAAGCCCTCCAAATGTCCACTTCCAGATACTACAAATAGAGTGCTGCACAACTGCTCTATGTGAGGGGAAGTTCAATTCTGTGACTTGAATGCAGACACCACAAAGAAGTTTCTGAGAATGCTGCTGTCTAATTTTTACATGTAAGCCCGTTTCCAACGAAATCCTCAAAGCTATCCAAATATCCGCATGCAGAATCTTCAAAAAGAGTGTTCCAGAAGTACTGCATGAAACGAAAGGTTCAAGTCCGTTTGTTGAGGACACACATCACAAATAAGTTTCTCAGAATGCTTCTGTCTTGTTTTCATTGGAAGATATTTCCTTTTTCACCATAGTTCAGAAAGCGCTCCAAATGTCCACTTCCAGATACTCCAAAAAGAGTGTTTCCAACCTGCTCTATGAATGGGAATGTTCCACTCTGTGACTTGAATGGAAATATGGCAAAGTATTTTCTGAGTATGCTGCTGTGTACGTTTTATATTGCATCCCGTTTCCAACGAAATCCTCAAAGCGATCCAAATATCCACTTGCAGATTCCAAAAAAAGAGTGTTTCAAACTGCTCTGTCAGTACAAAGGTTCAACACTGTTAGTTGATTAGATGCATCATAAACAAGTTCCTGAGATAGCTTCTATGTCGTTTTTATGGGAAGATATTTCCTTTTTCACCATAGGCCTGAAAGCGCTCCAAATGTCCACTTCCAGATACTACAATAAGAGTGTTTCCAACCTGCTCTATGAAACGGAAGGTTCAACTCTGTGACTTGATTGCAAACATCACGAAGGTGTTTCTGAGAATGCTTCTGTCTAGATTTTCTTTGAAGACTTTCCCGTTTCCAACGAAATCCTCACAGCTATCCAAATATCCTCTTGCAGATTCTACAAAAAGTGTGGTTCAAAACTGCTGTATCAAAAGAATGGATCAACACTGTTAGTTGAGTACCCACATCACAAACGTGATTCTCAGAATGCTTCTGTCTAGTTTCTGTAGGTAGATATTTCCTATTTTAAGCATAGGCCTGAAAGCGCTCCAAATGCCCGCTTCCAGACACTATAAAAAGAGGGTTTCAAACCTACTCTATGAAAGGGAATGTTCAACTCTGAGAGCTGGATGCAAACATCACAAAGAAGTGTCTGAGAATGCTGCTGTCTACTTTTTATATATAATCCCGTTTCCAACGAAATCCTCAAATCTATCCAAATATCCACTTGCAGATTCCAAAAGAAGAGTGTCTCAAAACTGCTCTATCAATAGAAATGTTCAGCACAGTTAGTTGAGTAGATACAGCATAAACATGTTTCTGAGATTACTTCTATCTCGCATTCATGGGAAGATATTTCCTTTTTCCAGATAGGCTACAAAGCCCTCCAAATGTCCACTTCCAGATACTACAAATAGAGTGCTGCACAACTGCTCTATGTGAGGGGAAGTTCAATTCTGTGACTTGAATGCAGACACCACAAAGAAGTTTCTGAGAATGCTGCTGTCTAATTTTTACATGTAAGCCCGTTTCCAACGAAATCCTCAAAGCTATCCAAATATCCGCATGCAGAATCTTCAAAAAGAGTGTTCCAGAAGTACTGCATGAAACGAAAGGTTCAAGTCCCGTTTGTTGAGGACACACATCACAAATAAGTTTCTCAGAATGCTTCTGTCTTGTTTTCATTGGAAGATATTTCCTTTTTCACCATAGTTCAGAAAGCGCTCCAAATGTCCACTTCCAGATACTCCAAAAAGAGTGTTTCAAACCTGCTCTATGAATGGGAATGTTCCACTCTGTGACTTGAATGGAAATATGGCAAAGTATTTTCTGAGTATGCTGCTGTGTACGTTTTATATTGCATCCCGTTTCCAACGAAATCCTCAAAGCGATCCAAATATCCACTTGCAGATTCCAAAAAAAGAGTGTTTCAAACTGCTCTGTCAGTACAAAGGTTCAACACTGTTAGTTGATTAGATGCATCATAAACAAGTTCCTGAGATAGCTTCTATGTCGTTTCTATGGGAAGATATTTCCTTTTTCACCATAGGCCTTAAAGCGCTCCAAATGTCCACTTCCAGATACTACAAAAAGAGTGTTTCCAACCTGCTGTATGAAACGGAAGGTTCAACTCTGTGACTTGATTGCAAACATCACGAAGGTGTTTCTGAGAATGCTTCTGTCTAGATTTTCTTTGAAGACATTACCGTTTCCAACGAAATCCTCAAAGCTAGCCAAATATCCACCTGCAGATTCTACAAAAAGAGTGTTTCAAAAGTGCTCTGTCCAAACCAAGGTTCAATTCTGACAGTTGAGTGCACACATCACAAACGTGATTCTGCGAATGCTTCTGTCTAGTTTTTGTCGGAAGATATTTCCTTTTTCAGCATAGGCCCCAAGGAGCTCAAAATGTCCACTGCCAGATAGTACGAGAAGATTGTTTCAAACCTGCTCTGTGAAAGGGAATGTTCAACTCTGTGACTTGAATGTAAACATCCCTAAGATGTTTCTTAGAATGCTTCTGGCTAGATTTGATTTGAAGATATTCCCGTTTCCAACGAAATCCTCAAAGCTTTCCAAATATCCACTTCCAGATTCTATAAAAAGAATGTTTCAGAACAGTTCTGTCAAAAGAAAGGTTCAACTCTGTTAGTGGAGAACACACATCACAATCAAGGTTCTGAGAATGCTTCTGTCTACATTTTCTATGAAGACATTCCCGTTTCCAACGAAATCCTCACAGCTATCCAAATATCCACTTGCAGATTCTACAAAAAGTGTGGTTCAAAACTGCTGTATCAAAAGAATGGATCAACACTGTTAGTTGAGTACCCACATCACAAACGTGATTCTCAGAATGCTTCTGTCTAGTTTCTGTAGGTAGATATTTCCTATTTTAAGCATAGGCCTGAAAGCGCTCCAAATGCCCGCTTCCAGACACTATAAAAAGAGGGTTTCAAACCTACTCTATGAAAGGGAATGTTCAACTCTGAGAGCTGGATGCAAACATCACAAAGAAGTTTCTGAGAATGCTGCTGTCTACTTTTTATATATAATCCCGTTTCCAACGAAATCCTCAAATCTCTCCAAATATCCACTTGCAGATTCCAAAGGAAGAGTGTCTCAAAACTGCTCTATCAATAGAAATGTTCAGCACAGTTAGTTGAGTAGATACAGCATAAACATGTTTCTGAGATTACTTCTATCTCGCATTCATGGGAAGATATTTCCTTTTTCCAGATAGGCTACAAAGCCCTCCAAATGTCCACTTCCAGATACTACAAAAAGAGTGTTTCCAACCTGCTCTATGAAACGGAAGGTTCAACTCTGTGACTTGATTGCAAACATCACGAAGGTGTTTCTGAGAATGCTTCTGTCTAGATTTTCTTTGAAGACATTACCGTTTCCAACGAAATCCTCAAAGCTAGCCAAATATCCACCTGCAGATTCTACAAAAAGAGTGTTTCAAAAGTGCTCTGTCCAAACCAAGGTTCATTTCTGACAGTTGAGTGCACACATCACAAACGTGATTCTGCGAATGCTTCTGTCTAGTTTTTGTCGGAAGATATTTCCTTTTTCAGCATAGGCCCCAAGGAGCTCAAAATGTCCACTGCCAGATAGTACGAGAAGATTGTTTCAAACCTGCTCTGTGAAAGGGAATGTTCAACTCTGTGACTTGAATGTAAACATCCCTAAGATGTTTCTTAGAATGCTTCTGGCTAGATTTTATTTGAAGATATTCCCGTTTCCAACGAAATCCTCAAAGCTTTCCAAATATCCACTTCCAGATTCTATAAAAAGAATGTTTCAGAACAGTTCTGTCAAAAGAAAGGTTCAACTCTGTTAGTGGAGAACACACATCACAATCAAGGTTCTGAGAATGCTTCTGTCTAAATTTTCTATGAAGACATTCCCGTTTCCAACGAAATCCTCACAGCTATCCAAATATCCACTTGCAGATTCTACAAAAAGTGTGGTTCAAAACTGCTGTATCAAAAGAATGGATCAACACTGTTAGTTGAGTACCCACATCACAAACGTGATTCTCAGAATGCTTCTGTCTAGTTTCTATACGTAGATATTTCCTTTTTCAGCATAGGCCTGAAAGCGCTCCAAATGCCCGCTTCCAGACACTATAAAAAGAGGGTTTCAAACCTACTCTATGAAAGGGAATGTTCAACTCTGAGAGCTGGATGCAAACATCACAAAGAAGTTTCTGAGAATGCTGCTGTCTACTTTTTATATATAATCCCGTTTCCAACGAAATCCTCAAATCTATCCAAATATCCACTTGCAGATTCCAAAAGAAGAGGGTCTCAAAACTGCTCTATCAATAGAAATGTTCAGCACAGTTAGTTGAGTAGATACAGCATAAACATGTTTCTGAGATTACATCTATCTCGCATTCATGGGAAGATATTTCCTTTTTCCAGATAGGCTACAAAGCCCTCCAAATGTCCACTTCCAGATACTACAAAAAGTGTGTTTCCAACCTGCTCTATGAAACGGAAGGTTCAACTCTGTGACTTGATTGCAAACATCACGAAGGTGTTTCTGAGAATGCTTCTGTCTAGATTTTCTTTGAAGACATTACCGTTTCCAACGAAATCCTCAAAGCTAGCCAAATATCCACCTGCAGATTCTACAAAAAGTGTGTTTCAAAAGTGCTCCCTCCAAACCAAGGTTCAATTCTGACAGTTGAGTGCACACATCACAAACGTGATTCTGCGAATGCTTCTGACTAGTTTTTGTCGGAAGATATTTCCTTTTTCAGCATAGGCCCCAAAGAGCTCAAAATGTCCACTGCCAGATAGTACGAGAAGATTGTTTCAAACCTGCTCTGTGAAAGGGAATGTTCAACTCTGTGACTTGAATGTAAACATCCCTAAGATGTTTCTTAGAATGCTTCTGGCTAGATTTTATTTGAAGATATTCCCGTTTCCAACGAAATCCTCAAAGCTTTCCAAATATCCACTTCCAGATTCTATAAAAAGAATGTTTCAGAACAGTTCTGTCAAAAGAAAGGTTCAACTCTGTTAGTGGAGAACACACATCACAATCAAGGTTCTGAGAATGCTTCTGTCTAAATTTTCTAGGAAGACATTCCCGTTTCCAACGAAATCCTCACAGCTATCCAAATATCCACTTGCAGATTCTACAAAAAGTGTGGTTCAAAACTGCTGTATCAAAAGAATGGATCAACACTGTTAGTTGAGTACCCACATCACAAACGTGATTCTCAGAATGCTTCTGTCTAGTTTCTGTAGGTAGATATTTCCTATTTTAAGCATAGGCCTGAAAGCGCTCCAAATGCCCGCTTCCAGACACTATAAAAAGAGGGTTTCAAACCTACTCTATGAAAGGGAATGTTCAACTCTGAGAGCTGGATGCAAACATCACAAAGAAGTTTCTGAGAATGCTGCTGTCTACTTTTTATATATAATCCCGTTTCCAACGAAATCCTCAAATCTATCCAAATATCCACTTGCAGATTCCAAAAGAAGAGTGTCTCAAAACTGCTCTATCAATAGAAATGTTCAGCACAGTTAGTTGATTAGATACAGCATAAACATGTTTCTGAGATTACTCTATCTCGCATTCATGGGAAGATATTTCCTTTTTCCAGATAGGCTACAAAGCCCTCCAAATGTCCACTTCCAGATACTACAAATAGAGTGCTGCACAACTGCTCTATGTGAGGGGAAGTTCAATTCTGTGACTTGAATGCAGACACCACAAAGAAGTTTCTGAGAATGCTGGCTGTCTATTTTTACATGTAAGCCCGTTTCCAACGAAATCCTCAAAGCTATCCAAATATCCGCATGCAGAATCTTCAAAAAGAGTGTTCCAGAAGTACTGCATGAAACGAAAGGTTCAAGTCCGTTTGTTGAGGACACACATCACAAATAAGTTTCTCAGAATGCTTCTGTCTTGTTTTCATTGGAAGATATTTCCTTTTTCACCATAGTTCAGAAAGCGCTCCAAATGTCCACTTCCAGATACTCCAAAAAGAGTGTTTCCAACCTGCTCTATGAATGGGAATGTTCCACTCTGTGACTTGAATGGAAATATGGCAAAGTATTTTCTGAGTATGCTGCTGTGTACGTTTTATATTGCATCCCGTTTCCAACGAAATCCTCAAAGCGATCCAAATATCCACTTGCAGATTCCAAAAAAAGAGTGTTTCAAACTGCTCTGTCAGTACAAAGGTTCAACACTGTTAGTTGATTAGATGCATCATAAACAAGTTCCTGAGATAGCTTCTATGTCGTTTTTATGGGAAGATATTTCCTTTTTCACCATAGGCCTGAAAGCACTCCAAATGTCCACTTCCAGATACTACAAAAAGAGTGTTTCCAACCTGCTCTATGAAACGGAAGGTTCAACTCTGTGACTTGATTGCAAACATCACGAAGGTGTTTCTGAGAATGCTTCTGTCTAGATTTTCTTTGAAGACATTACCGTTTCCAACGAAATCCTCAAAGCTAGCCAAATATCCACCTGCAGATTTTACAAAAAGAGTGTTTCAAGAGTGCAATCTCCAAACCAAGGTTCAATTCTGACAGTTGAGTGCACACATCACAAACGTGATTCTGCGAATGCTTCTGTCTAGTTTTTGTCGGAAGATATTTCCTTTTTCAGCATAGGCCCCAAGGAGCTCAAAATGTCCACTGCCAGATAGTACGAGAAGATTGTTTCAAACCTGCTCTGTGAAAGGGAATGTTCAACTCTGTGACTTGAATGTAAACAACCCTAAGATGTTTCTTAGAATGCTTCTGGCTAGATTTGATTTGAAGATATTCCCGTTTCCAACGAAATCCTCAAAGCTTTCCAAATATCCACTTCCAGATTCTATAAAAAGAATGTTTCAGAACAGTTCTGTCAAAAGAAAGGTTCAACTTTGTTAGTGGAGAACACACATCACAATCAAGGTTCTGAGAATGCTTCTGTCTAAATTTTCTATGAAGACATTCCCGTTTCCAACGAAATCCTCACAGCTATCCAAATATCCACTTGCAGATTCTACAAAAAGTGTGGTTCAAAACTGCTGTATCAAAAGAATGGATCAACACTGTTAGTTGAGTACCCACATCACAAACGTGATTCTCAGAATGCTTCTGTCTAGTTTCTATAGGTAGATATTTCCTTTTTCAGCATAGGCCTGAAAGCGCTCCAAATGCCCGCTTCCAGACACTATAAAAAGAGGGTTTCAAACCTACTCTATGAAAGGGAATGTTCAACTCTGAGAGCTGGATGCAAACATCACAAAGAAGTTTCTGAGAATGCTGCTGTCTACTTTTTATATATAATCCCGTTTCCAACGAAATCCTCAAATCTATCCAAATATCCACTTGCAGATTCCAAAAGAAGAGTGTCTCAAAACTGCTCTATCAATAGAAATGTTCAGCACAGTTAGTTGAGTAGATACAGCATAAACATGTTTCTCAGATTACTTCTATCACGCATTCATGGGAAGATATTTCCTTTTTCCAGATAGGCTACAAAGCCCTCCAAATGTCCACTTCCAGATACTACAAATAGAGTGCTGCACAACTGCTCTATGTGAGGGGAAGTTCAATTCTGTGACTTGAATGCAGACACCACAAGAAGTTTCTGAGAATGCTGCTGTCTAATTTTTACATGTAAGACCGTTTCCAACGAAATCCTCAAAGCTATCCAAATATCCGCATGCAGAATCTTCAAAAAGAGTGTTCCAGAAGTACTGCATGAAACGAAAGGTTCAAGTCCGTTTGTTGAGGACACACATCACAAATAAGTTTCTCAGAATGCTTCTGTGTTGTTTTCATTGGAAGATATTTCCTTTTTCACCATAGTTCAGAAAGCGCTCCAAATGTCCACTTCCAGATACTCCAAAAAGAGTGTTTCCAACCTGCTCTATGAATGGGAATGTTCCACTCTGTGACTTGAATGGAAATATGGCAAAGTATTTTCTGAGTATGCTGCTGTGTACGTTTTATATTGCATCCCGTTTCCAACGAAATCCTCAAAGCGATCCAAATATCCACTTGCAGATTCCAAAAAAAAAGTGTTTCAAACTGCTCTGTCAGTACAAAGGTTCAACACTGTTAGTTGATTAGATGCATCATAAACAAGTTCCTGAGATAGCTTCTATGTCGTTTTTATGGGAAGATATTTCCTTTTTCACCATAGGCCTGAAAGCGCTCCAAATGTCCACTTCCAGATACTACAATAAGAGTGTTTCCAACCTGCTCTATGAAACGGAAGGTTCAACTCTGTGACTTGATTGCAAACATCACGAAGGTGTTTCTGAGAATGCTTCTGTCTAGATTTTCTTTGAAGACATTACCGTTTCCAACGAAATCCTCACAGCTATCCAAATATCCTCTTGCAGATTCTACAAAAAGTGTGGTTCAAAACTGCTGTATCAAAAGAATGGATCAACACTGTTAGTTGAGTACCCACATCACAAACGTGATTCCTCAGAATGCTTCTCTGTCTAGTTTCTGTAGGTAGATATTTCCTATTTTAAGCATAGGCCTGAAAGCGCTCCAAATGCCCGCTTCCAGACACTATAAAAAGAGGGTTTCAAACCTACTCTATGAAAGGGAATGTTCAACTCTGAGAGCTGGATGCAAACATCACAAAGAAGTTTCTGAGAATGCTGCTGTCTACTTTTTATATATAATCCCATTTCCAACGAAATCCTCAAATCTATCCAAATATCCACTTGCAGATTCCAAAAGAAGAGTGTCTCAAAACTGCTCTATCAATAGAAATGTTCAGCACAGTTAGTTGAGTAGATACAGCATAAACATGTTTCTGAGATTACTTCTATCTCGCATTCATGGGAAGATATTTCCTTTTTCCAGATAGGCTACAAAGCCCTCCAAATGTCCACTTCGAGATACTACAAATAGAGTGCTGCACAACTGCTCTATGTGAGGGGAAGTTCAATTCTGTGACTTGAATGCAGACACCACAAAGAAGTTTCTGAGAATGCTGCTGTCTAATTTTTACATGTAAGCCCGTTTCCAACGAAATCCTCAAAGCTATCCAAATATCCGCATGCAGAATCTTCAAAAAGAGTGTTCCAGAAGTACTGCATGAAACGAAAGGTTCAAGTCCGTTTGTTGAGGACACACATCACAAATAAGTTTCTCAGAATGCTTCTGTCTTGTTTTCATTGGAAGATATTTCCTTTTTCACCATAGTTCAGAAAGCGCTCCAAATGTCCACTTCCAGATACTCCAAAAAGAGTGTTTCAAACCTGCTCTATGAATGGGAATGTTCCACTCTGTGACTTGAATGGAAATATGGCAAAGTATTTTCTGAGTATGCTGCTGTGTACGTTTTATATTGCATCCCGTTTCCAACGAAATACTCAAAGCGATCCAAATATCCACTTGCAGATTCCAAAAAAAGAGTGTTTCAAACTGCTCTGTCAGTACAAAGGTTCAACACTGTTAGTTGATTAGATGCATCATAAACAAGTTCCTGAGATAGCTTCTATGTCGTTTTTATGGGAAGATATTTCCTTTTTCACCATAGGCCTGAAAGCGCTCCAAATGTCCACTTCCAGATACTACAATAAGAGTGTTTCCAACCTGCTCTATGAAACGGAAGGTTCAACTCTGTGACTTGATTGCAAACATCACGAAGGTGTTTCTGAGAATGCTTCTGTCTAGATTTTCTTTGAAGACATTCCCGTTTCCAACGAAATCCTCACAGCTATCCAAATATCCTCTTGCAGATTCTACAAAAAGTGTGGTTCAAAACTGCTGTATCAAAAGAATGGATCAACACTGTTAGTTGAGTACCCACATCACAAACGTGATTCTCAGAATGCTTCTGTCTAGTTTCTGTAGGTAGATATTTCCTATTTTAAGCATAGGCCTGAAAGCGCTCCAAATGCCCGCTTCCAGACACTATAAAAAGAGGGTTTCAAACCTACTCTATGAAAGGGAATGTTCAACTCTGAGAGCTGGATGCAAACATCACAAAGAAGTTTCTGAGAATGCTGCTGTCTACTTTTTATATATAATCCCGTTTCCAACGAAATCCTCAAATCTATCCAAATATCCACTTGCAGATTCCAAAAGAAGAGTGTCTCAAAACTGCTCTATCAATAGAAATGTTCAGCACAGTTAGTTGAGTAGATACAGCATAAACATGTTTCTGAGATTACTTCTATCTCGCATTCATGGGAAGATATTTCCTTTTTCCAGATAGGCTACAAAGCCCTCCAAATGTCCACTTCCAGATACTACAAAAAGAGTGTTTCCAACCTGCTCTATGAAACGGAAGGTTCAACTCTGTGACTTGATTGCAAACATCACGAAGGTGTTTCTGAGAATGCTTCTGTCTAGATTTTCTTTGAAGACATTACCGTTTCCAACGAAATCCTCAAAGCTAGCCAAATATCCACCTGCAGATTCTACAAAAAGAGTGTTTCAAAAGTGCTCTGTCCAAACCAAGGTTCAATTCTGACAGTTGAGTGCACACATCACAAACGTGATTCTGCGAATGCTTCTGTCTAGTTTTTGTCGGAAGATATTTCCTTTTTCAGCATAGGCCCCAAGGAGCTCAAAATGTCCACTGCCAGATAGTACGAGAAGATTGTTTCAAACCTGCTCTGTGAAAGGGAATGTTCAACTCTGTGACTTGAATGTAAACATCCCTAAGATGTTTCTTAGAATGCTTCTGGCTAGATTTGATTTGAAGATATTCCCGTTTCAAACGAAGTCCTCAAAGCTTTCCAAATATGCACTTCCAGATTCTATACAAAGAATGTTTCAGAACAGTTCTGTCAAAAGAAAGGTTCAACCCTGTTAGTGGAGAACACACATCACAATCAAGGTTCTGAGAATGCTTCTGTCTAGATTTTCTTTGAAGACATTCCCGTTTCCAACGAAATCCTCACAGCTATCCAAATATCCTCTTGCAGATTCTACAAAAAGTGTGGTTCAAAACTGCTGTATCAAAAGAATGGATCAACACTGTTAGTTGAGTACCCACATCACAAACGAGATTCTCATAATGCTTCTGTCTAGTTTCTGTAGGTAGATATTTCCTATTTTAAGCATAGGTCTGAAAGCGCTCCAAATGCCCGCTTCCAGACACTATAAAAAGAGGGTTTCAAACCTACTCTATGAAAGGGAATGTTCAACTCTGAGAGCTGGATGCAAACATCACAAAGAAGTTTCTGAGAATGCTGCTGTCTACTTTTTATATATAATCCCGTTTCCAACGAAATCCTCAAATCTCTCCAAATATCCACTTGCAGATTCCAAAAGAAGAGTGTCTCAAAACTGCTCTATCAATAGAAATGTTCAGCACAGTTAGTTGAGTAGATACAGCATAAACATGTTTCTGAGATTACTTCTATCTCGCATTCATGGGAAGATATTTCCTTTTTCCACATAGGCTACAAAGCCCTCCAAATGTCCACTTCCAGATACTACAAAAAGAGTGTTTCCAACCTGCTCTATGAAACGGAAGGTTCAACTCTGTGACTTGATTGCAAACATCACGAAGGTGTTTCTGAGAATGCTTCTGTCTAGATTTTCTTTGAAGACATTACCGTTTCCAACGAAATCCTCAAAGCTAGCCAAATATCCACCTGCAGATTCTACAAAAAGAGTGTTTCAAAAGTGCTCTGTCCAAACCAAGGTTCAATTCTGACAGTTGAGTGCACACATCACAAACGCGATTCTGTGAATGCTTCTGTCTAGTTTTTGTCGGAAGATATTTCCTTTTTCAGCATAGGCCCCAAGGAGCTCAAAATGTCCACTGCCAGATAGTACGAGAAGATTGTTTCAAACCTGCTCTGTGAAAGGGAATGTTCAACTCTGTGACTTGAATGTAAACATCCCTAAGATGTTTCTTAGAATGCTTCTGGCTAGATTTGATTTGAAGATATTCCCGTTTCCAACGAAATCCTCAAAGCTTTCCAAATATCCACTTCCAGATTCTATAACAAGAATGTTTCAGAACAGTTCTGTCAAAAGAAAGGTTCAACTCTGTTAGTGGAGAACACACATCACAATCAAGGTTCTGAGAATGCTTCTGTCTAAATTTTCTATGAAGACATTCCCGTTTCCAACGAAATCCTCACAGCTATCCAAATATCCACTTGCAGATTCTACAAAAAGTGTGGTTCAAAACTGCTGTATCAAAAGAATGGATCAACACTGTTAGTTGAGTACCCACATCACAAACGTGATTCTCAGAATGCTTCTGTCTAGTTTCTACAGGTAGATATATCCTTTTTCAGCATAGGCCTGAAAGCGCTCCAAATGCCCGCTTCCAGACACTATAAAAAGAGGGTTTCAAACCTACTCTATGAAAGGGAATGTTCAACTCTGAGAGCTGGATGCAAACATCACAAAGAAGTTTCTGAGAATGCTGCTGTCTACTTTTTATATATAATCCCGTTTCCAACGAAATCCTCAAATCTATCCAAATATCCACTTGCAGATTCCAAAAGAAGAGGGTCTCAAAACTGCTCTATCAATAGAAATGTTCAGCACAGTTAGTTGAGTACATACAGCATAAACATGTTTCTGAGATTACATCTATCTCGCATTCATGGGAAGATATTTCCTTTTTCCAGATAGGCTACAAAGCCCTCCAAATGTCCACTTCCAGATACTACAAAAACTGTGTTTCCAACCTGCTCTATGAAACGGAAGGTTCAACTCTGTGACTTGATTGCAAACATCACGAAGGTGTTTCTGAGAATGCTTCTGTCTAGATTTTCTTTGAAGACATTACCGTTTCCAACGAAATCCTCAAAGCTAGCCAAATATCCACCTGCAGATTCTACAAAAAGTGTGTTTCAAAAGTGCTCTCTCCAAACCAAGGTTCAATTCTGACAGTTGAGTGCACACATCACAAACGTGATTCTGCGAATGCTTCTGACTAGTTTTTGTCGGAAGATATTTCCTTTTTCAGCATAGGCCCCAAAGAGCTCAAAATGTCCACTGCCAGATAGTACGAGAAGATTGTTTCAAACCTGCTCTGTGAAAGGGAATGTTCAACTCTGTGACTTGAATGTAAACATCCCTAAGATGTTTCTTAGAATGCTTCTGGCTAGATTTTATTTGAAGATATTCCCGTTTCCAACGAAATCCTCAAAGCTTTCCAAATATCCACTTCCAGATTCTATAAAAAGAATGTTTCAGAACAGTTCTGTCAAAAGAAAGGTTCAACTCTGTTAGTGGAGAACACACATCACAATCAAGGTTCTGAGAATGCTTCTGTCTAGATTTTCTTTGAAGACATTCCCGTTTCCAACGAAATCCTCACAGCTATCCAAATATCCTCTTGCAGATTCTACAAAAAGTGTGGTTCAAAACTGCTTTATCAAAAGAATGGATCAACACTGTTAGTTGAGTACCCACATCACAAACGTGATTCTCAGAATGCTTCTGTCTAGTTTCTGTAGGTAGATATTTCCTATTTTAAGCATAGGCCTGAAAGCGCTCCAAATGCCCGCTTCCAGACACTATAAAAAGAGGGTTTCAAACCTACTCTATGAAAGGGAATGTTCAACTCTGAGAGCTGGATGCAAACATCACAAAGAAGTTTCTGAGAATGCTGCTGTCTACTTTTGATATATAATCCCGTTTCCAACGAAAATCCTCAAATCTATCCAAATATCCACTTGCAGATTCCAAAAGAAGAGTGTCTCAAAACTGCTCTATCAATAGAAATGTTCAGCACAGTTAGTTGAGTAGATACAGCATAAACATGTTTCTGAGATTACTTCTATCTCGCATTCATGGGAAGATATTTCCTTTTTCCAGATAGGCTACAAAGCCCTCCAAATGTCCACTTCCAGATACTACAAAAAGAGTGTTTCCAACCTGCTCTATGAAACGGAAGGTTCAACTCTGTGACTTGATTGCAAACATCACGAAGGTGTTTCTGAGAATGCTTCTGTCTAGATTTTCTTTGAAGACATTACCGTTTCCAACGAAATCCTCAAAGCTAGCCAAATATCCACCTGCAGATTCTACAAAAAGAGTGTTTCAAAAGTGCTCTGTCCAAACCAAGGTTCAATTCTGACAGTTGAGTGCACACATCACAAACGTGATTCTGCGAATGCTTCTGTCTAGTTTTTGTCGGAAGATATTTCCTTTTTCAGCATAGGCCCCAAGGAGCTCAAAATGTCCACTGCCAGATAGTACGAGAAGATTGTTTCAAACCTGCTCTGTGAAAGGGAATGTTCAACTCTGTGACTTGAATGTAAACATCCCTAAGATGTTTCTTAGAATGCTTCTGGCTAGATTTTATTTGAAGATATTCCCGTTTCCAACGAAATCCTCAAAGCTTTCCAAATATCCACTTCCAGATTCTACAAAAAGTGTGGTTCAAAACTGCTGTATCAAAAGAATGGATCAACACTGTTAGTTGAGTACCCACATCACAAACGTGATTCTCAGAATGCTTCTGTCTAGTTTCTATAGGTAGATATTTCCTTTTTCAGCATAGGCCTGAAAGCGCTCCAAATGCCCGCTTCCAGACACTATAAAAAGAGGGTTTCAAACCTACTCTATGAAAGGGAATGTTCAACTCTGAGAGCTGGATGCAAACATCACAAAGAAGTTTCTGAGAATGCTGCTGTCTACTTTTGATATATAATCCCGTTTCCAACGAAATCCTCAAATCTATCCAAATATCCACTTGCAGATTCCAAAAGAAGAGTGTCTCAAAACTGCTCTATCAATAGAAATGTTCAGCACAGTTAGTTGAGTAGATACAGCATAAACATGTTTCTGAGATTACTTCTATCTCGCATTCATGGGAAGATATTTCCTTTTTCCAGATAGGCTACAAAGCCCTCCAAATGTCCACTTCCAGATACTACAAAGAGTGTTTCCAACCTGCTCTATGAAACGGAAGGTTCAACTCTGTGACTTGATTGCAAACATCACGAAGGTGTTTCTGAGAATGCTTCTGTCTAGATTTTCTTTGAAGACATTACCGTTTCCAACGAAATCCTCAAAGCTAGCCAAATATCCACCTGCAGATTCTACAAAAAGAGTGTTTCAAAAGTGCTCTGTCCAAACCAAGGTTCAATTCTGACAGTTGAGTGCACACATCACAAACGTGATTCTGCGAATGCTTCTGACTAGTTTTTGTCGGAAGATATTTCCTTTTTCAGCATAGGCCCCAAAGAGCTCAAAATGTCCACTGCCAGATAGTACGAGAAGATTGTTTCAAACCTGCTCTGTGAAAGGGAATGTTCAACTCTGTGACTTGAATGTAAACATCCCTAAGATGTTTCTTAGAATGCTTCTGGCTAGATTTTATTTGAAGATATTCCCGTTTCCAACGAAATCCTCAAAGCTTTCCAAATATCCACTTCCAGATTCTATAAAAAGAATGTTTCAGAACAGTTCTGTCAAAAGAAAGGTTCAACTCTGTTAGTGGAGAACACACATCACAATCAAGGTTCTGAGAATGCTTCTCTCTAAATTTTCTATGAAGACATTCCCGTTTCCAACGAAATCCTCACAGCTATCCAAATATCCACTTGCAGATTCTACAAAAAGTGTGGTTCAAAACTGCTGTATCAAAAGAATGGATCAACACTGTTAGTTGAGTACCCACATCACAAACGTGATTCTCAGAATGCTTCTGTCTAGTTTCTATAGGTAGATATCTCCTTTTTCAGCATAGGCCTGAAAGCGCTCCAAATGCCCGCTTCCAGACACTATAAAAAGAGGGTTTCAAACCTACTCTATGAAAGGGAATGTTCAACTCTGAGAGCTGGATGCAAACATCACAAAGAAGTTTCTGAGAATGCTGCTGTCTACTTTTTATATATAATCCCGTTTCCAACGAAATCCTCAAATCTATCCAAATATCCACTTGCAGATTCCAAAAGAAGAGGGTCTCAAAACTGCTCTATCAATAGAAATGTTCAGCACAGTTAGTTGAGTAGATACAGCATAAACATGTTTCTGAGATTACTTCTATCTCGCATTCATGGGAAGATATTTCCTTTTTCCAGATAGGCTACAAAGCCCTCCAAATGTCCACTTCCAGATACTACAAATAGAGTGCTGCACAACTGCTCTATGTGAGGGGAAGTTCAATTCTGTGACTTGAATGCAGACACCACAAAGAAGTTTCTGAGAATGCTGCTGTCTAATTTTTACATGTAAGCCCGTTTCCAACGAAATCCTCAAAGCTATCCAAATATCCGCATGCAGAATCTTCAAAAAGAGTGTTCCAGAAGTACTGCATGAAACGAAAGGTTCAAGTCCGTTTGTTGAGGACACACATCACAAATAAGTTTCTCAGAATGCTTCTGTCTTGTTTTCATTGGAAGATATTTCCTTTTTCACCATAGTTCAGAAAGCGCTCCAAATGTCCACTTCCAGATACTCCAAAAAGAGTGTTTCCAACCTGCTCTATGAATGGGAATGTTCCACTCTGTGACTTGAATGGAAATATGGCAAAGTATTTTCTGAGTATGCTGCTGTGTACGTTTTATATTGCATCCCGTTTCCAACGAAATCCTCAAAGTGATCCAAATATCCACTTGCAGATTCCAAAAAAAGAGTGTTTCAAACTGCTCTGTCAGTACAAAGGTTCAACACTGTTAGTTGATTAGATGCATCATAAACAAGTTCCTGAGGTAGCTTCTATCTCGCATTCATGGGAAGATATTTCCTTTTTCCACATAGGCTACAAAGCCCTCCAAATGTCCACTTCCAGATACTACAAAAAGTGTGTTTCCAACCTGCTCTATGAAACGGAAGGTTCAACTCTGTGACTTGATTGCAAACATCACGAAGGTGTTTCTGAGAATGCTTCTGTCTAGATTTTCTTTGAAGACATTACCGTTTCCAACGAAATCCTCAAAGCTAGCCAAATATCCACCTGCAGATTCTACAAAAAGAGTGTTTCAAAAGTGCTCTGTCCAAACCAAGGTTCAATTCTGACAGTTGAGTGCACACATCACAAACGTGATTCTGCGAATGCTTCTGTCTAGTTTTTGTCGGAAGATATTTCCTTTTTCAGCATAGGCCCCAAGGAGCTCAAAATGTCCACTGCCAGATAGTACGAGAAGATTGTTTCAAACCTGCTCTGTGAAAGGGAATGTTCAACTCTGTGACTTGAATGTAAACATCCCTAAGATGTTTCTTAGAATGCTTCTGGCTAGATTTGATTTGAAGATATTCCCGTTTCCAACGAAATCCTCAAAGCTTTCCAAATATCCACTTCCAGATTCTATAAAAAGAATGTTTCAGAACAGTTCTGTCAAAAGAAAGGTTCAACTCTGTTAGTGGAGAACACACATCACAATCAAGGTTCTGAGAATGCTTCTGTCTAAATTTTCTATGAAGACATTCCCGTTTCCAACGAAATCCTCACAGCTATCCAAATATCCACTTGCAGATTCTACAAAAAGTGTGGTTCAAAACTGCTGTATCAAAAGAATGGATCAACACTGTTAGTTGAGTACCCACATCACAAACGTGATTCTCAGAATGCTTCTGTCTAGTTTCTATAGGTAGATATTTCCTTTTTCAGCATAGGCCTGAAAGCGCTCCAAATGCCCGCTTCCAGACACTATAAAAAGAGGGTTTCAAACCTACTCTATGAAAGGGAATGTTCAACTCTGAGAGCTGGATGCAAACATCACAAAGAAGTTTCTGAGAATGCTGCTGTCTACTTTTTATATATAATCCCGTTTCCAACGAAATCCTCAAATCTATCCAAATATCCACTTGCAGATTCCAAAAGAAGAGTGTCTCAAAACTGCTCTATCAATAGAAATGTTCAGCACAGTTAGTTGAGTAGATACAGCATAAACATGTTTCTGAGATTACTCTATCTCGCATTCATGGGAAGATATTTCCTTTTTCCAGATAGGCTACAAAGCCCTCCAAATGTCCACTTCCAGATACTACAAAAAGAGTGTTTCCAACCTGCTCTATGAAACGGAAGGTTCAACTCTGTGACTTGATTGCAAACATCACGAAGGTGTTTCTGAGAATGCTTTCTGTCTAGATTTTCTTTGAAGACATTACCGTTTCCAACGAAATCCTCAAAGCTAGCCAAATATCCACCTGCAGATTCTACAAAAAGAGTGTTTCAAAAGTGCTCTGTCCAAACCAAGGTTCAATTCTGACAGTTGAGTGCACACATCACAAACGTGATTCTGCGAATGCTTCTGTCTAGTTTTTGTCGGAAGATATTTCCTATTTCAGCATAGGCCCCAAGGAGCTCAAAATGTCCACTGCCAGATAGTACGAGAAGATTGTTTCAAACCTGCTCTGTGAAAGGGAATGTTCAACTCTGTGACTTGAATGTAAACATCCCTAAGATGTTTCTTAGAATGCTTCTGGCTAGATTTGATTTGAAGATATTCCCGTTTCCAACGAAATCCTCAAAGCTTTCCAAATATCCACTTCCAGATTCTATAAAAAGAATGTTTCAGAACAGTTCTGTCAAAAGAAAGGTTCAACTCTGTTAGTGGAGAACACACATCACAATCAAGGTTCTGAGAATGCTTCTGTCTAAATTTTCTATGAAGACATTCCCGTTTCCAACGAAATCCTCACAGCTATCCAAATATCCACTTGCAGATTCTACAAAAAGTGTGGTTCAAAACTGCTGTATCAAAAGAATGGATCAACACTGTTAGTTGAGTACCCACATCACAAACGTGATTCTCAGAATGCTCTGTCTAGTTTCTGTAGGTAGATATTTCCTATTTTAAGCATAGGCCTGAAAGCGCTCCAAATGCCCGCTTCCAGACACTATAAAAAGAGGGTTTCAAACCTACTCTATGAAAGGGAATGTTCAACTCTGAGAGCTGGATGCAAACATCACAAAGAAGTTTCTGAGAATGCTGGCTGTCTACTTTTGATATATAATCCCGTTTCCAACAAAATCCTCAAATCTATCCAAATATCCACTTGCAGATTCCAAAAGAAGAGTGTCTCAAAACTGCTCTATCAATAGAAATGTTCAGCACAGTTAGTTGAGTAGATACAGCATAAACATGTTTCTGAGATTACTTCTATCTCGCATTCATGGGAAGATATTTCCTTTTTCCACATAGGCTACAAAGCCCTCCAAATGTCCACTTCCAGATACTACAAAAAGAGTGTTTCCAACCTGCTCTATGAAACGGAAGGTTCAACTCTGTGACTTGATTGCAAACATCACGAAGGTGTTTCTGAGAATGCTTCTGTCTAGATTTTCTTTGAAGACATTACCGTTTCCAACGAAATCCTCAAAGCTAGCCAAATATCCACCTGCAGATTCTACAAAAAGAGTGTTTCAAAAGTGCTCTGTCCAAACCGAGGTTCAATTCTGACAGTTGAGTGCACACATCACAAACGTGATTCTGCGAATGCTTCTGTCTAGTTTTTGTCGGAAGATATTTCCTTTTTCAGCATAGGCCCCAAGGAGCTCAAAATGTCCACTGCCAGATAGTACGAGAAGATTGTTTCAAACCTGCTCTGTGAAAGGGAATGTTCAACTCTGTGACTTGAATGTAAACATCCCTAAGATGTTTCTTAGAATGCTTCTGGCTAGATTTGATTTGAAGATATTCCCGTTTCCAACGAAATCCTCAAAGCTTTCCAAATATCCACTTCCAGATTCTATAAAAAGAATGTTTCAGAACAGTTCTGTCAAAAGAAAGGTTCAACTGCTGTTAGTGGAGAACACACATCACAATCAAGGTTCTGAGAATGCTTCTGTCTAAATTTTCTATGAAGACATTCCCGTTTCCAACGAAATCCTCACAGCTATCCAAATATCCACTTGCAGATTCTACAAAAAGTGTGGTTCAAAACTGCTGTATCAAAAGAATGGATCAACACTGTTAGTTGAGTACCCACATCACAAACGTGATTCTCAGAATGCTTCTGTCTAGTTTCTATAGGTAGATATTTCCTTTTTCAGCATAGGCCCGAAAGCGCTCAAAATGCCCGCTTCCAGACACTATAAAAAGAGGGTTTCAAACCTACTCTATGAAAGGGAATGTTCAACTCTGAGAGCTGGATGCAAACATCACAAAGAAGTTTCTGAGAATGCTGCTGTCTACTTTTGATATATAATCCCGTTTCCAACGAAATCCTCAAATCTATCCAAATATCCACTTGCAGATTCCAAAAGAAGAGTGTCTCAAAACTGCTCTATCAATAGAAATGTTCAGCACAGTTAGTTGAGTAGATACAGCATAAACATGTTTCTGAGATTACTTCTATCTCGCATTCATGGGAAGATATTTCCTTTTTCCAGATAGGCTACAAAGCCCTCCAAATGTCCACTTCCAGATACTACAAAAAGAGTGTTTCCAACCTGCTCTATGAAACGGAAGGTTCAACTCTGTGACTTGATTGCAAACATCACGAAGGTGTTTCTGAGAATGCTCTGTCTAGATTTTCTTTGAAGACATTACCGTTTCCAACGAAATCCTCAAAGCTAGCCAAATATCCACCTGCAGATTCTACAAAAAGAGTGTTTCAAAAGTGCTCTGTCCAAACCAAGGTTCAATTGTGACAGTTGAGTGCACACATCACAAACGTGATTCTGCGAATGCTCTCTGTCTAGTTTTTGTCGGAAGATATTTCCTTTTTCACCATAGGCCCCAAGGAGCTCAAAATGTCCACTTCCAGATAGTACGAGAAGATTGTTTCAAACCTGCTCTGTGAAAGGGAATGTTCAACTCTGTGACTTGAATGTAAACATCCCTAAGATGTTTCTTAGAATGCTTCTGGCTAGATTTGATTTGAAGATATTCCCGTTTCCAACGAAATCCTCAAAGCTTTCCAAATATCCACTTTCAGATTCTATAAAAAGAATGTTTCAGAACAGTTCTGTCAAAAGAAAGGTTCAACTCTGTTAGTGGAGAACACACATCACAATCAAGGTTCTGAGAATGCTTCTGTCTAAATTTTCTATGAAGACATTCCCGTTTCCAACGAAATCCTCACAGCTATCCAAATATCCACTTGCAGATTCTACAAAAAGTGTGGTTCAAAACTGCTGTATCAAAAGAATGGATCAACACTGTTAGTTGAGTACCCACATCACAAACGTGATTCTCAGAATGCTTCTGTCTAGTTTCTATAGGTAGATATTTCCTTTTTCAGCATAGGCCTGAAAGCGCTCCAAATGCCCGCTTCCAGACACTATAAAAAGAGGGTTTCAAACCTACTCTATGAAAGGGAATGTTCAACTCTGAGAGCTGGATGCAAACATCACAAAGAAGTTTCTGAGAATGCTGCTGTCTACTTTTGATATATAATCCCGTTTCCAACGAAATCCTCAAATCTATCCAAATATCCACTTGCAGATTCCAAAAGAAGAGTGTCTCAAAACTGCTCTATCAATAGAAATGTTCAGCACAGTTAGTTGAGTAGATACAGCATAAACATGTTTCTGAGATTACTTCTATCTCGCATTCATGGGAAGATATTTCCTTTTTCCACATAGGCTACAAAGCCCTCCAAATGTCCACTTCCAGATACTACAAAAAGAGTGTTTCCAACCTGCTCTATGAAACGGAAGGTTCAACTCTGTGACTTGATTGCAAACATCACGAAGGTGTTTCTGAGAATGCTTCTGTCTAGATTTTCTTTGAAGACATTACCGTTTCCAACGAAATCCTCAAAGCTAGCCAAATATCCACCTGCAGATTCTACAAAAAGAGTGTTTCAAAAGTGCTCTGTCCAAACCAAGGTTCAATTCTGACAGTTGAGTGCACACATCACAAACGTGATTCTGCGAATGCTTCTGTCTAGTTTTTGTCGGAAGATATTTCCTTTTTCAGCATAGGCCCCAAGGAGCTCAAAATGTCCACTGCCAGATAGTACGAGAAGATTGTTTCAAACCTGCTCTGTGAAAGGGAATGTTCAACTCTGTGACTTGAATGTAAACATCCCTAAGATGTTTCTTAGAATGCTTCTGGCTAGATTTTATTTGAAGATATTCCCGTTTCCAACGAAATCCTCAAAGCTTTCCAAATATCCACTTCCAGATTCTATAAAAAGAATGTTTCAGAACAGTTCTGTCAAAAGAAAGGTTCAACTCTGTTAGTGGAGAACACACATCACAATCAAGGTTCTGAGAATGCTTCTGTCTAAATTTTCTATGAAGACATTCCCGTTTCCAACGAAATCCTCACAGCTATCCAAATATCCACTTGCAGATTCTACAAAAAGTGTGGTTCAAAACTGCTGTATCAAAAGAATGGATCAACACTGTTAGTTGAGTACCCACATCACAAACGTGATTCTCAGAATGCTTCTGTCTAGTTTCTATAGGTAGATATTTCCTTTTTCAGCATAGGCCTGAAAGCGCTCCAAATGCCCGCTTCCAGACACTATAAAAAGAGGGTTTCAAACCTACTCTATGAAAGGGAATGTTCAACTCTGAGAGCTGGATGCAAACATCACAAAGAAGTTTCTGAGAATGCTGCTGTCTACTTTTTATATATAATCCCGTTTCCAACGAAATCCTCAAATCTATCCAAATATCCACTTGCAGATTCCAAAAGAAGAGTGTCTCAAAACTGCTCTATCAATAGAAATGTTCAGCACAGTTAGTTGAGTAGATACAGCATAAACATGTTTCTGAGATTACTTCTATCTCGCATTCATGGGAAGATATTTCCTTTTTCCAGATAGGCTACAAAGCCCTCCAAATGTCCACTTCCAGATAGTACAAATAGAGTGCTGCACAACTGCTCTATGTGAGGGGAAGTTCAATTCTGTGACTTGAATGCAGACACCACAAAGAAGTTTCTGAGAATGCTGCTGTCTAATTTTTACATGTAAGCCCGTTTCCAACGAAATCCTCAAAGCTATCCAAATATCCGCATGCAGAATCTTCAAAAAGAGTGTTCCAGAAGTACTGCATGAAACGAAAGGTTCAAGTCCGTTTGTTGAGGACACACATCACAAATAAGTTTCTCAGAATGCTTCTGTCTTGTTTTCATTGGAAGTTATTTCCTTTTTCACCATAGTTCAGAAAGCGCTCCAAATGTCCACTTCCAGATACTCCAAAAAGAGTGTTTCAAACCTGCTCTATGAATGGGAATGTTCCACTCTGTGACTTGAATGGAAATATGGCAAAGTATTTTCTGAGTATGCTGCTGTGTACGTTTTATATTGCATCCCGTTTCCAACGAAATCCTCAAAGCGATCCAAATATCCACTTGCAGATTCCAAAAAAAGAGTGTTTCAAAGTGCTCTGTCAGTACAAAGGTTCAACACTGTTAGTTGATTAGATGCATCATAAACAAGTTCCTGAGATAGCTTCTATGTCGTTTTTATGGGAAGATATTTCCTTTTTCACCATAGGCCTGAAAGCGCTCCAAATGTCCACTTCCAGATACTACAAAAAGAGTGTTTCCAACCTGCTCTATGAAACGGAAGGTTCAACTCTGTGACTTGATTGCAAACATCACGAAGGTGTTTCTGAGAATGCTTCTGTCTAGATTTTCTTTGAAGACATTCCCGTTTCCAACGAAATCCTCACAGCTATCCAAATATCCTCTTGCAGATTCTACAAAAAGTGTGGTTCAAAACTGCTGTATCAAAAGAATGGATCAACACTGTTAGTTGAGTACCCACATCACAAACGTGATTCTCAGAATGCTTCTGTCTAGTTTCTGTAGGTAGATATTTCCTATTTTAAGCATAGGCCTGAAAGCGCTCCAAATGCCCGCTTGCAGACACTATAAAAAGAGGGTTTCAAACCTACTCTATGAAAGGGAATGTTCAACTCTGAGAGCTGGATGCAAACATCACAAAGAAGTTTACTGAGAATGCTGCTGTCTACTTTTTATATATAATCCCATTGCCAACGAAATCCTCAAATCTTTCCAAATATCCACTTGCAGATTCCAAAAGAAGAGTATCTCAAAACTGCTCTATCAATAGAAATGTTCAGCACAGTTAGTTGAGTAGATACAGCATAAACATGTTTCTGAGATTACTTCTATCTCGCATTCATGGGAAGATATTTCCTTTTTCCAGATAGGCTACAAAGCCCTCCAAATGTCCACTTCCAGATACTACAAAAAGAGTGTTTCCAACCTGCTCTATGAAACGGAAGGTTCAACTCTGTGACTTGATTGCAAACATCACGAAGGTGTTTCTGAGAATGCTTCTGTCTAGATTTTCTTTGAAGACATTACCGTTTCCAACGAAATCCTCAAAGCTAGCCAAATATCCACCTGCAGATTCTACAAAAAGAGTGTTTCAAAAGTGCTCTGTCCAAACCAAGGTTCAATTCTGACAGTTGAGTGCACACATCACAAACGTGATTCTGCGAATGCTTCTGTCTAGTTTTTGTCGGAAGATATTTCCTTTTTCAGCATAGGCCCCAAGGAGCTCAAAATGTCCACTGCCAGATAGTACGAGAAGATTGTTTCAAACCTGCTCTGTGAAAGGGAATGTTCAACTCTGTGACTTGAATGTAAACATCCCTAAGATGTTTCTTAGAATGCTTCTGGCTAGATTTTATTTGAAGATATTCCCGTTTCCAACGAAATCCTCAAAGCTTTCCAAATATCCACTTCCAGATTCTATAAAAAGAATGTTTCAGAACAGTTCTGTCAAAAGAAAGGTTCAACTCTGTTAGTGGAGAACACACATCACAATCAAGGTTCTGAGAATGCTTCTGTCTAAATTTTCTATGAAGACATTCCCGTTTCCAACGAAATCCTCACAGCTATCCAAATATCCACTTGCAGATTCTACAAAAAGTGTGGTTCAAAACTGCTGTATCAAAAGAATGGATCAACACTGTTAGTTGAGTACCCACATCACAAACGTGATTCTCAGAATGCTTCTGTCTAGTTTCTATAGGTAGATATTTCCTTTTTCAGCATAGGCCTGAAAGCGCTCCAAATGCCCGCTTCCAGACACTATAAAAAGAGGGTTTCAAACCTACTCTATGAAAGGGAATGTTCAACTCTGAGAGCTGGATGCAAACATCACAAAGAAGTTTCTGAGAATGCTGCTGTCTACTTTTTATATATAATCCCGTTTCCAACGAAATCCTCAAATCTATCCAAATATCCACTTGCAGATTCCAAAAGAAGAGTGTCTCAAAACTGCTCTATCAATAGAAATGTTCAGCACAGTTAGTTGAGTAGATACAGCATAAACATGTTTCTGAGATTACTTCTATCTCGCATTCATGGGAAGATATTTCCTTTTTCCACATAGGCTACAAAGCCCTCCAAATGTCCACTTCCAGATACTACAAATAGAGTGCTGCACAACTGCTCTATGTGAGGGGATGTTCAATTCTGTGACTTGAATGCAGACACCACAAAGAAGTTTCTGAGAATGCTGCTGTCTAATTTTTACATGTAAGCCCGTTTCCAACGAAATCCTCAAAGCTATCCAAATATCCGCATGCAGAATCTTCAAAAAGAGTGTTCCAGAAGTACTGCATGAAACGAAAGGTTCAAGTCCGTTTGTTGAGGACACACATCACAAATAAGTTTCTCAGAATGCTTCTGTCTTGTTTTCATTGGAAGATATTTCCTTTTTCACCATAGTTCAGAAAGCGCTCCAAATGTCCACTTCCAGATACTCCAAAAAGAGTGTTTCCAACCTGCTCTATGAATGGGAATGTTCCACTCTGTGACTTGAATGGAAATATGGCAAAGTATTTTCTGAGTATGCTGCTGTGTACGTTTTATATTGCATCCCGTTTCCAACGAAATCCTCAAAGCGATCCAAATATCCACTTGCAGATTCCAAAAAAAGAGTGTTTCAAAGTGCTCTGTCAGTACAAAGGTTCAACACTGTTAGTTGATTAGATGCATCATAAACAAGTTCCTGAGATAGCTTCTATGTCGTTTTTATGGGAAGATATTTCCTTTTTCACCATAGGCCTGAAAGCGCTCCAAATGTCCACTTCCAGATACTACAATAAGAGTGTTTCCAACCTGCTCTATGAAACGGAAGGTTCAACTCTGTGACTTGATTGCAAACATCACGAAGGTGTTTCTGAGAATGCTTCTGTCTAGATTTTCTTTGAAGACATTCCCGTTTCCAACGAAATCCTCACAGCTATCCAAATATCCTCTTGCAGATTCTACAAAAAGTGTGGTTCAAAACTGCTGTATCAAAAGAATGGATCAACACTGTTAGTTGAGTACCCACATCACAAACGTGATTCTCAGAATGCTTCTGTCTAGTTTCTGTAGGTAGATATTTCCTATTTTAAGCATAGGCCTGAAAGCGCTCCAAATACCCGCTTCCAGACACTATAAAAAGAGGGTTTCAAACCTACTCTATGAAAGGGAATGTTCAACTCGGAGAGCTGGATGCAAACATCACAAAGAAGTTTCTGAGAATGCTGCTGTCTACTTTTTATATATAATCCCGTTTCCAACGAAATCCTCAAATCTATCCAAATATCCACTTGCAGATTCCAAAAGAAGAGTGTCTCAAAACTGCTCTATCAATAGAAATGTTCAGCACAGTTAGTTGAGTAGATACAGCATAAACACGTTTCTGAGATTACTTCTATCTCGCATTCATGGGAAGATATTTCCTTTTTCCAGATAGGCTACAAAGCCCTCCAAATGTCCACTTCCAGATACTACAAATAGAGTGCTGCACAACTGCTCTATGTGAGGGGAAGTTCAATTCTGTGACTTGAATGCAGACACCACAAAGAAGTTTCTGAGAATGCTGCTGTCTAATTTTTACATGTAAGCCCGTTTCCAACGAAATCCTCAAAGCTATCCAAATATCCGCATGCAGAATCTTCAAAAAGAGTGTTCCAGAAGTACTGCATGAAACGAAAGGTTCAAGTCCGTTTGTTGAGGACACACATCACAAATAAGTTTCTCAGAATGCTTCTGTCTTGTTTTCATTGGAAGATATTTCCTTTTTCACCATAGTTCAGAAAGCGCTCCAAATGTCCACTTCCAGATACTCCAAAAAGAGTGTTTCCAACCTGCTCTATGAATGGGAATGTTCCACTCTGTGACTTGAATGGAAATATGGCAAAGTATTTTCTGAGTATGCTGCTGTGTACGTTTTATATTGCATCCCGTTTCCAACGAAATCCTCAAAGCGATCCAAATATCCACTTGCAGATTCCAAAAAAAGAGTGTTTCAAAGTGCTCTGTCAGTACAAAGGTTCAACACTGTTAGTTGATTAGATGCATCATAAACAAGTTCCTGAGATAGCTTCTATGTCGTTTTTATGGGAAGATATTTCCTTTTTCACCATAGGCCTGAAAGCGCTCCAAATGTCCACTTCCAGATACTACAATAAGAGTGTTTCCAACCTGCTCTATGAAACGGAAGGTTCAACTCTGTGACTTGATTGCAAACATCACGAAGGTGTTTCTGAGAATGTTTCTGTCTAGATTTTCTTTGAAGACATTCCCGTTTCCAACGAAATCCTCACAGCTATCCAAATATCCTCTTGCAGATTCTACAAAAAGTGTGGTTCAAAACTGCTGTATCAAAAGAATGGATCAACACTGTTAGTTGAGTACCCACATCACAAACGAGATTCTCAGAATGCTTCTGTCTAGTTTCTGTAGGTAGATATTTCCTATTTTAAGCATAGGTCTGAAAGCGCTCCAAATGCCCGCTTCCAGACACTATAAAAAGAGGGTTTCAAACCTACTCTATGAAAGGGAATGTTCAACTCTGAGAGCTGGATGCAAACATCACAAAGAAGTTTCTGAGAATGCTGCTGTCTACTTTTTATATATAATCCCGTTTCCAACGAAATCCTCAAATCTCTCCAAATATCCACTTGCAGATTCCAAAAGAAGAGTGTCTCAAAACTGCTCTATCAATAGAAATGTTCAGCACAGTTAGTTGAGTAGATACAGCATAAACATGTTTCTGAGATTACTTCTATCTCGCATTCATGGGAAGATATTTCCTTTTTCCACATAGGCTACAAAGCCCTCCAAATGTCCACTTCCAGATACTACAAAAAGAGTGTTTCCAACCTGCTCTATGAAACGGAAGGTTCAACTCTGTGACTTGATTGCAAACATCACGAAGGTGTTTCTGAGAATGCTTCTGTCTAGATTTTCTTTGAAGACATTACCGTTTCCAACGAAATCCTCAAAGCTAGCCAAATATCCACCTGCAGATTCTACAAAAAGAGTGTTTCAAAAGTGCTCTGTCCAAACCAAGGTTCAATTCTGACAATTGAGTGCACACATCACAAACGTGATTCTGCGAATGCTTCTGTCTAGTTTTTGTCGGAAGATATTTCCTTTTTCAGCATAGGCCCCAAGGAGCTCAAAATGTCCACTGCCAGATAGTACGAGAAGATTGTTTCAAACCTGCTCTGTGAAAGGGAATGTTCAACTCTGTGACTTGAATGTAAACATCCCTAAGATGTTTCTTAGAATGCTTCTGGCTAGATTTTATTTGAAGATATTCCCGTTTCCAACGAAATCCTCAAAGCTTTCCAAATATCCACTTCCAGATTCTATAAAAAGAATGTTTCAGAACAGTTCTGTCAAAAGAAAGGTTCAACTCTGTTAGTGGAGAACACACATCACAATCAAGGTTCTGAGAATGCTTCTGTCTAAATTTTCTATGAAGACATTCCCGTTTCCAACGAAATCCTCACAGCTATCCAAATATCCACTTGCAGATTCTACAAAAAGTGTGGTTCAAAACTGCTGTATCAAAAGAATGGATCAACACTGTTAGTTGAGTACCCACATCACAAACGTGATTCTCAGAATGCTTCTGTCTAGTTTCTATAGGTAGATATTTCCTTTTTCAGCATAGGCCTGAAAGCGCTCCAAATGCCCGCTTCCAGACACTATAAAAAGAGGGTTTCAAACCTACTCTATGAAAGGGAATGTTCAACTCTGAGAGCTGGATGCAAACATCACAAAGAAGTTTCTGAGAATGCTGCTGTCTACTTTTGATATATAATCCCGTTTCCAACGAAATCCTCAAATCTATCCAAATATCCACTTGCAGATTCCAAAAGAAGAGTGTCTCAAAACTGCTCTATCAATAGAAATGTTCAGCACAGTTAGTTGAGAAGATACAGCATAAACATGTTTCTGAGATTACTTCTATCTCGCATTCATGGGAAGATATTTCCTTTTTCCAGATAGGCTACAAAGCCCTCCAAATGTCCACTTCGAGATACTACAAATAGAGTGCTGCACAACTGCTCTATGTGAGGGGAAGTTCAATTCTGTGACTTGAATGCAGACACCACAAAGAAGTTTCTGAGAATGCTGCTGTCTAATTTTTACATGTAAGCCCGTTTCCAACGAAATCCTCAAAGCTATCCAAATATCCGCATGCAGAATCTTCAAAAAGAGTGTTCCAGAAGTACTGCATGAAACGAAAGGTTCAAGTCCGTTTGTTGAGGACACACATCACAAATAAGTTTCTCAGAATGCTTCTGTCTTGTTTTCATTGGAAGATATTTCCTTTTTCACCATAGTTCAGAAAGCGCTCCAAATGTCCACTTCCAGATACTCCAAAAAGAGTGTTTCCAACCTGCTCTATGAATGGGAATGTTCCACTCTGTGACTTGAATGGAAATATGGCAAAGTATTTTCTGAGTATGCTGCTGTGTACGTTTTATATTGCATCCCGTTTCCAACGAAATCCTCAAAGCGATCCAAATATCCACTTGCAGATTCCAAAAAAAGAGTGTTTCAAACTGCTCTGTCAGTACAAAGGTTCAACACTGTTAGTTGATTAGATGCATCATAAACAAGTTCCTGAGATAGCTTCTATGTCGTTTTTATGGGAAGATATTTCCTTTTTCACCATAGGCCTGAAAGCGCTCCAAATGTCCACTTCCAGATACTACAATAAGAGTGTTTCCAACCTGCTCTATGAAACGGAAGGTTCAACTCTGTGACTTGATTGCAAACATCACGAAGGTGTTTCTGAGAATGCTTCTGTCTAGATTTTCTTTGAAGACATTCCCGTTTCCAACGAAATCCTCACAGCTATCCAAATATCCTCTTGCAGATTCTACAAAAAGTGTGGTTCAAAACTGCTGTATCAAAAGAATGGATCAACACTGTTAGTTGAGTACCCACATCACAAACGTGATTCTCAGAATGCTTCTGTCTAGTTTCTGTAGGTAGATATTTCCTATTTTAAGCATAGGCCTGAAAGCGCTCCAAATGCCCGCTTCCAGACACTATAAAAAGAGGGTTTCAAACCTACTCTATGAAAGGGAATGTTCAACTCTGAGAGCTGGATGCAAACATCACAAAGAAGTTTCTGAGAATGCTGCTGTCTACTTTTGATATATAATCCCGTTTCCAACGAAATCCTCAAATCTATCCAAATATCCACTTGCAGATTCCAAAAGAAGAGTGTCTCAAAACTGCTCTATCAATAGAAATGTTCAGCACAGTTAGTTGAGAAGATACAGCATAAACATGTTTCTGAGATTACTTCTATCTCGCATTCATGGGAAGATATTTCCTTTTTCCAGATAGGCTACAAAGCCCTCCAAATGTCCACTTCCAGATACTACAAATAGAGTGCTGCACAACTGCTCTATGTGAGGGGAAGTTCAATTCTGTGACTTGAATGCAGACACCACAAAGAAGTTTCTGAGAATGCTGCTGTCTAATTTTTACATGTAAGCCCGTTTCCAACGAAATCCTCAAAGCTATCCAAATATCCGCATGCAGAATCTTCAAAAAGAGTGTTCCAGAAGTACTGCATGAAACGAAAGGTTCAAGTCCGTTTGTTGAGGACACACATCACAAATAAGTTTCTCAGAATGCTTCTGTCTTGTTTTCATTGGAAGATATTTCCTTTTTCACCATAGTTCAGAAAGCGCTCCAAATGTCCACTTCCAGATACTCCAAAAAGAGTGTTTCCAACCTGCTCTATGAATGGGAATGTTCCACTCTGTGACTTGAATGGAAATATGGCAAAGTATTTTCTGAGTATGCTGCTGTGTACGTTTTATATTGCATCCCGTTTCCAACGAAATCCTCAAAGCGATCCAAATATCCACTTGCAGATTCCAAAAAAAGAGTGTTTCAAACTGCTCTGTCAGTACAAAGGTTCAACACTGTTAGTTGATTAGATGCATCATAAACAAGTTCCTGAGACAGCTTCTATGTCGTTTTTATGGGAAGATATTTCCTTTTTCACCATAGGCCTGAAAGCGCTCCAAATGTCCACTTCCAGATACTACAATAAGAGTGTTTCCAACCTGCTCTATGAAACGGAAGGTTCAACTCTGTGACTTGATTGCAAACATCACGAAGGTGTTCCTCAGAATGCTTCTGTCTAGATTTTCTTTGAAGACATTCCCGTTTCCAACGAAATCCTCACAGCTATCCAAATATCCTCTTGCAGATTCTACAAAAAGTGTGGTTCAAAACTGCTGTATCAAAAGAATGGATCAACACTGTTAGTTGAGTACCCACATCACAAACGTGATTCTCAGAATGCTTCTGTCTAGTTTCTGTAGGTAGATATTTCCTATTTTAAGCATAGGCCTGAAAGCGCTCCAAATGCCCGCTTCCAGACACTATAAAAAGAGGGTTTCAAACCTACTCTATGAAAGGGAATGTTCAACTCTGAGAGCTGGATGCAAACATCACAAAGAAGTTTCTGAGAATGCTGCTGTCTACTTTTGATATATAATCCCGTTTCCAACGAAATCCTCAAATCTATCCAAATATCCACTTGCAGATTCCAAAAGAAGAGTGTCTCAAAACTGCTCTATCAATAGAAATGTTCAGCACAGTTAGTTGAGTAGATACAGCATAAACATGTTTCTGAGATTACTTCTATCTCGCATTCATGGGAAGATATTTCCTTTTTCCAGATAGGCTACAAAGCCCTCCAAATGTCCACTTCCAGATACTACAAATAGAGTGCTGCACAACTGCTCTATGTGAGGGGAAGTTCAATTCTGTGACTTGAATGCAGACACCACAAAGAAGTTTCTGAGAATGCTGCTGTCTAATTTTTACATGTAAGCCCGTTTCCAACGAAATCCTCAAAGCTATCCAAATATCCGCATGCAGAATCTTCAAAAAGAGTGTTCCAGAAGTACTGCATGAAACGAAAGGTTCAAGTCCGTTTGTTGAGGACACACATCACAAATAAGTTTCTCAGAATGCTTCTGTCTTGTTTTCATTGGAAGATATTTCCTTTTTCACCATAGTTCAGAAAGCGCTCCAAATGTCCACTTCCAGATACTCCAAAAAGAGTGTTTCCAACCTGCTCTATGAATGGGAATGTTCCACTCTGTGACTTGAATGGAAATATGGCAAAGTATTTTCTGAGTATGCTGCTGTGTACGTTTTATATTGCATCCCGTTTCCAACGAAATCCTCAAAGCGATCCAAATATCCACTTGCAGATTCCAAAAAAAGAGTGTTTCAAACTGCTCTGTCAGTACAAAGGTTCAACACTGTTAGTTGATTAGATGCATCATAAACAAGTTCCTGAGATACCTTCTATGTCGTTTTTATGGGAAGATATTTCCTTTTTCACCATAGGCCTGAAAGCGCTCCAAATGTCCACTTCCAGATACTACAATAAGAGTGTTTCCAACCTGCTCTATGAAACGGAAGGTTCAACTCTGTGACTTGATTGCAAACATCACGAAGGTGTTTACTGAGAATGCTTCTGTCTAGATTTTCTTTGAAGACATTACCGTTTCCAACGAAATCCTCAAAGCTAGCCAAATATCCACCTGCAGATTCTACAAAAAGAGTGTTTCAAAAGTGCTCTGTCCAAACAAAGGTTCAATTCTGACAGTTGAGTGCACACATCACAAACATGATTCTGCGAATGCTTCTGTCTAGTTTTTGTCGGAAGATATTTCCTTTTTCAGCATAGGCCCCAAGGAGCTCAAAATGTCCACTTCCAGATAGTATGAGAAGATTGTTTCAAACCTGCTCTGTGAAAGGGAATGTTCAACTCTGTGACTTGAATGTAAACATCCCTAAGATGTTTCTTAGAATGCTTCTTTCTAGATTTTATATGAAGATATTCCCGTTTCCAACGAAATCCTCAAAGCTTTCCAAATATCCACTTCCAGATTCTATAAAAAGAATGTTTCAAAACAGTTCCGTCAAAAGAAAGGTTCAACTCTGTTAGTGGAGAACACACATCACAATCAAGGTTCTGAGAATGCTTCTGTCTAAATTTTCTATGAAGACATTCCCGTTTCCAACGAAATCCTCAAAGCTATCCAAATATCCACTTGCAGATCCTACAAAAAGGGTGGTTCAAAACTGCTCTATCGAAAGGAATATTTACCTCTGTGAGTTGAATGCAAACATCACAAAGTAGTTTCTGAGAATGCTTCTGTGTTGTTTTTCTATGAAGATACTTCCTTTTCTACCACAGGCCCCAAAGCTTTGTAAACATCCACTTGCAAATTCTACAAAAATAGTGTTTCAAAACTGTTCTAAAGAAAGGAAGGTTCAACTCTGTGAATAAAGTGCAGACATCACAAAGAAGTTTCTGAGAATACTTCTGTCTAGATTTTCTTTGAAGACATTCCCGTTTCCAACGAAATCCTCACAGCTATCCAAATATCCTCTTGCAGATTCTACAAAAAGTGTGGTTCAAAACTGCTGTATCAAAAGAATGGATCAACACTGTTAGTTGAGGTACCCACATCACAAACGTGATTCTCAGAATGCTTCTGTCTAGTTTCTGTAGGTAGATATTTCCTATTTTAAGCATAGGCCTGAAAGCGCTCCAAATGCCCGCTTCCAGACACTATAAAAAGAGGGTTTCAAACCTACTCTATGAAAGGGAATGTTCAACTCTGAGAGCTGGATGCAAACATCACAAAGAAGTTTCTGAGAATGCTGCTGTCTACTTTTTATATATAATCCCGTTTCCAACGAAATCCTCAAATCTATCCAAATATCCACTTGCAGATTCCAAAAGAAGAGTGTCTCAAAACTGCTCTATCAATAGAAATGTTCAGCACAGTTAGTTGAGTAGATACAGCATAAACATGTTTCTGAGATTACTTCTATCTCGCATTCATGGGAAGATATTTCCTTTTTCCAGATAGGCTACAAAGCCCTCCAAATGTCCACTTCCAGATACTACAAATAGAGTGCTGCACAACTGCTCTATGTGAGGGGAAGTTCAATTCTGTGACTTGAATGCAGACACCACAAAGAAGTTTCTGAGAATGCTGCTGTCTAATTTTTACATGTAAGCCCGTTTCCAACGAAATCCTCAAAGCTATCCAAATATCCGCATGCAGAATCTTCAAAAAGAGTGTTCCAGAAGTACTGCATGAAACGAAAGGTTCAAGTCCGTTTGTTGAGGACACACATCACAAATAAGTTTCTCAGAATGCTTCTGTCTTGTTTTCATTGGAAGATATTTCCTTTTTCACCATAGTTCAGAAAGCGCTCCAAATGTCCACTTCCAGATACTCCAAAAAGAGTGTTTCCAACCTGCTCTATGAATGGGAATGTTCCACTCTGTGACTTGAATGGAAATATGGCAAAGTATTTTCTGAGTATGCTGCTGTGTACGTTTTATATTGCATCCCGTTTCCAACGAAATCCTCAAAGCGATCCAAATATCCACTTGCAGATTCCAAAAAAAGAGTGTTTCAAACTGCTCTGTCAGTACAAAGGTTCAACACTGTTAGTTGATTAGATGCATCATAAACAAGTTCCTGAGATAGCTTCTATGTCGCTTTTATGGGAAGATATTTCCTTTTACACCATAGGCCTGAAAGCGCTCCAAATGTCCAATTCCAGATACTACAAAATGAGTGTTTCCAACCTGCTCTATGAAACGGAAGGTTCAACTCTGTGACTTGATTGCAAACATCACGAAGGTGTTTCTGAGGATGTTTCTGTCTAGATTTTCTTTGAAGACATTACCGTTTCCAACGAAATCCTCAAAGCTAGCCAAATATCCACCTGCAGATTCTACAAAAAGAGTGTTTCAAAAGTGCTCTGTCCAAACCAAGGTTCAATTCTGACAGTTGAGTGCACACATCACAAACGTGATTCTGCGAATGCTTCTGTCTAGTTTTTGTCGGAAGATATTTCCTTTTTCAGCATAGGCCCCAAGGAGCTCAAAATGTCCACTGCCAGATAGTACGAGAAGATTGTTTCAAACCTGCTCTGTGAAAGGGAATGTTCAACTCTGTGACTTGAATGTAAACATCCCTAAGATGTTTCTTAGAATGCTTCTGGCTAGATTTTATTTGAAGATATTCCCGTTTCCAACGAAATCCTCAAAGCTTTCCAAATATCCACTTCCAGATTCTATAAAAAGAATGTTTCAGAACAGTTCTGTCAAAAGAAAGGTTCAACTCTGTTAGTGGAGAACACACATCACAATCAAGGTTCTGAGAATGCTTCTGTCTAAATTTTCTATGAAGACATTCCCGTTTCCAACGAAATCCTCACAGCTATCCAAATATCCACTTGCAGATTCTACAAAAAGTGTGGTTCAAAACTGCTGTATCAAAAGAATGGATCAACACTGTTAGTTGAGTACCCACATCACAAACGTGATTCTCAGAATGCTTCTGTCTAGTTTCTATAGGTAGATATCTCCTTTTTCAGCATAGGCCTGAAAGCGCTCCAAATGCCCGCTTCCAGACACTATAAAAAGAGGGTTTCAAACCTACTCTATGAAAGGGAATGTTCAACTCTGAGAGCTGGATGCAAACATCACAAAGAAGTTTCTGAGAATGCTGCTGTCTACTTTTTATATATAATCCCGTTTCCAACGAAATCCTCAAATCTATCCAAATATCCACTTGCAGATTCCAAAAGAAGAGGGTCTCAAAACTGCTCTATCAATAGAAATGTTCAGCACAGTTAGTTGAGTAGATACAGCATAAACATGTTTCTGAGATTACTTCTATCTCGCATTCATGGGAAGATATTTCCTTTTTCCAGATAGGCTACAAAGCCCTCCAAATGTCCACTTCCAGATACTACAAATAGAGTGCTGCACAACTGCTCTATGTGAGGGGAAGTTCAATTCTGTGACTTGAATGCAGACACCACAAAGAAGTTTCTGAGAATGCTGCTGTCTAATTTTTACATGTAAGCCCGTTTCCAACGAAATCCTCAAAGCTATCCAAATATCCGCATGCAGAATCTTCAAAAAGAGTGTTCCAGAAGTACTGCATGAAACGAAAGGTTCAAGTCCGTTTGTTGAGGACACACATCACAAATAAGTTTCTCAGAATGCTTCTGTCTTGTTTTTATTGGAAGATATTTCCTTTTTCACCATAGTTCAGAAAGCGCTCCAAATGTCCACTTCCAGATACTCCAAAAAGAGTGTTTCCAACCTGCTCTATGAATGGGAATGTTCCACTCTGTGACTTGAATGGAAATATGGCAAAGAATTTTCCTGAGTATGCTGCTGTGTACGTTTTATATTGCATCCCGTTTCCAACGAAATCCTCAAAGCGATCCAAATATCCACTTGCAGATTCCAAAAAAAAAGTGTTTCAACCTGCTCTGTCAGTACAAAGGTTCAACACTGTTAGTTGATTAGATGCATCATAAACAAGTTCCTGAGATAGCTTCTATGTCGTTTTTATGGGAAGATATTTCCTTTTTCACCATAGGCCTGAAAGCGCTCCAAATGTCCACTTCCAGATACTACAATAAGAGTGTTTCCAACCTGCTCTATGAAACGGAAGGTTCAACTCTGTGACTTGATTGCAAACATCACGAAGGTGTTTCTGAGAATGCTTCTGTCTAGATTTTCTTTGAAGACATTCCCGTTTCCAACGAAATCCTCACAGCTATCCAAATATCCTCTTGCAGATTCTACAAAAAGTGTGGTTCAAAACTGCTGTATCAAAAGAATGGATCAACACTGTTAGTTGAGTACCCACATCACAAACGTGATTCTCAGAATGCTTCTGTCTAGTTTCTGTAGGTAGATATTTCCTATTTTAAGCATAGGCCTGAAAGCGCTCCAAATGCCCGCTTCCAGACACTATAAAAAGAGGGTTTCAAACCTACTCTATGAAAGGGAATGTCCAACTCTGAGAGCTGGATGCAAACATCACAAAGAAGTTTCTGAGAATGCTGCTGTCTACTTTTGATATATAATCCCGTTTCCAACGAAATCCTCAAATCTATCCAAATATCCACTTGCAGATTCCAAAAGAAGAGTGTCTCAAAACTGCTCTATCAATAGAAATGTTCAGCACAGTTAGTTGAGTAGATACAGCATAAACATGTTTCTGAGATTACTTCTATCTCGCATTCATGGGAAGATATTTCCTTTTTCCAGATAGGCTACAAAGCCCTCCAAATGTCCACTTCGAGATACTACAAATAGAGTGCTGCACAACTGCTCTATGTGAGGGGATGTTCAATTCTGTCACTTGGATGCAGACACCACAGAGAAGTTTCTGAGAATGCTGCTGTCTAATTTTTACATGTAAGCCCGTTTCCAACGAAATCCTCAAAGCTATCCAAATATCCGCATGCAGAATCTTCAAAAAGAGTGTTCCAGAAGTACTGCATGAAACGAAAGGTTCAAGTCCGTTTGTTGAGGACACACATCACAAATAAGTTTCTCAGAATGCTTCTGTCTTGTTTTCATTGGAAGATATTTCCTTTTTCACCATAGTTCAGAAAGCGCTCCAAATGTCCACTTCCAGATACTCCAAAAAGAGTGTTTCAAACCTGCTCTATGAATGGGAATGTTCCACTCTGTGACTTGAATGGAAATATGGCAAAGTATTTTCTGAGTATGCTGCTGTGTACGTTTTATATTGCATCCCGTTTCCAACGAAATCCTCAAAGCGATCCAAATATCCACTTGCAGATTCCAAAAAAAGAGTGTTTCAAACTGCTCTGTCAGTACAAAGGTTCAACACTGTTAGTTGATTAGATGCATCATAAACAAGTTCCTGAGATAGCTTCTATGTCGTTTTTATGGGAAGATATTTCCTTTTTCACCATAGGCCTGAAAGCACTCCAAATGTCCACTTCCAGATACTACAAAAAGAGTGTTTCCAACCTGCTCTATGAAACGGAAGGTTCAACTCTGTGACTTGATTGCAAACATCACGAAGGTGTTTCTGAGAATGCTTCTGTCTAGATTTTCTTTGAAGACATTACCGTTTCCAACGAAATCCTCAAAGCTAGCCAAATATCCACCTGCAGATTCTACAAAAAGAGTGTTTCAAAAGTGCTCTGTCCAAACCAAGGTTCAATTCTGACAGTTGAGTGCACACATCACAAACGTGATTCTGCGAATGCTTCTGTCTAGTTTTTGTCGGAAGATATTTCCTTTTTCAGCATAGGCCCCAAGGAGCTCAAAATGTCCACTGCCAGATAGTACGAGAAGATTGTTTCAAACCTGCTCTGTGAAAGGGAATGTTCAACTCTGTGACTTGATTGTAAACATCCCTAAGATGTTTCTTAGAATGCTTCTGGCTAGATTTGATTTGAAGATATTCCCGTTTCCAACGAAATCCTCAAAGCTTTCCAAATATCCACTTCCAGATTCTATAAAAAGAATGTTTCAGAACAGTTCTGTCAAAAGAAAGGTTCAACTCTGTTAGTGGAGAACACACTTCACAATCAAGGTTCTGAGAATGCTTCTGTCTAAATTTTCTATGAAGACATTCCCGTTTCCAACGAAATCCTCACAGCTATCCAAATATCCACTTGCAGATTCTACAAAAAGTGTGGTTCAAAACTGCTGTATCAAAAGAATGGATCAACACTGTTAGTTGAGTACCCACATCACAAACGTGATTCTCAGAATGCTTCTGTCTAGTTTCTATAGGTAGATATTTCCTTATTCAGCATAGGCCTGAAAGCGCTCCAAATGCCCGCTTCCAGACACTATAAAAAGAGGGTTTCAAACCTACTCTATGAAAGGGAATGTTCAACTCTGAGAGCTGGATGCAAACATCACAAAGAAGTTTCTGAGAATGCTGCTGTCTACTTTTTATATATAATCCCGTTTCCAACGAAATCCTCAAATCTATCCAAATATCCACTTGCAGATTCCAAAAGAAGAGTGTCTCAAAACTGCTCTATCAATAGAAATGTTCAGCACAGTTAGTTGAGTAGATACAGCATAAACATGTTTCTGAGATTACTTCTATCTCGCATTCATGGGAAGATATTTCCTTTTTCCAGATAGGCTACAAAGCCCTCCAAATGTCCACTTCGAGATACTACAAATAGAGTGCTGCACAACTGCTCTATGTGAGGGGAAGTTCAATTCTGTGACTTGAATGCAGACACCACAAAGTAGTTTCTGAGAATGCTGCTGTCTAATTTTTACATGTAAGCCCGTTTCCAACGAAATCCTCAAAGCTATCCAAATATCCGCATGCAGAATCTTCAAAAAGAGTGTTCCAGAAGTACTGCATGAAACGAAAGGTTCAAGTCCGTTTGTTGAGGACACACATCACAAATAAGTTTCTCAGAATGCTTCTGTCTTGTTTTCATTGGAAGATATTTCCTTTTTCACCATAGATCAGAAAGCGCTCCAAATGTCCACTTCCAGATACTCCAAAAAGAGTGTTTCCAACCTGCTCTATGAATGGGAATGTTCCACTCTGTGACTTGAATGGAAATATGGCAAAGTATTTTCTGAGTATGCTGCTGTGTACGTTTTATATTGCATCCCGTTTCCAACGAAATCCTCAAAGCGATCCAAATATCCACTTGCAGATTCCAAAAAAAGAGTGTTTCAAACTGCTCTGTCAGTACAAAGGTTCAACACTGTTAGTTGATTAGATGCATCATAAACAAGTTCCTGAGATAGCTTCTATATCGTTTTTATGGGAAGATATTTCCTTTTTCACCATAGGCCTGAAAGCGCTCCAAATGTCCACTTCCAGATACTACAATAAGAGTGTTTCCAACCTGCTCTATGAAACGGAAGGTTCAACTCAGTGACTTGATTGCAAACATCACGAAGGTATTTCTGAGAATGCTTCTGTCTAGATTTTCTTTGAAGACATTCCCGTTTCCAACGAAATCCTCACAGCTATCCAAATATCCTCTTGCAGATTCTACAAAAAGTGTGGTTCAAAACTGCTGTATCAAAAGAATGGATCAACACTGTTAGTTGAGTACCCACATCACAAACGTGATTCTCAGAATGCTTCTGTCTAGTTTCTGTAGGTAGATATTTCCTATTTTAAGCATAGGCCTGAAAGCGCTCCAAATGCCCGCTTGCAGACACTATAAAAAGAGGGTTTCAAACCTACTCTATGAAAGGGAATGTTCAACTCTGAGAGCTGGATGCAAACATCACAAAGAAGTTTCTGAGAATGCTGCTGTCTACTTTTGATATATAATCCCGTTTCCAACGAAATCCTCAAATCTATCCAAATATCCACTTGCAGATTCCAAAAGAAGAGTGTCTCAAAACTGCTCTATCAATAGAAATGTTCAGCACAGTTAGTTGAGTAGATACAGCATAAACATGTTTCTGAGATTACTTCTATCTCGCATTCATGGGAAGATATTTCCTTTTTCCAGATAGGCTACAAAGCCCTCCAAATGTCCACTTCCAGATACTACAAATAGAGTGCTGCACAACTGCTCTATGTGAGGGGAAGTTCAATTCTGTGACTTGAATGCAGACACCACAAAGAAGTTTCTGAGAATGCTGCTGTCTAATTTTTACATGTAAGCCCGTTTCCAACGAAATCCTCAAAGCTATCCAAATATCCGCATGCAGAATCTTCAAAAAGAGTGTTCCAGAAGTACTGCATGAAACGAAAGGTTCAAGACCGTTTGTTGAGGACACACATCACAAATAAGTTTCTCAGAATGCTTCTGTCTTGTTTTCATTGGAAGATATTTCCTTTTTCACCATAGTTCAGAAAGCGCTGCAAATGTCCACTTCCAGATACTCCAAAAAGAGTGTTTCCAACCCGCTCTATGAATGGGAATGTTCCACTCTGTGACTTGAATGGAAATATGGCAAAGTATTTTCTGAGTATGCTGCTGTGTACGTTTTATATTGCATCCCGTTTCCAACGAAATCCTCAAAGCGATCCAAATATCCACTTGCAGATTCCAAAAAAAGAGTGTTTCAAACTGCTCTGTCAGTACAAAGGTTCAACACTGTTAGTTGATTAGATGCATCATAAACAAGTTCCTGAGATAGCTTCTATGTCGTTTTTATGGGAAGATATTTCCTTTTTCACCATAGGCCTGAAAGCGCTCCAAATGTCCACTGCCAGATACTACAATAAGAGTGTTTCCAACCTGCTCTATGAAACGGAAGGTTCAACTCTGTGACTTGATTGCAAACATCACGAAGGTGTTTCTGAGAATGCTTCTGTCTAGATTTTCTTTGAAGACATTCCCGTTTCCAACGAAATCCTCAAAGCTAGCCAAATATCCACCTGCAGATTCTACAAAAAGAGTGTTTCAAAAGTGCTCTGTCCAAACCAAGGTTCAATTCTGACAGTTGAGTGCACACATCACAAACGTGATTCTGCGAATGCTTCTGTCTAGTTTTTGTCGGAAGATATTTCCTTTTTCAGCATAGGCCCCAAGGAGCTCAAAATGTCCACTGCCAGATAGTACGAGAAGATTGTTTCAAACCTGCTCTGTGAAAGGGAATGTTCAACTCTGTGACTTGAATGTAAACATCCCTAAGATGTTTCTTAGAATGCTTCTGGCTAGATTTTATTTGAAGATATTCCCGTTTCCAACGAAATCCTCAAAGCTTTCCAAATATCCACTTCCAGATTCTATAAAAAGAATGTTTCAGAACAGTTCTGTCAAAAGAAAGGTTCAACTCTGTTAGTGGAGAACACACATCACAATCAAGGTTCTGAGAATGCTTCTGTCTAAATTTTCTATGAAGACATTCCCGTTTCCAACGAAATCCTCACAGCTATCCAAATATCCACTTGCAGATTCTACAAAAAGTGTGGTTCAAAACTGCTGTATCAAAAGAATGGATCAACACTGTTAGTTGAGTACCCACATCACAAACGTGATTCTCAGAATGCTTCTGTCTAGTTTCTATAGGTAGATATTTCCTTTTTCAGCATAGGCCTGAAAGCGCTCCAAATGCCCGCTTCCAGACACTATAAAAAGAGGGTTTCAAACCTACTCTATGAAAGGGAATGTTCAACTCTGAGAGCTGGATGCAAACATCACAAAGAAGTTTCTGAGAATGCTGCTGTCTACTTTTTATATATAATCCCGTTTCCAACGAAATCCTCAAATCTATCCAAATATCCACTTGCAGATTCCAAAAGAAGAGTGTCTCAAAACTGCTCTATCAATAGAAATGTTCAGCACAGTTAGTTGAGTACATACAGCATAAACATGTTTCTGAGATTACTTCTATCTCGCATTCATGGGAAGATATTTCCTTTTTCCAGATAGGCTACAAAGCCCTCCAAATGTCCACTTCCAGATACTACAAATAGAGTGCTGCACAACTGCTCTATGTGAGGGGATGTTCAATTCTGTGACTTGAATGCAGACACCACAAAGAAGTTTCTGAGAATGCTGCTGTCTAATTTTTACATGTAAGCCCGTTTCCAACGAAATCCTCAAAGCTATCCAAATATCCGCATGCAGAATCTTCAAAAAGAGTGTTCCAGAAGTACTGCATGAAACGAAAGGTTCAAGTCCGTTTGTTGAGGACACACATCACAAATAAGTTTCTCAGAATGCTTCTGTCTTGTTTTCATTGGAAGATATTTCCTTTTTCACCATAGTTCAGAAAGCGCTCCAAATGTCCACTTCCAGATACTCCAAAAAGAGTGTTTCCAACCTGCTCTATGAATGGGAATGTTCCACTCTGTGACTTGAATGGAAATATGGCAAAGAATTTTCTGAGTATGCTGCTGTGTACGTTTTATATTGCATCCCGTTTCCAACGAAATCCTCAAAGCGATCCAAATATCCACTTGCAGATTCCAAAAAAAGAGTGTTTCAAACTGCTCTGTCAGTACAAAGGTTCAACACTGTTAGTTGATTAGATGCCTCATAAACAAGTTCCTGAGATAGCTTCTATGTCGTTTTTATGGGAAGATATTTCCTTTTTCACCATAGGCCTGAAAGCGCTCCAAATGTCCACTTCCAGATACTACAATAAGAGTGTTTCCAACCTGCTCTATGAAACGGAAGGTTCAACTCTGTGACTTGATTGCAAACATCACGAAGGTGTTTCTGAGAATGTTTCTGTCTAGATTTTCTTTGAAGACATTCCCGTTTCCAACGAAATCCTCACAGCTATCCAAATATCCTCTTGCAGATTCTACAAAAAGTGTGGTTCAAAACTGCTGTATCAAAAGAATGGATCAACACTGTTAGTTGAGTACCCACATCACAAACGAGATTCTCAGAATGCTTCTGTCTAGTTTCTGTAGGTAGATATTTCCTATTTTAAGCATAGGCCTGAAAGCGCTCCAAATGCCCGCTTCCAGACACTATAAAAAGAGGGTTTCAAACCTACTCTATGAAAGGGAATGTTCAACTCTGAGAGCTGGATGCAAACATCACAAAGAAGTTTCTGAGAATGCTGCTGTCTACTTTTTATATATAATCCCGTTTCCAACGAAATCCTCAAATCTATCCAAATATCCACTTGCAGATTCCAAAAGAAGAGTGTCTCAAAACTGCTCTATCAATAGAAATGTTCAGCACAGTTAGTTGAGTAGATACAGCATAAACATGTTTCTGAGATTACTTCTATCTCGCATTCATGGGAAGATATTTCCTTTTTCCAGATAGGCTACAAAGCCCTCCAAATGTCCACTTCCAGATACTACAAAAAGAGTGTTTCCAACCTGCTCTATGAAACGGAAGGTTCAACTCTGTGACTTGATTGCAAACATCACGAAGGTGTTTCTGAGAATGCTTCTGTCTAGATTTTCTTTGAAGACATTACCGTTTCCAACGAAATCCTCAAAGCTAGCCAAATATCCACCTGCAGATTCTACAAAAAGAGTGTTTCAAAAGTGCTCTGTCCAAACCAAGGTTCAATTCTGACAGTTGAGTGCACACATCACAAACGTGATTCTGCGAATGCTTCTGTCTAGTTTTTGTCGGAAGATATTTCCTTTTTCAGCATAGGCCCCAAGGAGCTCAAAATGTCCACTGCCAGATAGTACGAGAAGATTGTTTCAAACCTGCTCTGTGAAAGGGAATGTTCAACTCTGTGACTTGAATGTAAACATCCCTAAGATGTTTCTTAGAATGCTTCTGGCTAGATTTGATTTGAAGATATTCCCGTTTCCAACGAAATCCTCAAAGCTTTCCAAATATCCACTTCCAGATTCTATATAAAGAATGTTTCAGAACAGTTCTGTCAAAAGAAAGGTTCAACTCTGTTAGTGGAGAACACACATCACAATCAAGGTTCTGAGAATGCTTCTGTCTAAATTTTCTATGAAGACATTCCCGTTTCCAACGAAATCCTCACAGCTATCCAAATATCCACTTGCAGATTCTACAAAAAGTGTGGTTCAAAACTGCTGTATCAAAAGAATGGATCAACACTGTTAGTTGAGTACCCACATCACAAACGTGATTCTCAGAATGCTTCTGTCTAGTTTCTATAGGTAGATATTTCCTTTTTCAGCATAGGCCTGAAAGCGCTCCAAATGCCCGCTTCCAGACACTATAAAAAGAGGGTTTCAAACCTACTCTATGAAAGGGAATGTTCAACTCTGAGAGCTGGATGCAAACATCACAAAGAAGTTTCTGAGAATGCTGCTGTCTACTTTTTATATATAATCCCGTTTCCAACGAAATCCTCAAATCTATCCAAATATCCACTTGCAGATTCCAAAAGAAGAGTGTCTCAAAACTGCTCTATCAATAGAAATGTTCAGCACAGTTAGTTGAGTAGATACAGCATAAACATGTTTCTGAGATTACTTCTATCTCGCATTCATGGGAAGATATTTCCTTTTTCCACATAGGCTACAAAGCCCTCCAAATGTCCACTTCCAGATACTACAAAAAGAGTGTTTCCAACCTGCTCTATGAAACGGAAGGTTCAACTCTGTGACTTGATTGCAAACATCACGAAGGTGTTTCTGAGAATGCTTCTGTGTAGATTTTCTTTGAAGACATTACCGTTTCCAACGAAATCCTCAAAGCTAGCCAAATATCCACCTGCAGATTCTACAAAAAGAGTGTTTCAAAAGTGCTCTGTCCAAACCAAGGTTCAATTCTGACAGTTGAGTGCACACATCACAAACGTGATTCTGCGAATGCTTCTGTCTAGTTTTTGTCGGAAGATATTTCCTTTTTCAGCATAGGCCCCAAGGAGCTCAAAATGTCCACTTCCAGATAGTACGAGAAGATTGTTTCAAACCTGCTCTGTGAAAGGGAATGTTCAACTCTGTGACTTGAATGTAAACATCCCTAAGATGTTTCTTAGAATGCTTCTGGCTAGATTTGATTTGAAGATATTCCCGTTTCCAACGAAATCCTCAAAGCTTTCCAAATATCCACTTCCAGATTCTATAAAAAGAATGTTTCAGAACAGTTCTGTCAAAAGAAAGGTTCAACTCTGTTAGTGGAGAACACACATCACAATCAAGGTTCTGAGAATGCTTCTGTCTAAATTTTCTATGAAGACATTCCCGTTTCCAACGAAATCCTCACAGCTATCCAAATATCCACTTGCAGATTCTACAAAAAGTGTGGTTCAAAACTGCTGTATCAAAAGAATGGATCAACACTGTTAGTTGAGTACCCACATCACAAACGTGATTCTCAGAATGCTTCTGTCTAGTTTCTATAGGTAGATATTTCCTTATTCAGCATAGGCCTGAAAGCGCTCCAAATGCCCGCTTCCAGACACTATAAAAAGAGGGTTTCAAACCTACTCTATGAAAGGGAATGTTCAACTCTGAGAGCTGGATGCAAACATCACAAAGAAGTTTCTGAGAATGCTGCTGTCTACTTTTTATATATAATCCCGTTTCCAACGAAATCCTCAAATCTATCCAAATATCCACTTGCAGATTCCAAAAGAAGAGTGTCTGAAAACTGCTCTATCAATAGAAATGTTCAGCACAGTTAGTTGAGTAGATACAGCATAAACATGTTTCTGAGATTACTTCTATCTCGCATTCATGGGAAGATATTTCCTTTTTCCAGATAGGCTACAAAGCCCTCCAAATGTCCACTTCCAGATACTACAAATAGAGTGCTGCACAACTGCTCTATGTGAGGGGAAGTTCAATTCTGTGACTTGAATGCAGACACCACAAAGAAGTTTCTGAGAATGCTGCTGTCTAATTTTTACATGTAAGCCCGTTTCCAACGAAATCCTCAAAGCTATCCAAATATCCGCATGCAGAATCTTCAAAAAGAGTGTTCCAGAAGTACTGCATGAAACGAAAGGTTCAAGTCCGTTTGTTGAGGACACACATCACAAATAAGTTTCTCAGAATGCTTCTGTCTTGTTTTCATTGGAAGATATTTCCTTTTTCACCATAGTTCAGAAAGCGCTCCAAATGTCCACTTCCAGATACTCCAAAAAGAGTGTTTCCAACCTGCTCTATGAATGGGAATGTTCCACTCTGTGACTTGAATGGAAATATGGCAAAGTATTTTCTGAGTATGCTGCTGTGTACGTTTTATATTGCATCCCGTTTCCAACGAAATCCTCAAAGCGATCCAAATATCCACTTGCAGATTCCAAAAAAAGAGTGTTTCAAAGTGCTCTGTCAGTACAAAGGTTCAACACTGTTAGTTGATTAGATGCATCATAAACAATTTCCTGAGATAGCTTCTATGTCGTTTTTATGGGAAGATATTTCCTTTTTCACCATAGGCCTGAAAGCGCTCCAAATGTCCACTTCCAGATACTACAATAAGAGTGTTTCCAACCTGCTCTATGAAACGGAAGGTTCAACTCTGTGACTTGATTGCAAACATCACGAAGGTGTTTCTGAGAATGCTTCTGTCTAGATTTTCTTTGAAGACATTCCCGTTTCCAACGAAATCCTCACAGCTATCCAAATATCCTCTTGCAGATTCTACAAAAAGTGTGGTTCAAAACTGCTGTATCAAAAGAATGGATCAACACTGTTAGTTGAGTACCCACATCACAAACGTGATTCTCAGAATGCTTCTGTCTAGTTTCTATAGGTAGATATTTCCTATTTTAAGCATAGGCCTGAAAGCGCTCCAAATGCCCGCTTCCAGACACTATAAAAAGAGGGTTTCAAACCTACTCTATGAAAGGGAATGTTCAACTCTGAGAGCTGGATGCAAACATCACAAAGAAGTTTCTGAGAATGCTGCTGTCTACTTTTGATATATAATCCCGTTTCCAACGAAATCCTCAAATCTATCCAAATATCCACTTGCAGATTCCAAAAGAAGAGTGTCTCAAAACTGCTCTATCAATAGAAATGTTCAGCACAGTTAGTTGAGTAGATACAGCATAAACATGTTTCTGAGATTACTTCTATCTCGCATTCATGGGAAGATATTTCCTTTTTCCAGATAGGCTACAAAGCCCTCCAAATGTCCACTTCCAGATACTACAAATAGAGTGCTGCACAACTGCTCTATGTGAGGGGAAGTTCAATTCTGTGACTTGAATGCAGACACCACAAAGAAGTTTCTGAGAATGCTGCTGTCTAATTTTTACATGTAAGCCCGTTTCCAACGAAATCCTCAAAGCTATCCAAATATCCGCATGCAGAATCTTCAAAAAGAGTGTTCCAGAAGTACTGCATGAAACGAAAGGTTCAAGTCCGTTTGTTGAGGACACACATCACAAATAAGTTTCTCAGAATGCTTCTGTCTTGTTTTCATTGGAAGATATTTCCTTTTTCACCATAGTTCAGAAAGCGCTCCAAATGTCCACTTCCAGATACTCCAAAAAGAGTGTTTCCAACCTGCTCTATGAATGGGAATGTTCCACTCTGTGACTTGAATGGAAATATGGCAAAGTATTTTCTGAGTATGCTGCTGTGTACGTTTTATATTGCATCCCGTTTCCAACGAAATCCTCAAAGCGATCCAAATATCCACTTGCAGATTCCAAAAAAAGAGTGTTTCAAACTGCTCTGTCAGTACAAAGGTTCAACACTGTTAGTTGATTAGATGCATCATAAACAAGTTCCTGAGATAGCTTCTATGTTGCTTTTATGGGAAGATATTTCCTTTTACACCATAGGCCTGAAAGCGCTCCAAATGTCCACTTCCAGATACTACAAAATGAGTGTTTCCAACCTGCTCTATGAAACGGAAGGTTCAACTCTGTGACTTGATTGCAAACATCACGAAGGTGTTTCTGAGGATGTTTCTGTCTAGATTTTCTTTGAAGACATTACCGTTTCCAACGAAATCCTCAAAGCTAGCCAAATATCCACCTGCAGATTCTACAAAAAGAGTGTTTCAAAAGTGCTCTGTCCAAACCAAGGTTCAATTCTGACAGTTGAGTGCACACATCACAAACGTGATTCTGCGAATGCTTCTGTCTAGTTTTTGTCGGAAGATATTTCCTTTTTCAGCATAGGCCCCAGGGAGCTCAAAATGTCCACTGCCAGATAGTACGAGAAGATTGTTTCAAACCTGCTCTGTGAAAGGGAATGTTCAACTCTGTGACTTGAATGTAAACATCCCTAAGATGTTTCTTAGAATGCTTCTGGCTAGATTTTATTTGAAGATATTCCCGTTTCCAACGAAATCCTCAAAGCTTTCCAAATATCCACTTCCAGATTCTATAAAAAGAATGTTTCAGAACAGTTCTGTCAAAAGAAAGGTTCAACTCTGTTAGTGGAGAACACACATCACAATCAAGGTTCTGAGAATGCTTCTGTCTAAATTTTCTATGAAGACATTCCCGTTTCCAACGAAATCCTCACAGCTATCCAAATATCCACTTGCAGATTCTACAAAAAGTGTGGTTCAAAACTGCTGTATCAAAAGAATGGATCAACACTGTTAGTTGAGTACCCACATCACAAACGTGATTCTCAGAATGCTTCTGTCTAGTTTCTATAGGTAGATATTTCCTTTTTCAGCATAGGCCTGAAAGCGCTCCAAATGCCCGCTTCCAGACACTATAAAAAGAGGGTTTCAAACCTACTCTATGAAAGGGAATGTTCAACTCTGAGAGCTGGATGCAAACATCACAAAGAAGTTTCTGAGAATGCTGCTGTCTACTTTTTATATATAATCCCGTTTCCAACGAAATCCTCAAATCTCTCCAAATATCCACTTGCAGATTCCAAAAGAAGAGTGTCTCAAAACTGCTCTATCAATAGAAATGTTCAGCACAGTTAGTTGAGTAGATACAGCATAAGCATGTTTCTGAGATTACTTCTATCTCGCATTCATGGGAAGATATTTCCTTTTTCCAGATAGGCTACAAAGCCCTCCAAATGTCCACTTCCAGATACTACAAAAAGAGTGTTTCCAACCTGCTCTATGAAACGGAAGGTTCAACTCTGTGACTTGATTGCAAACATCACGAAGGTGTTTCTGAGAATGCTTCTGTCTAGATTTTCTTTGAAGACATTACCGTTTCCAACGAAATCCTCAAAGCTAGCCAAATATCCACCTGCAGATTCTACAAAAAGAGTGTTTCAAAAGTGCTCTGTCCAAACCAAGGTTCAATTCTGACAGTTGAGTGCACACATCACAAACGTGATTCTGCGAATGCTTCTGTCTAGTTTTTGTCGGAAGATATTTCCTTTTTCAGCATAGGCCCCAAGGAGCTCAAAATGTCCACTGCCAGATAGTACGAGAAGATTGTTTCAAACCTGCTCTGTGAAAGGGAATGTTCAACTCTGTGACTTGAATGTAAACATCCCTAAGATGTTTCTTAGAATGCTTCTGGCTAGATTTGATTTGAAGATATTCCCGTTTCCAACGAAATCCTCAAAGCTTTCCAAATATCCACTTCCAGATTCTATAAAAAGAATGTTTCAGAACAGTTCTGTCAAAAGAAAGGTTCAACTCTGTTAGTGGAGAACACACATCACAATCAAGGTTCTGAGAATGCTTCTGTCTAAATTTTCTATGAAGACATTCCCGTTTCCAACGAAATCCTCACAGCTATCCAAATATCCACTTGCAGATTCTACAAAAAGTGTGGTTCAAAACTGCTGTATCAAAAGAATGGATCAACACTGTTAGTTGAGTACCCACATCACAAACGTGATTCTCAGAATGCTTCTGTCTAGTTTCTATAGGTAGATATTTCCTTTTTCAGCATAGGCCTGAAAGCGCTCCAAATGCCCGCTTCCAGACACTATAAAAAGAGGGTTTCAAACCTACTCTATGAAAGGGAATGTTCAACTCTGAGAGCTGGATGCAAACATCACAAAGAAGTTTCTGAGAATGCTGCTGTCTACTTTTGATATATAATCCCGTTTCCAACGAAATCCTCAAATCTATCCAAATATCCACTTGCAGATTCCAAAAGAAGAGTGTCTCAAAACTGCTCTATCAATAGAAATGTTCAGCACAGTTAGTTGAGTAGATACAGCATAAACATGTTTCTGAGATTACTTCTATCTCGCATTCATGGGAAGATATTTCCTTTTTCCAGATAGGCTACAAAGCCCTCCAAATGTCCACTTCCAGATACTACAAAAAGAGTGTTTCCAACCTGCTCTATGAAACGGAAGGTTCAACTCTGTGACTTGATTGCAAACATCACGAAGGTGTTTCTGAGAATGCTTCTGTCTAGATTTTCTTTGAAGACATTACCGTTTCCAACGAAATCCTCAAAGCTAGCCAAATATCCACCTGCAGATTCTACAAAAAGAGTGTTTCAAAAGTGCTCTGTCCAAACCAAGGTTCAATTCTGACAGTTGAGTGCACACATCACAAACGTGATTCTGCGAATGCTTCTGTCTAGTTTTTGTCGGAAGATATTTCCTTTTTCAGCATAGGCCCCAAGGAGCTCAAAATGTCCACTGCCAGATAGTACGAGAAGATTGTTTCAAACCTGCTCTGTGAAAGGGAATGTTCAACTCTGTGACTTGAATGTAAACATCCCTAAGATGTTTCTTAGAATGCTTCTGGCTAGATTTGATTTGAAGATATTCCCGTTTCCAACGAAATCCTCAAAGCTTTCCAAATATCCACTTCCAGATTCTATAAAAAGAATGTTTCAGAACAGTTCTGTCAAAAGAAAGGTTCAACTCTGTTAGTGGAGAACACACATCACAATCAAGGTTCTGAGAATGCTTCTGTCTAAATTTTCTATGAAGACATTCCCGTTTCCAACGAAATCCTCACAGCTATCCAAATATCCACTTGCAGATTCTACAAAAAGTGTGGTTCAAAACTGCTGTATCAAAAGAATGGATCAACACTGTTAGTTGAGTACCCACATCACAAACGTGATTCTCAGAATGCTTCTGTCTAGTTTCTATAGGTAGATATTTCCTTTTTCAGCATAGGCCTGAAAGCGCTCCAAATGCCCGCTTCCAGACACTATAAAAAGAGGGTTTCAAACCTACTCTATGAAAGGGAATGTTCAACTCTGAGAGCTGGATGCAAACATCACAAAGAAGTTTCTGAGAATGCTGCTGTCTACTTTTGATATATAATCCCGTTTCCAACGAAATCCTCAAATCTATCCAAATATCCACTTGCAGATTCCAAAAGAAGAGTGTCTCAAAACTGCTCTATCAATAGAAATGTTCAGCACAGTTAGTTGAGTAGATACAGCATAAACATGTTTCTGAGATTACTTCTATCTCGCATTCATGGGAAGATATTTCCTTTTTCCAGATAGGCTACAAAGCCCTCCAAATGTCCACTTCCAGATACTACAAAAAGAGTGTTTCCAACCTGCTCTATGAAATGGAAGGTTCAACTCTGTGACTTGATTGCAAACATCACGAAGGTGTTTCTGAGAATGCTTCTGTCTAGATTTTCTTTGAAGACATTACCGTTTCCAACGAAATCCTCAAAGCTAGCTAAATATCCACCTGCAGATTCTACAAAAAGAGTGTTTCAAAAGTGCTCTGTCCAAACCAAGGTTCAATTCTGACAGTTGAGTGCACACATCACAAACGTGATTCTGCGAATGCTTCTGTCTAGTTTTTGTCGGAAGATATTTCCTTTTTCAGCATAGGCCCCAAGGAGCTCAAAATGTCCACTGCCAGATAGTACGAGAAGATTGTTTCAAACCTGCTCTGTGAAAGGGAATGTTCAACTCTGTGACTTGAATGTAAACATCCCTAAGATGTTTCTTGGAATGCTTCTGGCTAGATTTTATTTGAAGATATTCCCGTTTCCAACGAAATCCTCAAAGCTTTCCAAATATCCACTTCCAGATTCTATAAAAAGAATGTTTCAGAACAGTTCTGTCAAAAGAAAGGTTCAACTCTGTTAGTGGAGAACACACATCACAATCAAGGTTCTGAGAATGCTTCTGTCTAAATTTTCTATGAAGACATTCCCGTTTCCAACGAAATCCTCACAGCTATCCAAATATCCACTTGCAGATTCTACAAAAAGTGTGGTTCAAAACTGCTGTATCAAAAGAATGGATCAACACTGTTAGTTGAGTACCCACATCACAAACGTGATTCTCAGAATGCTTCTGTCTAGTTTCTATAGGTAGATATTTCCTTTTTCAGCATAGGCCTGAAAGCGCTCCAAATGCCCGCTTCCAGACACTATAAAAAGAGGGTTTCAAACCTACTCTATGAAAGGGAATGTTCAACTCTGAGAGCTGGATGCAAACATCACAAAGAAGTTTCTGAGAATGCTGCTGTCTACTTTTTATATATAATCCCGTTTCCAACGAAATCCTCAAATCTATCCAAATATCCACTTGCAGATTCCAAAAGAAGAGTGTCTCAAAACTGCTCTATCAATAGAAATGTTCAGCACAGTTAGTTGAGTAGATACAGCATAAACATGTTTCTGAGATTACTTCTATCTCGCATTCATGGGAAGATATTTCCTTTTTCCAGATAGGCTACAAAGCCCTCCAAATGTCCACTTCCAGATACTACAAAAAGTGTGTTTCCAACCTGCTCTATGAAACGGAAGGTTCAACTCTGTGACTTGATTGCAAACATCACGAAGGTGTTTCTGAGAATGCTTCTGTCTAGATTTTCTTTGAAGACATTACCGTTTCCAACGAAATCCTCAAAGCTAGCCAAATATCCACCTGCAGATTCTACAAAAAGTGTGTTTCAAAAGTGCTCTCTCCAAACCAAGGTTCAATTCTGACAGTTGAGTGCACACATCACAAACGGGATTCTGCGAATGCTTCTGACTAGTTTTTGTCGGAAGATATTTCCTTTTTCAGCATAGGCCCCAAAGAGCTCAAAATGTCCACTGCCAGATAGTACGAGAAGATTGTTTCAAACCTGCTCTGTGAAAGGGAATGTTCAACTCTGTGACTTGAATGTAAACATCCCTAAGATGTTTCTTAGAATGCTTCTGGCTAGATTTTATTTGAAGATATTCCCGTTTCCAACGAAATCCTCAAAGCTTTCCAAATATCCACTTCCAGATTCTATAAAAAGAATGTTTCAGAACAGTTCTGTCAAAAGAAAGGTTCAACTCTGTTAGTGGAGAACACACATCACAATCAAGGTTCTGAGAATGCTTCTGTCTAAATTTTCTATGAAGACATTCCCGTTTCCAACGAAATCCTCACAGCTATCCAAATATCCACTTGCAGATTCTACAAAAAGTGTGGTTCAAAACTGCTGTATCAAAAGAATGGATCAACACTGTTAGTTGAGTACCCACATCACAAACTTGATTCTCAGAATGCTTCTGTCTAGTTTCTATAGGTAGATATTTCCTTTTTCAGCATAGGCCTGAAAGCGCTCCAAATGCCCGCTTCCAGACACTATAAAAAGAGGGTTTCAAACCTACTCTATGAAAGGGAATGTTCAACTCTGAGAGCTGGATGCAAACATCACAAAGAAGTTTCTGAGAATGCTGCTGTCTACTTTTTATATATAATCCCGTTTCCAACGAAATCCTCAAATCTATCCAAATATCCACTTGCAGATTCCAAAAGAAGAGGGTCTCAAAACTGCTCTATCAATAGAAATGTTCAGCACAGTTAGTTGAGTAGATACAGCATAAACATGTTTCTGAGATTACTTCTATCTCGCATTCATGGGAAGATATTTCCTTTTTCCAGATAGGCTACAAAGCCCTCCAAATGTCCACTTCCAGATACTACAAATAGAGTGCTGCACAACTGCTCTATGTGAGGGGAAGTTCAATTCTGTGACTTGAATGCAGACACCACAAAGAAGTTTCTGAGAATGCTGCTGTCTAATTTTTACATGTAAGCCCGTTTCCAACGAAATCCTCAAAGCTATCCAAATATCCGAATGCAGAATCTTCAAAAAGAGTGTTCCAGAAGTACTGCATGAAACGAAAGGTTCAAGTCCGTTTGTTGAGGACACACATCACAAATAAGTTTCTCAGAATGCTTCTGTGTTGTTTTCATTGGAAGATATTTCCTTTTTCACCATAGTTCAGAAAGCGCTCCAAATGTCCACTTCCAGATACTCCAAAAAGAGTGTTTCCAACCTGCTCTATGAATGGGAATGTTCCACTCTGTGACTTGAATGGAAATATGGCAAAGTATTTTCTGAGTATGCTGCTGTGTACGTTTTATATTGCATCCCGTTTCCAACGAAATCCTCAAAGCGATCCAAATATCCACTTGCAGATTCCAAAAAAAGAGTGTTTCAAACTGCTCTGTCAGTACAAAGGTTCAACACTGTTAGTTGATTAGATGCATCATAAACAAGTTCCTGAGATAGCTTCTATGTCGTTTTTATGGGAAGATATTTCTTTTTCACCATAGGCCTGAAAGCGCTCCAAATGTCCACTTCCAGATACTACAATAAGAGTGTTTCCAACCTGCTCTATGAAACGGAAGGTTCAACTCTGTGACTTGATTGCAAACATCACGAAGGTGTTTCTGAGAATGTTTCTGTCTAGATTTTCTTTGAAGACATTCCCGTTTCCAACGAAATCCTCACAGCTATCCAAATATCCTCTTGCAGATTCTACAAAAAGTGTGGTTCAAAACTGCTGTATCAAAAGAATGGATCAACACTGTTAGTTGAGTACCCACATCACAAACGAGATTCTCAGAATGCTTCTGTCTAGTTTCTGTAGGTAGATATTTCCTATTTTAAGCATAGGCCTGAAAGCGCTCCAAATGCCCGCTTCCAGACACTATAAAAAGAGGGTTTCAAACCTACTCTATGAAAGGGAATGTTCAACTCTGAGAGCTGGATGCAAACATCACAAAGAAGTTTCTGAGAATGCTGCTGTCTACTTTTTATATATAATCCCGTTTCCAACGAAATCCTCAAATCTATCCAAATATCCACTTGCAGATTCCAAAAGAAGAGTGTCTCAAAACTGCTCTATCAATAGAAATGTTCAGCACAGTTAGTTGAGTAGATACAGCATAAACATGTTTCTGAGATTACTTCTATCTCGCATTCATGGGAAGATATTTCCTTTTTCCAGATAGGCTACAAAGCCCTCCCAATGTCCACTTCCAGATACTACAAAAAGAGTGTTTCCAACCTGCTCTATGAAACGGAAGGTTCAACTCTGTGACTTGATTGCAAACATCACGAAGGTGTTTCTGAGAATGCTTCTGTCTAGATTTTCTTTGAAGACATTACCGTTTCCAACGAAATCCTCAAAGCTAGCCAAATATCCACCTGCAGATTCTACAAAAAGAGTGTTTCAAAAGTGCTCTGTCCAAACCAAGGTTCAATTCTGACAGTTGAGTGCACACATCACAAACGTGATTCTGCGAATGCTTCTGTCTAGTTTTTGTCGGAAGATATTTCCTTTTTCAGCATAGGCCCCAAGGAGCTCAAAATGTCCACTGCCAGATAGTACGAGAAGATTGTTTCAAACCTGCTCTGTGAAAGGGAATGTTCAACTCTGTGACTTGAATGTAAACATCCCTAAGATGTTTCTTAGAATGCTTCTGGCTAGATTTTATTTGAAGATATTCCCGTTTCCAACGAAATCCTCAAAGCTTTCCAAATATCCACTTCCAGATTCTATAAAAAGAATGTTTCAGAACAGTTCTGTCAAAAGAAAGGTTCAACTCTGTTAGTGGAGAACACACATCACAATCAAGGTTCTGAGAATGCTTCTGTCTAAATTTTCTATGAAGACATTCCCGTTTCCAACGAAATCCTCACAGCTATCCAAATATCCACTTGCAGATTCTACAAAAAGTGTGGTTCAAAACTGCTGTATCAAAAGAATGGATCGACACTGTTAGTTGAGTACCCACATCACAAACGTGATTCTCAGAATGCTTCTGTCTAGTTTCTATAGGTAGATATTTCCTTTTTCAGCATAGGCCTGAAAGCGCTCCAAATGCCCGCTTCCAGACACTATAAAAAGAGGGTTTCAAACCTACTCTATGAAAGGGAATGTTCAACTCTGGGAGCTGGATGCAAACATCACAAAGAAGTTTCTGAGAATGCTGCTGTCTACTTTTTATATATAATACCGTTTCCAACGAAATCCTCAAATCTATCCAAATATCCACTTGCAGATTCCAAAAGAAGAGTGTCTCAAAACTGCTCTATCAATAGAAATGTTCAGCACAGTTAGTTGAGTAGATACAGCATAAACATGTTTCTGAGATTACTTCTATCTCGCATTCATGGGAAGATATTTCCTTTTTCCAGATAGGCTACAAAGCCCTCCAAATGTCCACTTCCAGATACTACAAAAAGAGTGTTTCCAACCTGCTCTATGAAACGGAAGGTTCAACTCTGTGACTTGATTGCAAACATCACGAAGGTGTTTCTGAGAATGCTTCTGTCTAGATTTTCTTTGAAGACATTACCGTTTCCAAAGAAATCCTCAAAGCTAGCCAAATATCCACCTGCAGATTCTACAAAAAGAGTGTTTCAAAAGTGCTCTGTCCAAACCAAGGTTCAATTCTGACAGTTGAGTGCACACATCACAAACGTGATTCTGCGAATGCTTCTGTCTAGTTTTTGTCGGAAGATATTTCCTTTTTCAGCATAGGCCCCAAGGAGCTCAAAATGTCCACTGCCAGATAGTACGAGAAGATTGTTTCAAACCTGCTGCTGTGAAAGGGAATGTTCAACTCTGTGACTTGAATGTAAACATCCCTAAGATGTTTCTTAGAATGCTTCTGGCTAGATTTTATTTGAAGATATTCCCGTTTCCAACGAAATCCTCAAAGCTTTCCAAATATCCACTTCCAGATTCTATAAAAAGAATGTTTCAGAACAGTTCTGTCAAAAGAAAGGTTCAACTCTGTTAGTGGAGAACACACATCACAATCAAGGTTCTGAGAATGCTTCTGTCTAAATTTTCTATGAAGACATTCCCGTTTCCAACGAAATCCTCACAGCTATCCAAATATCCACTTGCAGATTCTACAAAAAGTGTGGTTCAAAACTGCTGTATCAAAAGAATGGATCAACACTGTTAGTTGAGTACCCACATCACAAACGTGATTCTCAGAATGCTTCTGTCTAGTTTCTATAGGTAGATATCTCCTTTTTCAGCATAGGCCTGAAAGCGCTCCAAATGCCCGCTTCCAGACACTATAAAAAGAGGGTTTCAAACCTACTCTATGAAAGGGAATGTTCAACTCTGAGAGCTGGATGCAAACATCACAAAGAAGTTTGCTGAGAATGCTGCTGTCTACTTTTGATATATAATCCCGTTTCCAACGAAATCCTCAAATCTATCCAAATATCCACTTGCAGATTCCAAAAGAAGAGTGTCTCAAAACTGCTCTATCAATAGAAATGTTCAGCACAGTTAGTTGAGTAGATACAGCATAAACATGTTTCTGAGATTACTTCTATCTCGCATTCATGGGAAGATATTTCCTTTTTCCACATAGGCTACAAAGCCCTCCAAATGTCCACTTCCAGATACTACAAAAAGAGTGTTTCCAACCTGCTCTATGAAACGGAAGGTTCAACTCTGTGACTTGATTGCAAACATCACGAAGGTGTTTCTGAGAATGCTTCTGTCTAGATTTTCTTTGAAGACATTACCGTTTCCAACGAAATCCTCAAAGCTAGCCAAATATCCACCTGCAGATTCTACAAAAAGAGTGTTTCAAAAGTGCTCTGTCCAAACCAAGGTTCAATTCTGACAGTTGAGTGCACACATCACAAACGTGATTCTGCGAATGCTTCTGTCTAGTTTTTGTCGGAAGATATTTCCTTTTTCAGCATAGGCCCCAAGGAGCTCAAAATGTCCACTGCCAGATAGTACGAGAAGATTGTTTCAAACCTGCTCTCTGAAAGGGAATGTTCAACTCTGTGACTTGAATGTAAACATCCCTAAGATGTTTCTTAGAATGCTTCTGGCTAGATTTGATTTGAAGATATTCCCGTTTCCAACGAAATCCTCAAAGCTTTCCAAATATCCACTTCCAGATTCTATAAAAAGAATGTTTCAGAACAGTTCTGTCAAAAGAAAGGTTCAACTCTGTTAGTGGAGAACACACATCACAATCAAGGTTCTGAGAATGCTTCCGTCTAAATTTTCTATGAAGACATTCCCGTTTCCAACGAAATCCTCACAGCTATCCAAATATCCACTTGCAGATTCTACAAAAAGTGTGGTTCAAAACTGCTGTATCAAAAGAATGGATCAACACTGTTAGTTGAGTACCCACATCACAAACGTGATTCTCAGAATGCTTCTGTCTAGTTTCTATAGGTAGATATTTCCTTTTTCAGCATAGGCCCGAAAGCGCTCCAAATGCCCGCTTCCAGACACTATAAAAAGAGGGTTTCAAACCTACTCTATGAAAGGGAATGTTCAACTCTGAGAGCTGGATGCAAACATCACAAAGAAGTTTCTGAGAATGCTGCTGTCTACTTTTGATATATAATCCCGTTTCCAACGAAATCCTCAAATCTATCCAAATATCCACTTGCAGATTCCAAAAGAAGAGTGTCTCAAAACTGCTCTATCAATAGAAATGTTCAGCACAGTTAGTTGAGTAGATACAGCATAAACATGTTTCTGAGATTACTTCTATCTCGCATTCATGGGAAGATATTTCCTTTTTCCAGATAGGCTACAAAGCCCTCCAAATGTCCACTTCCAGATACTACAAAAAGAGTGTTTCCAACCTGCTCTATGAAATGGAAGGTTCAACTCTGTGACTTGATTGCAAACATCACGAAGGTGTTTCTGAGAATGCTTCTGTCTAGATTTTCTTTGAAGACATTACCGTTTCCAACGAAATCCTCAAAGCTAGCCAAATATCCACCTGCAGATTCTACAAAAAGAGTGTTTCAAAAGTGCTCTCTCCAAACCAAGGTTCAATTCTGACAGTTGAGTGCACACATCACAAACGTGATTCTGCGAATGCTTCTGTCTAGTTTTTGTCGGAAGATATTTCCTTTTTCAGCATAGGCCCCAAGGAGCTCAAAATGTCCACTGCCAGATAGTACGAGAAGATTGTTTCAAACCTGCTCTGTGAAAGGGAATGTTCAACTCTGTGACTTGAATGTAAACATCCCTAAGATGTTTCTTAGAATGCTTCTGGCTAGATTTTATTTGAAGATATTCCCGTTTCCAACGAAATCCTCAAAGCTTTCCAAATATCCACTTCCAGATTCTATAAAAAGAATGTTTCAGAACAGTTCTGTCAAAAGAAAGGTTCAACTCTGTTAGTGGAGAACACACATCACAATTAAGGTTCTGAGAATGCTTCTGTCTACATTTTCTATGAAGACATTCCCGTTTCCAACGAAATCCTCACAGCTATCCAAATATCCACTTGCAGATTCTACAAAAAGTGTGGTTCAAAACTGCTGTATCAAAAGAATGGATCAACACTGTTAGTTGAGTACCCACATCACAAACGTGATTCTCAGAATGCTTCTGTCTAGTTTCTGTAGGTGGATATTTCCTATTTTAAGCATAGGCCTGTAAGCGCTCCAAATGCCCGCTTCTAGACACTATAAAAAGAGGGTTTCAAACCTACTCTATGAAAGGGAATGTTCAACTCTGAGAGCTGGATGCAAACATCACAAAGAAGTTTCTGAGAATGCTGCTGTCTACTTTTTATATATAATCCCGTTTCCAACGAAATCCTCAAATCTATCCAAATATCCACTTGCAGATTCCAAAAGAAGAGTGTCTCAAAACTGCTCTATCAATAGAAATGTTCAGCACATTTAGTTGAGTAGATACAGCATAAACATGTTTCTGAGATTACATCTATCTCGCATTCATGGGAAGATATTTCCTTTTTCCAGATAGGCTACAAAGCCCTCCAAATGTCCACTTCCAGATACTACAAAAAGTGTGTTTCCAACCTGCTCTATGAAACGGAAGGTTCAACTCTGTGACTTGATTGCAAACATCACGAAGGTGTTTCTGAGAATGCTTCTGTCTAGATTTTCTTTGAAGACATTACCGTTTCCAACGAAATCCTCAAAGCTAGCCAAATATCCACCTGCAGATTCTACAAAAAGTGTGTTTCAAAAGTGCTCCCTCCAAACCAAGGTTCAATTCTGACAGTTGAGTGCACACATCACAAACGTGATTCTGCGAATGCTTCTGACTAGTTTTTGTCGGAAGATATTTCCTTTTTCAGCATAGGCCCCAAAGAGCTCAAAATGTCCACTGCCAGATAGTACGAGAAGATTGTTTCAAACCTGCTCTGTGAAAGGGAATGTTCAACTCTGTGACTTGAATGTAAACATCCCTAAGATGTTTCTTAGAATGCTTCTGGCTAGATTTTATTTGAAGATATTCCCGTTTCCAACGAAATCCTCAAAGCTTTCCAAATATCCACTTCCAGATTCTATAAAAAGAATGTTTCAGAACAGTTCTGTCAAAAGAAAGGTTCAACTCTGTTAGTGGAGAACACACATCACAATCAAGGTTCTGAGAATGCTTCTGTCTAAATTTTCTATGAAGACATTCCCGTTTCCAACGAAATCCTCACAGCTATCCAAATATCCACTTGCAGATTCTACAAAAAGTGTGGTTCAAAACTGCTGTATCAAAAGAATGGATCAACACTGTTAGTTGAGTACCCACATCACAAACGTGATTCTCAGAATGCTTCTGTCTAGTTTCTATAGGTAGATATTTCCTTTTTCAGCATAGGCCTGAAGCGCTCCAAATGCCCGCTTCCAGACACTATAAAAAGAGGGTTTCAAACCTACTCTATGAAAGGGAATGTTCAACTCTGAGAGCTGGATGCAAACATCACAAAGAAGTTTCTGAGAATGCTGCTGTCTACTTTTGATATATAATCCCGTTTCCAACGAAATCCTCAAATCTATCCAAATATCCACTTGCAGATTCCAAAAGAAGAGTGTCTCAAAACTGCTCTATCAATAGAAATGTTCAGCACAGTTAGTTGAGTAGATACAGCATAAACATGTTTCTGAGATTACTTCTATCTCGCATTCATGGGAAGATATTTCCTTTTTCCAGATAGGCTACAAAGCCCTCCAAATGTCCACTTCCAGATACTACAAAAAGAGTGTTTCCAACCTGCTCTATGAAACGGAAGGTTCAACTCTGTGACTTGATTGCAAACATCACGAAGGTGTTTCTGAGAATGCTTCTGTCTAGATTTTCTTTGAAGACATTACCGTTTCCAACGAAATCCTCAAAGCTAGCCAAATATCCACCTGCAGATTCTACAAAAAGAGTGTTTCAAAAGTGCTCTGTCCAAACCAAGGTTCAATTCTGACAGTTGAGTGCACACATCACAAACGTGATTCTGCGAATGCTTCTGTCTAGTTTTTGTCGGAAGATATTTCCTTTTTCAGCATAGGCCCCAAGGAGCTCAAAATGTCCACTGCCAGATAGTACGAGAAGATTGTTTCAAACCTGCTCTGTGAAAGGGAATGTTCAACTCTGTGACTTGAATGTAAACATCCCTAAGATGCTTCTTAGAATGCTTCTGGCTAGATTTGATTTGAAGATATTCCCGTTTCCAACGAAATCCTCAAAGCTTTCCAAATATCCACTTCCAGATTCTATAAAAAGAATGTTTCAGAACAGTTCTGTCAAAAGAAAGGTTCAACTCTGTTAGTGGAGAACACACATCACAATCAAGGTTCTGAGAATGCTTCTGTCTAAATTTTCTATGAAGACATTCCCGTTTCCAACGAAATCCTCACAGCTATCCAAATATCCACTTGCAGATTCTACAAAAAGTGTGGTTCAAAACTGCTGTATCAAAAGAATGGATCAACACTGTTAGTTGAGTACCCACATCACAAACGTGATTCTCAGAATGCTTCTGTCTAGTTTCTGTAGGTAGATATTTCCTATTTTAAGCATAGGCCTGAAAGCGCTCCAAATGCCCGCTTCCAGACACTATAAAAAGAGGGTTTCAAACCTACTCTATGAAAGGGAATGTTCAACTCTGAGAGCTGGATGCAAACATCACAAAGAAGTTTCTGAGAATGCTGCTGTCTACTTTTTATATATAATCCCGTTTCCAACGAAATCCTCAAATCTATCCAAATATCCACTTGCAGATTCCAAAAGAAGAGTGTCTCAAAACTGCTCTATCAATAGAAATGTTCAGCACAGTTAGTTGAGTAGATACAGCATAAACATGTTTCTGAGATTACTTCTATCTCGCATTCATGGGAAGATATTTCCTTTTTCCAGATAGGCTACAAAGCCCTCCAAATGTCCACTTCCAGATACTACAAAAAGTGTGTTTCCAACCTGCTCTATGAAACGGAAGGTTCAACTCTGTGACTTGATTGCAAACATCACGAAGGTGTTTCTGAGAATGCTTCTGTCTAGATTTTCTTTGAAGACATTACCGTTTCCAACGAAATCCTCAAAGCTAGCCAAATATCCACCTGCAGATTCTACAAAAAGAGTGTTTCAAAAGTGCTCTGTCCAAACCAAGGTTCAATTCTGACAGTTGAGTGCACACATCACAAACGTGATTCTGCGAATGCTTCTGTCTAGTTTTTGTCGGAAGATATTTCCTTTTTCAGCATAGGCCCCAAGGAGCTCAAAATGTCCACTGCCAGATAGTACGAGAAGATTGTTTCAAACCTGCTCTGTGAAAGGGAATGTTCAACTCTGTGACTTGAATGTAAACATCCCTAAGATGTTTCTTAGAATGCTTCTGGCTAGATTTTATTTGAAGATATTCCCGTTTCCAACGAAATCCTCAAAGCTTTCCAAATATCCACTTCCAGATTCTATAAAAAGAATGTTTCAGAACAGTTCTGTCAAAAGAAAGGTTCAACTCTGTTAGTGGAGAACACACATCACAATCAAGGTTCTGAGAATGCTTCTGTCTAAATTTTCTATGAAGACATTCCCGTTTCCAAGGAAATCCTCACAGCTATCCAAATATCCACTTGCAGATTCTACAAAAAGTGTGGTTCAAAACTGCTGTATCAAAAGAATGGATCAACACTGTTAGTTGAGTACCCACATCACAAACGTGATTCTCAGAATGCTTCTGTCTAGTTTCTATAGGTAGATATTTCCTTTTTCAGCATAGGCCTGAAAGCGCTCCAAATGCCCGCTTCCAGACACTATAAAAAGAGGGTTTCAAACCTACTCTATGAAAGGGAATGTTCAACTCTGAGAGCTGGATGCAAACATCACAAAGAAGTTTCTGAGAATGCTGCTGTCTACTTTTGATATATAATCCCGTTTCCAACGAAATCCTCAAATCTATCCTAATATCCACTTGCAGATTCCAAAAGAAGAGTGTCTCAAAACTGCTCTATCAATAGAAATGTTCAGCACAGTTAGTTGAGTAGATACAGCATAAACATGTTTCTGAGATTACTTCTATCTCGCATTCATGGGAAGATATTTCCTTTTTCCAGATAGGCTACAAAGCCCTCCAAATGTCCACTTCGAGATACTACAAATAGAGTGCTGCACAACTGCTCTATGTGAGGGGAAGTTCAATTCTGTGACTTGAATGCAGACACCACAAAGAAGTTTCTGAGAATGCTGCTGTCTAATTTTTACATGTAAGCCCGTTTCCAATGAAATCCTCAAAGCTATCCAAATATCCGCATGCAGAATCTTCAAAAAGAGTGTTCCAGAAGTACTGCATGAAACGAAAGGTTCAAGTCCGTTTGTTGAGGACACACATCACAAATAAGTTTCTCAGAATGCTTCTGTCTTGTTTTCATTGGAAGATATTTCCTTTTTCACCATAGTTCAGAAAGCGCTCCAAATGTCCACTTCCAGATACTCCAAAAAGAGTGTTTCAAACCTGCTCTATGAATGGGAATGTTCCACTCTGTGACTTGAATGGAAATATGGCAAAGTATTTTCTGAGTATGCTGCTGTGTACGTTTTATATTGCATCCCGTTTCCAACGAAATCCTCAAAGCGATCCAAATATCCACTTGCAGATTCCAAAAAAAGAGTGTTTCAAACTGCTCTGTCAGTACAAAGGTTCAACACTGTTAGTTGATTAGATGCATCATAAACAAGTTCCTGAGATAGCTTCTATGTCGTTTTTATGGGAAGATATTTCCTTTTTCACCATAGGCCTGAAAGCGCTCCAAATGTCCACTTCCAGATACTACAATAAGAGTGTTTCCAACCTGCTCTATGAAACGGAAGGTTCAACTCTGTGACTTGATTGCAAACATCACGAAGGTGTTTCTGAGAATGCTTCTGTCTAGATTTTCTTTGAAGACATTCCCGTTTCCAACGAAATCCTCACAGCTATCCAAATATCCTCTTGCAGATTCTACAAAAAGTGTGGTTCAAAACTGCTGTATCAAAAGAATGGATCAACACTGTTAGTTGAGTACCCACATCACAAACGTGATTCTCAGAATGCTTCTGTCTAGTTTCTGTAGGTAGATATTTCCTATTTTAAGCATAGACCTGAAAGCGCTCCAAATGCCCGCTTCCAGACACTATAAAAAGAGGGTTTCAAACCTACTCTATGAAAGGGAATGTTCAACTCTGAGAGCTGGATGCAAACATCACAAAGAAGTTTCTGAGAATGCTGCTGTCTACTTTTTATATATAATCCCGTTTCCAACGAAATCCTCAAATCTATCCAAATATCCACTTGCAGATTCCAAAAGAAGAGTGTCTCAAAACTGCTCTATCAATAGAAATGTTCAGCACAGTTAGTTGAGTAGATACAGCATAAACATGTTTCTGAGATTACTTCTATCTCGCATTCATGGGAAGATATTTCCTTTTTCCAGATAGGCTACAAAGCCCTCCAAATGTCCACTTCCAGATACTACAAATAGAGTGCTGCACAACTGCTCTATGTGAGGGGAAGTTCAATTCTGTGACTTGAATGCAGACACCACAAAGAAGTTTCTGAGAATTCTGCTGTCTAATTTTTACATGTAAGCCCGTTTCCAACGAAATCCTCAAAGCTATCCAAATATCCGCATGCAGAATCTTCAAAAAGAGTGTTCCAGAAGTACTGCATGAAACGAAAGGTTCAAGTCCGTTTGTTGAGGACACACATCACAAATAAGTTTCTCAGAATGCTTCTGTCTTGTTTTCATTGGAAGATATTTCCTTTTTCACCATAGTTCAGAAAGCGCTCCAAATGTCCACTTCCAGATACTCCAAAAAGAGTGTTTCAAACCTGCTCTATGAATGGGAATGTTCCACTCTGTGACTTGAATGGAAATATGGCAAAGTATTTTCTGAGTATGCTGCTGTGTACGTTTTATATTGCATCCCGTTTCCAACGAAATCCTCAAAGCGATCCAAATATCCACTTGCAGATTCCAAAAAAAGAGTGTTTCAAACTGCTCTGTCAGTACAAAGGTTCAACACTGTTAGTTGATTAGATGCATCATAAACAAGTTCCTGAGATAGCTTCTATGTCGTTTTTATGGGAAGATATTTCCTTTTTCACCATAGGCCTGAAAGCGCTCCAAATGTCCACTTCCAGATACTACAATAAGAGTGTTTCCAACCTGCTCTATGAAACGAAAGGTTCAACTCTGTGACTTGATTGCAAACATCACGAAGGTGTTTCTGAGAATGCTTCTGTCTAGATTTTCTTTGAAGACATTCCCGTTTCCAACGAAATCCTCACAGCTATCCAAATATCCTCTTGCAGATTCTACAAAAAGTGTGGTTCAAAACTGCTGTATCAAAAGAATGGATCAACACTGTTAGTTGAGTACCCACATCACAAACGTGATTCTCAGAATGCTTCTGTCTAGTTTCTGTAGGTAGATATTTCCTATTTTAAGCATAGGCCTGAAAGCGCTCCAAATGCCCGCTTCCAGACACTATAAAAAGAGGGTTTCAAACCTACTCTATGAAAGGGAATGTTCAACTCTGAGAGCTGGATGCAAACATCACAAAGAAGTTTCTGAGAATGCTGCTGTCTACTTTTTATATATAATCCCGTTTCCAACGAAATCCTCAAATCTATCCAAATATCCACTTGCAGATTCCAAAAGAAGAGTGTCTCAAAACTGCTCTATCAATAGAAATGTTCAGCACAGTTAGTTGAGTAGATACAGCATAAACATGTTTCTGAGATTACTTCTATCTCGCATTCATGGGAAGATATTTCCTTTTTCCAGATAGGCTACAAAGCCCTCCAAATGTCCACTTCCAGATACTACAAAAAGAGTGTTTCCAACCTGCTCTATGAAACGGAAGGTTCAACTCTGTGACTTGATTGCAAACATCACGAAGGTGTTTCTGAGAATGCTTCTGTCTAGATTTTCTTTGAAGACATTACCGTTTCCAACGAAATCCTCAAAGTAGCCAAATATCCACCTGCAGATTCTACAAAAAGAGTGTTTCAAAAGTGCTCTGTCCAAACCAAGGTTCAATTCTGACAGTTGAGTGCACACATCACAAACGTGATTCTGCGAATGCTTCTGTCTAGTTTTTGTCGGAAGATATTTCCTTTTTCAGCATAGGCCCCAAGGAGCTCAAAATGTCCACTGCCAGATAGTACGAGAAGATTGTTTCAAACCTGCTCTGTGAAAGGGAATGTTCAACTCTGTGACTTGAATGTAAACATCCCTAAGATGTTTCTTAGAATGCTTCTGGCTAGATTTTATTTGAAGATATTCCCGTTTCCAACGAAATCCTCAAAGCTTTCCAAATATCCACTTCCAGATTCTATAAAAAGAATGTTTCAGAACAGTTCTGTCAAAAGAAAGGTTCAACTCTGTTAGTGGAGAACACACATCACAATCAAGGTTCTGAGAATGCTTCTGTCTAAATTTTCTATGAAGACATTCCCGTTTCCAACGAAATCCTCACAGCTATCCAAATATCCACTTGCAGATTCTACAAAAAGTGTGGTTCAAAACTGCTGTATCAAAAGAATGGATCAACACTGTTAGTTGAGTACCCACATCACAAACGTGATTCTCAGAATGCTTCTGTCTAGTTTCTATAGGTAGATATTTCCTTTTTCAGCATAGGCCTGAAAGCGCTCCAAATGACCGCTTCCAGACACTATAAAAAGAGGGTTTCAAACCTACTCTATGAAAGGGAATGTTCAACTCTGAGAGCTGGATGCAAACATCACAAAGAAGTTTCTGAGAATGCTTGCTGTCTACTTTTGATATATAATCCCGTTTCCAACGAAATCCTCAAATCTATCCAAATATCCACTTGCAGATTCCAAAAGAAGAGTGTCTCAAAACTGCTCTATCAATAGAAATGTTCAGCACAGTTAGTTGAGTAGATACAGCATAAACATGTTTCTGAGATTACTTCTATCTCGCATTCATGGGAAGATATTTCCTTTTTCCAGATAGGCTACAAAGCCCTCCAAATGTCCACTTCCAGATACTACAAAAAGAGTGTTTCCAACCTGCTCTATGAAACGGAAGGTTCAACTCTGTGACTTGATTGCAAACATCACGAAGGTGTTTCTGAGAATGCTTCTGTCTAGATTTTCTTTGAAGACATTACCGTTTCCAACGAAATCCTCAAAGCTAGCCAAATATCCACCTGCAGATTCTACAAAAAGAGTGTTTCAAAAGTGCTCTGTCCAAACCAAGGTTCAATTCTGACAGTTGAGTGCACACATCACAAACGTGATTCTGCGAATGCTTCTGTCTAGTTTTTGTCGGAAGATATTTCCTTTTTCAGCATAGGCCCCAAGGAGCTCAAAATGTCCACTGCCAGATAGTACGAGAAGATTGTTTCAAACCTGCTCTGTGAAAGGGAATGTTCAACTCTGTGACTTGAATGTAAACATCCCTAAGATGTTTCTTAGAATGCTTCTGGCTAGATTTGATTTGAAGATATTCCCGTTTCCAACGAAATCCTCAAAGCTTTCCAAATATCCACTTCCAGATTCTATAAAAAGAATGTTTCAGAACAGTTCTGTCAAAAGAAAGGTTCAACTCTGTTAGTGGAGAACACACATCACAATCAAGGTTCTGAGAATGCTTCTGTCTAAATTTTCTATGAAGACATTCCCGTTTCCAACGAAATCCTCACAGCTATCCAAATATCCACTTGCAGATTCTACAAAAAGTGTGGTTCAAAACTGCTGTATCAAAAGAATGGATCAACACTGTTAGTTGAGTACCCACATCACAAACGTGATTCTCAGAATGCTTCTGTCTAGTTTCTATAGGTAGATATTTCCTATTTTAAGCATAGGCCTGAAAGCGCTCCAAATGCCCGCTTCCAGACACTATAAAAAGAGGGTTTCAAACCTACTCTATGAAAGGGAATGTTCAACTCTGAGAGCTGGATGCAAACATCACAAAGAAGTTTCTGAGAATGCTGCTGTCTACTTTTGATATATAATCCCGTTTCCAACGAAATCCTCAAATCTATCCAAATATCCACTTGCAGATTCCAAAAGAAGAGTGTCTCAAAACTGCTCTATCAATAGAAATGTTCAGCACAGTTAGTTGAGTAGATACAGCATAAACATGTTTCTGAGATTACTTCTATCTCGCATTCATGGGAAGATATTTCCTTTTTCCAGATAGGCTACAAAGCCCTCCAAATGTCCACTTCCAGATACTACAAATAGAGTGCTGCACAACTGCTCTATGTGAGGGGAAGTTCAATTCTGTGACTTGAATGCAGACACCACAAAGAAGTTTCTGAGAATGCTGCTGTCTAATTTTTACATGTAAGCCCGTTTCCAACGAAATCCTCAAAGCTATCCAAATATCCGCATGCAGAATCTTCAAAAAGAGTGTTCCAGAAGTACTGCATGAAACGAAAGGTTCAAGTCCGTTTGTTGAGGACACACATCACAAATAAGTTTCTCAGAATGCTTCTGTCTTGTTTTCATTGGAAGATATTTCCTTTTTCACCATAGTTCAGAAAGCGCTCCAAATGTCCACTTCCAGATACTCCAAAAAGAGTGTTTCCAACCTGCTCTATGAATGGGAATGTTCCAGTCTGTGACTTGAATGGAAATATGGCAAAGTATTTTCTGAGTATGCTGCTGTGTACGTTTTATATTGCATCCCGTTTCCAACGAAATCCTCAAAGCGATCCAAATATCCACTTGCAGATTCCAAAAAAAGAGTGTTTCAAAGTGCTCTGTCAGTACAAAGGTTCAACACTGTTAGTTGATTAGATGCATCATAAACAAGTTCCTGAGATAGCTTCTATGTCGTTTTTATGGGAAGATATTTCCTTTTTCACCATAGGCCTGAAAGCGCTCCAAATGTCCACTTCCAGATACTACAATAAGAGTGTTTCCAACCTGCTCTATGAAACGGAAGGTTCAACTCTGTGACTTGATTGCAAACATCACGAAGGTGTTTCTGAGAATGCTTCTGTCTAGATTTTCTTTGAAGACATTCCCGTTTCCAACGAAATCCTCACAGCTATCCAAATATCCTCTTGCAGATTCTACAAAAAGTGTGGTTCAAAACTGCTGTATCAAAAGAATGGATCAACACTGTTAGTTGAGTACCCACATCACAAACGTGATTCTCAGAATGCTTCTGTCTAGTTTCTGTAGGTAGATATTTCCTATTTTAAGCATAGGCCTGAAAGCGCTCCAAATGCCCGCTTCCAGACACTATAAAAAGAGGGTTTCAAACCTACTCTATGAAAGGGAATGTTCAACTCTGAGAGCTGGATGCAAACATCACAAAGAAGTTTCTGAGAATGCTGCTGTCTACTTTTTATATATAATCCCGTTTCCAACGAAATCCTCAAATCTATCCAAATATCCACTTGCAGATTCCAAAAGAAGAGTGTCTCAAAACTGCTCTATCAATAGAAATGTTCAGCACAGTTAGTTGAGTAGATACAGCATAAACATGTTTCTGAGATTACTTCTATCTCGCATTCATGGGAAGATATTTCCTTTTTCCAGATAGGCTACAAAGCCCTCCAAATGTCCACTTCCAGATACTACAAAAAGTGTGTTTCCAACCTGCTCTATGAAACGGAAGGTTCAACTCTGTGACTTGATTGCAAACATCACGAAGGTGTTTCTGAGAATGCTTCTGTCTAGATTTTCTTTGAAGACATTACCGTTTCCAACGAAATCCTCAAAGCTAGCCAAATATCCACCTGCAGATTCTACAAAAAGAGTGTTTCAAAAGTGCTCTCTCCAAACCAAGGTTCAATTCTGACAGTTGAGTGCACACATCACAAACGTGATTCTGCGAATGCTTCTGTCTAGTTTTTGTCAGAAGATATTTCCTTTTTCAGCATAGGCCCCAAGGCAGCTCAAAATGTCCACTGCCAGATAGTACGAGAAGATTGTTTCAAACCTGCTCTGTGAAAGGGAATGTTCAACTCTGTGACTTGAATGTAAACATCCCTAAGATGTTTCTTAGAATGCTTCTGGCTAGATTTGATTTGAAGATATTCCCGTTTCCAACGAAATCCTCAAAGCTTTCCAAATATCCACTTCCAGATTCTATAAAAAGAATGTTTCAGAACAGTTCTGTCAAAAGAAAGGTTCAACTCTGTTAGTGGAGAACACACATCACAATCAAGGTTCTGAGAATGCTTCTGTCTAAATTTTCTATGAAGACATTCCCGTTTCCAACGAAATCCTCACAGCTATCCAAATATCCACTTGCAGATTCTACAAAAAGTGTGGTTCAAAACTGCTGTATCAAAAGAATGGATCAACACTGTTAGTTGAGTACCCACATCACAAACGTGATTCTCAGAATGCTTCTGTCTAGTTTCCATAGGTAGATATTTCCTTTTTCAGCATAGGCCTGAAAGCGCTCCAAATGCCCGCTTCCAGACACTATAAAAAGAGGGTTTCAAACCTACTCTATGAAAGGGAATGTTCAACTCTGAGAGCTGGATGCAAACATCACAAAGAAGTTTCTGAGAATGCTGCTGTCTACTTTTGATATATAATCCCGTTTCCAACGAAATCCTCAAATCTATCCAAATATCCACTTGCAGATTCCAAAAGAAGAGTGTCTCAAAACTGCTCTATCAATAGAAATGTTCAGCACAGTTAGTTGAGTAGATACAGCATAAACATGTTTCTGAGATTACTTCTATCTCGCATTCATGGGAAGATATTTCCTTTTTCCACATAGGCTACAAAGCCCTCCAAATGTCCACTTCCAGATACTACAAAAAGAGTGTTTCCAACCTGCTCTATGAAACGGAAGGTTCAACTCTGTGACTTGATTGCAAACATCACGAAGGTGTTTCTGAGAATGCTTCTGTCTAGATTTTCTTTGAAGACATTACCGTTTCCAACGAAATCCTCAAAGCTAGCCAAATATCCACCTGCAGATTCTACAAAAAGAGTGTTTCAAAAGTGCTCTGTCCAAACCAAGGTTCAATTCTGACAGTTGAGTGCACACATCACAAACGTGATTCTGCGAATGCTTCTGTCTAGTTTTTGTCGGAAGATATTTCCTTTTTCAGCATAGGCCCCAAGGAGCTCAAAATGTCCACTGCCAGATAGTACGAGAAGATTGTTTCAAACCTGCTCTGTGAAAGGGAATGTTCAACTCTGTGACTTGAATGTAAACATCCCTAAGATGTTTCTTAGAATGCTTCCGGCTAGATTTGATTTGAAGATATTCCCGTTTCCAACGAAATCCTCAAAGCTTTCCAAATATCCACTTCCAGATTCTATAACAAGAATGTTTCAGAACAGTTCTGTCAAAAGAAAGGTTCAACTCTGTTAGTGGGGAACACACTTCACAATCAAGGTTCTGAGAATGCTTCTGTCTAAATTTTCTATGAAGACATTCCCGTTTCCAACGAAATCCTCACAGCTATCCAAATATCCACTTGCAGATTCTACAAAAAGTGTGGTTCAAAACTGCTGTATCAAAAGAATGGATCAACACTGTTAGTTGAGTACCCACATCACAAACGTGATTCTCAGAATGCTTCTGTCTAGTTTCCATAGGTAGATATTTCCTTTTTCAGCATAGGCCTGAAAGCGCTCCAAATGCCCGCTTCCAGACACTATAAAAAGAGGGTTTCAAACCTACTCTATGAAAGGGAATGTTCAACTCTGAGAGCTGGATGCAAACATCACAAAGAAGTTTCTGAGAATGCTGCTGTCTACTTTTGATATATAATCCCGTTTCCAACGAAATCCTCAAATCTATCCAAATATCCACTTGCAGATTCCAAAAGAAGAGTGTCTCAAAACTGCTCTATCAATAGAAATGTTCAGCACAGTTAGTTGAGTAGATACAGCATAAACATGTTTCTGAGATTACTTCTATCTCGCATTCATGGGAAGATATTTCCTTTTTCCACATAGGCTACAAAGCCCTCCAAATGTCCACTTCCAGATACTACAAAAAGAGTGTTTCCAACCTGCTCTATGAAACGGAAGGTTCAACTCTGTGACTTGATTGCAAACATCACGAAGGTGTTTCTGAGAATGCTTCTGTCTAGATTTTCTTTGAAGACATTACCGTTTCCAACGAAATCCTCAAAGTTAGCCAAATATCCACCTGCAGATTCTACAAAAAGAGTGTTTCAAAAGTGCTCTGTCCAAACCAAGGTTCAATTCTGACAGTTGAGTGCACACATCACAAACGTGATTCTGCGAATGCTTCTGTCTAGTTTTTGTCGGAAGATATTTCCTTTTTCAGCATAGGCCCCAAGGAGCTCAAAATGTCCACTGCCAGATAGTACGAGAAGATTGTTTCAAACCTGCTCTGTGAAAGGGAATGTTCAACTCTGTGACTTGAATGTAAACATCCCTAAGATGTTTCTTAGAATGCTTCTGGCTAGATTTGATTTGAAGATATTCCCGTTTCCAACGAAATCCTCAAAGCTTTCCAAATATCCACTTCCAGATTCTATAAAAAGAATGTTTCAGAACAGTTCTGTCAAAAGAAAGGTTCAACTCTGTTAGTGGAGAACACACATCACAATCAAGGTTCTGAGAATGCTTCTGTCTAAATTTTCTATGAAGACATTCCCGTTTCCAACGAAATCCTCACAGCTATCCAAATATCCACTTGCAGATTCTACAAAAAGTGTGGTTCAAAACTGCTGTATCAAAAGAATGGATCAACACTGTTAGTTGAGTACCCACATCACAAACGTGATTCTCAGAATGCTTCTGTCTAGTTTCTATAGGTAGATATTTCCTTTTTCAGCATAGGCCTGAAAGCGCTCCAAATGCCCGCTTCCAGACACTATAAAAAGAGGGTTTCAAACCTACTCTATGAAAGGGAATGTTCAACTCTGAGAGCTGGATGCAAACATCACAAAGAAGTTTCTGAGAATGCTGCTGTCTACTTTTTATATATAATCCCGTTTCCAACGAAATCCTCAAATCTATCCAAATATCCACTTGCAGATTCCAAAAGAAGAGTGTCTCAAAACTGCTCTATCAATAGAAATGTTCAGCACAGTTAGTTGAGTAGGTACAGCATAAACATGTTTCTGAGATTACTTCTATCTCGCATTCATGGGAAGATATTTCCTTTTTCCACATAGGCTACAAAGCCCTCCAAATGTCCACTTCCAGATACTACAAATAGAGTGCTGCACAACTGCTCTATGTGAGGGGATGTTCAATTCTGTGACTTGAATGCAGACACCACAAAGAAGTTTCTGAGAATGCTGCTGTCTAATTTTTACATGTAAGCCCGTTTCCAACGAAATCCTCAAAGCTATCCAAATATCCGCATGCAATATCTTCAAAAAGAGTGTTCCAGAAGTACTGCATGAAACGAAAGGTTCAAGTCCGTTTGTTGAGGACACACATCACAAATAAGTTTCTCAGAATGCTTCTGTCTTGTTTTCATTGGAAGATATTTCCTTTTTCACCATAGTTCAGAAAGCGCTCCAAATGTCCACTTCCAGATACTCCAAAAAGAGTGTTTCAAACCTGCTCTATGAATGGGAATGTTCCACTCTGTGACTTGAATGGAAATATGGCAAAGTATTTTCTGAGTATGCTGCTGTGTACGTTTTATATTGCATCCCGTTTCCAACGAAATCCTCAAAGCGATCCAAATATCCACTTGCAGATTCCAAAAAAAGAGTGTTTCAAACTGCTCTGTCAGTACAAAGGTTCAACACTGTTAGTTGATTAGATGCATCATAAACAAGTTCCTGAGATAGCTTCTATGTCGTTTTTATGGGAAGATATTTCCTTTTTCACCATAGGCCTGAAAGCGCTCCAAATGTCCACTTCCAGATACTACAATAAGAGTGTTTCCAACCTGCTCTATGAAACGGAAGGTTCAACTCTGTGACTTGATTGCAAACATCACGAAGGTGTTTCTGAGAATGCTTCTGTCTAGATTTTCTTTGAAGACATTCCCGTTTCCAACGAAATCCTCACAGCTATCCAAATATCCTCTTGCAGATTCTACAAAAAGTGTGGTTCAAAACTGCTGTATCAAAAGAATGGATCAACACTGTTAGTTGAGTACCCACATCACAAACGTGATTCTCAGAATGCTTCTGTCTAGTTTCTGTAGGTAGATATTTCCTATTTTAAGCATAGGCCTGAAAGCGCTCCAAATGCCCGCTTCTAGACACTATAAAAAGAGGGTTTCAAACCTACTCTATGAAAGGGAATGTTCAACTCTGAGAGCTGGATGCAAACATCACAAAGAAGTTTCTGAGAATGCTGCTGTCTACTTTTTATATATAATCCCGTTTCCAACGAAATCCTCAAATCTATCCAAATATCCACTTGCAGATTCCAAAAGAAGAGTGTCTCAAAACTGCTCTATCAATAGAAATGTTCAGCACAGTTAGTTGAGTAGATACAGCATAAACATGTTTCTGAGATTACTTCTATCTCGCATTCATGGGAAGATATTTCCTTTTTCCAGATAGGCTACAAAGCCCTCCAAATGTCCACTTCCAGATACTACAAATAGAGTGCTGCACAACTGCTCTATGTGAGGGGAAGTTCAATTCTGTGACTTGAATGCAGACACCACAAAGAAGTTTCTGAGAATGCTGCTGTCTAATTTTTACATGTAAGCCCGTTTCCAACGAAATCCTCAAAGCTATCCAAATATCCGCATGCAGAATCTTCAAAAAGAGTGTTCCAGAAGTACTGCATGAAACGAAAGGTTCAAGTCCGTTTGTTGAGGACACACATCACAAATAAGTTTCTCAGAATGCTTCTGTCTTGTTTTCATTGGAAGATATTTCCTTTTTCACCATAGTTCAGAAAGCGCTCCAAATGTCCACTTCCAGATACTCCAAAAAGAGTGTTTCCAACCTGCGCTATGAATGGGAATGTTCCACTCTGTGACTTGAATGGAAATATGGCAAAGTATTTTCTGAGTATGCTGCTGTGTACGTTTTATATTGCATCCCGTTTCCAACGAAATCCTCAAAGCGATCCAAATATCCACTTGCAGATTCCAAAAAAAGAGTGTTTCAAACTGCTCTGTCAGTACAAAGGTTCAACACTGTTAGTTGATTAGATGCATCATAAACAAGTTCCTGAGATAGCTTCTATGTCGTTTTTATGGGAAGATATTTCCTTTTTCACCATAGGCCTGAAAGCGCTCCAAATGTCCACTTCCAGATACTACAATAAGAGTGTTTCCAACCTGCTCTATGAAACGGAAGGTTCAACTCTGTGACTTGATTGCAAACATCACGAAGGTGTTTCTGAGAATGCTTCTGTCTAGATTTTCTTTGAAGACATTCCCGTTTCCAACGAAATCCTCACAGCTATCCAAATATCCTCTTGCAGATTCTACAAAAAGTGTGGTTCAAAACTGCTGTATCAAAAGAATGGATCAACACTGTTAGTTGAGTACCCACATCACAAACGTGATTCTCAGAATGCTTCTGTCTAGTTTCTGTAGGTAGATATTTCCTATTTTAAGCATAGGCCTGAAAGCGCTCCAAATGCCCGCTTCCAGACACTATAAAAAGAGGGTTTCAAACCTACTCTATGAAAGGGAATGTTCAACTCTGAGAGCTGGATGCAAACATCACAAAGAAGTTTCTGAGAATGCTGCTGTCTACTTTTTATATATAATCCCGTTTCCAACGAAATCCTCAAATCTATCCAAATATCCACTTGCAGATTCCAAAAGAAGAGTGTCTCAAAACTGCTCTATCAATAGAAATGTTCAGCACAGTTAGTTGAGTAGATACAGCATAAACATGTTTCTGAGATTACTTCTATCTCGCATTCATGGGAAGATATTTCCTTTTTCCAGATAGGCTACAAAGCCCTCCAAATGTCCACTTCCAGATACTACAAAAAGAGTGTTTCCAACCTGCTCTATGAAACGGAAGGTTCAACTCTGTGACTTGATTGCAAACATCACGAAGGTGTTTCTGAGAATGCTTCTGTCTAGATTTTCTTTGAAGACATTACCGTTTCCAACGAAATCCTCAAAGCTAGCCAAATATCCACCTGCAGATTCTACAAAAAGAGTGTTTCAAAAGTGCTCTGTCCAAACCAAGGTTCAATTCTGACAGTTGAGTGCACACATCACAAACGTGATTCTGCGAATGCTTCTGTCTAGTTTTTGTCGGAAGATATTTCCTTTTTCAGCATAGGCCCCAAGGAGCTCAAAATGTCCACTTCCAGATAGTACGAGAAGATTGTTTCAAACCTGCTCTGTGAAAGGGAATGTTCAACTCTGTGACTTGAATGTAAACATCCCTAAGTTGTTTCTTAGAATGCTTCTGGCTAGATTTGATTTGAAGATATTCCCGTTTCCAACGAAATCCTCAAAGCTTTCCAAATATCCACTTCCAGATTCTATAAAAAGAATGTTTCAGAACAGTTCTGTCAAAAGAAAGGTTCAACTCTGTTAGTGGAGAACACACATCACAATCAAGGTTCTGAGAATGCTTCTGTCTAAATTTTCTATGAAGACATTCCCGTTTCCAACGAAATCTTCACAGCTATCCAAATATCCACTTGCAGATTCTACAAAAAGTGTGGTTCAAAACTGCTGTATCAAAAGAATGGATCAACACTGTTAGTTGAGTACCCACATCACAAACGTGATTCTCAGAATGCTTCTGTCTAGTTTCTATAGGTAGATATTTCCTTTTTCAGCATAGGCCTGAAAGCGCTCCAAATGCCCGCTTCCAGACACTATAAAAAGAGGGTTTCAAACCTACTCTATGAAAGGGAATGTTCAACTCTGAGAGCTGGATGCAAACATCACAAAGAAGTTTCTGAGAATGCTGCTGTCTACTTTTTATATATAATCCCGTTTCCAACGAAATCCTCAAATCTATCCAAATATCCACTTGCAGATTCCAAAAGAAGAGTGTCTCAAAACTGCTCTATCAATAGAAATGTTCAGCACAGTTAGTTGAGTAGATACAGCATAAACATGTTTCTGAGATTACTTCTATCTCGCATTCATGGGAAGATATTTCCTTTTTCCAGATAGGCTACAAAGCCCTCCAAATGTCCACTTCCAGATACTACAAAAAGAGTGTTTCCAACCTGCTCTATGAAACGGAAGGTTCAACTCTGTGACTTGATTGCAAACATCACGAAGGTGTTTCTGAGAATGCTTCTGTCTAGATTTTCTTTGAAGACATTACCGTTTCCAACGAAATCCTCAAAGCTAGCCAAATATCCACCTGCAGATTCTACAAAAAGAGTGTTTCAAAAGTGCTCTGTCCAAACCAAGGTTCAATTCTGACAGTTGAGTGCACACATCACAAACGTGATTCTGCGAATGCTTCTGTCTAGTTTTTGTCGGAAGATATTTCCTTTTTCAGCATAGGCCCCAAGGAGCTCAAAATGTCCACTGCCAGATAGTACGAGAAGATTGTTTCAAACCTGCTCTGTGAAAGGGAATGTTCAACTCTGTGACTTGAATGTAAACATCCCTAAGATGTTTCTTAGAATGCTTCTGGCTAGATTTGATTTGAAGATATTCCCGTTTCCAACGAAATCCTCAAAGCTTTCCAAATATCCACTTCCAGATTCTATAAAAAGAATGTTTCAGAACAGTTCTGTCAAAAGAAAGGTTCAGCTCTGTTAGTGGAGAACACACATCACAATCAAGGTTCTGAGAATGCCCTTTTTCTGTCTAAATTTTCTATGAAGACATTCCCGTTTCCAACGAAATCCTCACAGCTATCCAAATATCCACTTGCAGATTCTACAAAAAGTGTGGTTCAAAACTGCTGTATCAAAAGAATGGATCAACACTGTTAGTTGAGTACCCACATCACAAACGTGATTCTCAGAATGCTTCTGTCTAGTTTCTATAGGTAGATATTTCCTTTTTCAGCATAGGCCTGAAAGCGCTCCAAATGCCCGCTTCCAGACACTATAAAAAGAGGGTTTCAAACCTACTCTATGAAAGAGAATGTTCAACTCTGAGAGCTGGATGCAAACATCACAAAGAAGTTTCTGAGAATGCTGCTGTCTACTTTTTATATATAATCCCGTTTCCAACGAAATCCTCAAATCTATCCAAATATCCACTTGCAGATTCCAAAAGAAGAGTGTCTCAAAACTGCTCTATCAATAGAAATGTTCAGCACAGTTAGTTGAGTAGATACAGCATAAACATGTTTCTGAGATTACTTCTATCTCGCATTCATGGGAAGATATTTCCTTTTTCCAGATAGGCTACAAAGCCCTCCAAATGTCCACTTCCAGATACTACAAATAGAGTGCTGCACAACTGCTCTATGTGAGGGGATGTTCAATTCTGTGACTTGAATGCAGACACCACAAAGAAGTTTCTGAGAATGCTGCTGTCTAATTTTTACATGTAAGCCCGTTTCCAACGAAATCCTCAAAGCTATCCAAATATCCGCATGCAGAATCTTCAAAAAGAGTGTTCCAGAAGTACTGCATGAAACGAAAGGTTCAAGTCCGTTTGTTGAGGACACACATCACAAATAAGTTTCTCAGAATGCTTCTGTCTTGTTTTCATTGGAAGATATTTCCTTTTTCACCATAGTTCAGAAAGCGCTCCAAATGTCCACTTCCAGATACTCCAAAAAGAGTGTTTCAAACCTGCTCTATGAATGGGAATGTTCCACTCTGTGACTTGAATGGAAATATGGCAAAGTATTTTCTGAGTATGCTGCTGTGTACGTTTTATATTGCATCCCGTTTCCAACGAAATCCTCAAAGCGATCCAAATATCCACTTGCAGATTCCAAAAAAAGAGTGTTTCAAACTGCTCTGTCAGTACAAAGGTTCAACACTGTTAGTTGATTAGATGCATCATAAACAAGTTCCTGAGACAGCTTCTATGTCGTTTTTATGGGAAGATATTTCCTTTTTCACCATAGGCCTGAAAGCGCTCCAAATGTCCCCTTCCAGATACTACAATAAGAGTGTTTCCAACCTGCTCTATGAAACGGAAGGTTCAACTCTGTGACTTGATTGCAAACATCACGAAGGTGTTTCTGAGAATGCTTCTGTCTAGATTTTCTTTGAAGACATTCCCGTTTCCAACGAAATCCTCACAGCTATCCAAATATCCTCTTGCAGATTCTACAAAAAGTGTGGTTCAAAACTGCTGTATCAAAAGAATGGATCAACACTGTTAGTTGAGTACCCACATCACAAACGTGATTCTCAGAATGCTTCTGTCTAGTTTCTATAGGTAGATATTTCCTATTTTAAGCATAGGCCTGAAAGCGCTCCAAATGCCCGCTTCCAGACACTATAAAAAGAGGGTTTCAAACCTACTCTATGAAAGGGAATGTTCAACTCTGAGAGCTGGATGCAAACATCACAAAGAAGTTTCTGAGAATGCTCCTGTCTACTTTTTATATATAATCCCGTTTCCAACGAAATCCTCAAATCTATCCAAATATCCACTTGCAGATTCCAAAAGAAGAGTGTCTCAAAACTGCTCTATCAATAGAAATGTTCAGCACAGTTAGTTGAGTAGATACAGCATAAACATGTTTCTGAGATTACTTCTATCTCGCATTCATGGGAAGATATTTCCTTTTTCCAGATAGGCTACAAAGCCCTCCAAATGTCCACTTCCAGATACTACAAATAGAGTGCTGCACAACTGCTCTATGTGAGGGGAAGTTCAATTCTGTGACTTGAATGCAGACACCACAAAGAAGTTTCTGAGAATGCTGCTGTCTAATTTTTACATGTAAGCCCGTTTCCAACGAAATCCTCAAAGCTATCCAAATATCCGCATGCAGAATCTTCAAAAAGAGTGTTCCAGAAGTACTGCATGAAACGAAAGGTTCAAGTCCGTTTGTTGAGGACACACATCACAAATAAGTTTCTCAGAATGCTTCTGTCTTGTTTTCATTGGAAGATATTTCCTTTTTCACCATAGTTCAGAAAGCGCTCCAAATGTCCACTTCCAGATACTCCAAAAAGAGTGTTTCCAACCTGCTCTATGAATGGGAATGTTCCACTCTGTGACTTGAATGGAAATATGGCAAAGTATTTTCTGAGTATGCTGCTGTGTACGTTTTATATTGCATCCCGTTTCCAACGAAATCCTCAAAGCGATCCAAATATCCACTTGCAGATTCCAAAAAAAGAGTGTTTCAAACTGCTCTGTCAGTACAAAGGTTCAACACTGTTAGTTGATTAGATGCATCATAAAAAAGTTCCTGAGATAGCTTCTATGTCGTTTTTATGGGAAGATATTTCCTTTTTCACCATAGGCCTGAAAGCGCTCCAAATGTCCACTTCCAGATACTACAATAAGAGTGTTTCCAACCTGCTCTATGAAACGGAAGGTTCAACTCTGTGACTTGATTGCAAACATCACGAAGGTGTTTCTGAGAATGCTTCTGTCTAAATTTTCTATGAAGAAATTCCCGTTCCCAACGAATCCTCACAGCTATCCAAATATCCATTGCAGATTCTACAAAAAGGGTGGTTCAAAACTGCTGTATCAAAAGAATGGATCAACACTGTTAGTTGAGTACCCACATCACAAACGTGATTCTCAGAATGCTTCTGTCTAGTTTCTGTAGGTAGATATTTCCTTTTTCAGCATAGGCCTGAAAGCGCTCCAAATGCCCGCTTCCAGACACTATAAAAAGGGGGTTTCAAATCTACTCTATGAAAGGGAATGTTCAACTCTGAGAGCTGGATGCAAACATCACAAAGAAGTTTCTGAGAATGCTGCTGTCTACTTTTTATATATAATCGAGTTTCCAACGAAATCCTCAAATCTATCCAAATATCCACTTGCAGATTCCAAAAGAAGAGTGTCTCAAAACTACTCTATCAATAGAAATGTTCAGCACAGTTAGTTGAGTAGATACAGCATAAACATGTTTCTGAGATTACTTCTATCTCGCATTCATGGGAAGATATTTCCTTTTTCCAGATAGGCTACAAAGCCCTCCAAATGTCCACTTCCAGATACTACAAATAGAGTGCTGCACAACTGCTCTATGTGAGGGGAAGTTCAATTCTGTGACTTGAATGCAGACACCACAAAGAAGTTTCTGAGAATGCTGCTGTCTAATTTTTACATGTAAGCCCGTTTCCAACGAAATCCTCAAAGCTATCCAAATATCCGCATGCAGAATCTTCAAAAAGAGTGTTCCAGAAGTACTGCATGAAACGAAAGGTTCAAGTCCGTTTGTTGAGGACACACATCACAAATAAGTTTCTCAGAATGCTTCTGTCTTGTTTTCATTGGAAGATACTTCCTTTTTCACCATAGTTCGGAAAGCGCTCCAAAAGTCCACTTCCAGATACTCCAAAAAGAGTGTTTCAAACCTGCTCTATGAATGGGAATGTTCCACTCTGTGACTTGAATGGAAATATGGCAAAGTATTTTCTGAGTATGCTGCTGTGTACGTTTTATATTGCATCCCGTTTCCAACGAAATCCTCAAAGCGATCCAAATATCCACTTGCAGATTCCAAAAAAAGTGTTTCAAACTGCTCTGTCAGTACAAAGGTTCAACACTGTTAGTTGATTAGATGCATCATAAACAAGTTCTGAGATAGCTTCTATCTCGCATTCATGGGAAGATATTTCCTTTTTCCAGATAGGCTACAAAGCCCTCCAAATGTCCAGTTCCAGATACTACAAAAAGTGTGTTTCCAACATGCTCTATGAAACGGAAGGTTCAACTCTGTGACTTGATTGCAAACATCACGAAGGTGTTTCTGAGAATGCTTCTGTCTAGATTTTCTTTGAAGACATTACCGTTTCCAACGAAATCCTCAAAGCTAGCCAAATATCCACCTGCAGATTCTACAAAAAGAGTGTTTCAAAAGTGCTCTGTCCAAACCAAGGTTCAATTCTGACAGTTGAGTGCACACATCACAAACGTGATTCTGCGAATGCTTCTGTCTAGTTTTTGTCGGAAGATATTTCCTTTTTCAGCATAGGCCCCAAGGAGCTCAAAATGTCCACTGCCAGATAGTACGAGAAGATTGTTTCAAACCTGCTCTGTGAAAGGGAATGTTCAACTCTGTGACTTGAATGTAAACATCCCTAAGATGTTTCTTAGAATGCTTCTGTCTAGATTTTATTTGAAGATATTCCCGTTTCCAACGAAATCCTCAAAGCTTTCCAAATATCCACTTCCAGATTCTATAAAAAGAATGTTTCAGAACAGTTCTGTCAAAAGAAAGGTTCAACTCTGTTAGTGGAGAACACACATCACAATCAAGGTTCTGAGAATGCTTCTGTCTAATTTTCTATGAAGACATTCCCGTTTCCAACGAAATCCTCACAGCTATCCAAATATCCACTTGCAGATTCTACAAAAAGTGTGGTTCAAAACTGCTGTATCAAAAGAATGGATCAACACTGTTAGTTGAGTACCCACATCACAAACGTGATTCTCAGAATGCTTCTGACTAGTTTCTGTAGGTAGATATTTCCTTTTTCAGCATAGGCGTGAAAGCGCTCCAAATGCCCGCTTCCAGACACTATAAAAAGAGGGTTTCAAACCTACTCTATGAAAGGGAATGTTCAACTCTGAGAGCTGGATGCAAACATCACAAAGAAGTTTCTGAGAATGCTGCTGTCTACTTTTGATATATAATCCCGTTTCCAACGAAATCCTCAAATCTATCCAAATATCCACTTGCAGATTCCAAAAGAAGAGTGTCTCAAAACTGCTCTATCAATAGAAATGTTCAGCACAGTTAGTTGAGTAGATACAGCATAAACATGTTTCTGAGATTACTTCTATCTCGCATTCATGGGAAGATATTTCCTTTTTCCAGATAGGCTACAAAGCCCTCCAAATGTCCACTTCCAGATACTACAAATAGAGTGCTGCACAACTGCTCTATGTGAGGGGAAGTTCAATTCTGTGACTTGAATGCAGACACCACAAAGAAGTTTCTGAGAATGCTGCTGTCTAATTTTTACATGTAAGCCCGTTTCCAACGAAATCCTCAAAGCTATCCAAATATCCGCATGCAGAATCTTCAAAAAGAGTGTTCCAGAAGTACTGCATGAAACGAAAGGTTCAAGTCCGTTTGTTGAGGACACACATCACAAATAAGTTTCTCAGAATGCTTCTGTCTTGTTTTCATTGGAAGATATTTCCTTTTTCACCATAGTTCAGAAAGCGCTCCAAATGTCCACTTCCAGATACTCCAAAAAGAGTGTTTCCAACCTGCTCTATGAATGGGAATGTTCCACTCTGTGACTTGAATGGAAATATGGCAAAGTATTTTCTGAGTATGCTGCTGTGTACGTTTTATATTGCATCCCGTTTCCAACGAAATCCTCAAAGCGATCCAAATATCCACTTGCAGATTCCAAAAAAAGAGTGTTTCAAACTGCTCTGTCAGTACAAAGGTTCAACACTGTTAGTTGATTAGATGCATCATAAACAAGTTCCTGATATAGATTCTATGTCGTTTTTATGGGAAGATATTTCCTTTTTCACCATAGGCCTGAAAGCGCTCCAAATGTCCACTTCCAGATACTACAATAAGAGTGTTTCCAACCTGCTCTATGAAACGGAAGGTTCAACTCTGTGACTTGATTGCAAACATCACGAAGGTGTTTCTGAGAATGCTTCTGTCTAGATTTTCTTTGAAGACATTCCCGTTTCCAACGAAATCCTCACAGCTATCCAAATATCCTCTTGCAGATTCTACAAAAAGTGTGGTTCAAAACTGCTGTATCAAAAGAATGGATCAACACTGTTAGTTGAGTACCCACATCACAAACGTGATTCTCAGAATGCTTCTGTCTAGTTTCTGTAGGTAGATATTTCCTATTTTAAGCATAGGCCTGAAAGCGCTCCAAATGCCCGCTTCCAGACACTATAAAAAGAGGGTTTCAAACCTACTCTATGAAAGGGAATGTTCAACTCTGAGAGCTGGATGCAAACATCACAAAGAAGTTTCTGAGAATGCTGCTGTCTACTTTTTATATATAATCCCGTTTCCAACGAAATCCTCAAATCTCTCCAAATATCCACTTGCAGATTCCAAAAGAAGAGTGTCTCAAAACTGCTCTATCAATAGAAATGTTCAGCACAGTTAGTTGAGTAGATACAGCATAAACATGTTTCTGAGATTACTTCTATCTCGCATTCATGGGAAGATATTTCCTTTTTCCACATAGGCTACAAAGCCCTCCAAATGTCCACTTCCAGATACTACAAATAGAGTGCTGCACAACTGCTCTATGTGAGGGGATGTTCAATTCTGTGACTTGAATGCAGACACCACAAAGAAGTTTCTGAGAATGCTGCTGTCTAATTTTTACATGTAAGCCCGTTTCCAACGAAATCCTCAAAGCTATCCAAATATCCGCATGCAGAATCTTCAAAAAGAGTGTTCCAGAAGTACTGCATGAAACGAAAGGTTCAAGTCCGTTTGTTGAGGACACACATCACAAATAAGTTTCTCAGAATGCTTCTGTCTTGTTTTCATTGGAAGATATTTCCTTTTTCACCATAGTTCAGAAAGCGCTCCAAATGTCCACTTCCAGATACTCCAAAAAGACTGTTTCAAACCTGCTCTATGAATGGGAATGTTCCACTGAGTGACTTGAATGGAAATATGGCAAAGTATTTTCTGAATATGCTGCTGTGCACGTTTTATATTGCATCCCGTTTCCAACGAAATCCACAAAGCGATCCAAATATCCACTTGCAGATTCCAAAAAAACAGTGTTTCAAACTGCTCTGTCAGTTCAAAGGTTCAACACTGTTAGTTGATTAGATGCATCATAAACAAGTTCCTGAGATAGCTTCTATGTCGTTTTTATGGGAAGATATTTCCTTTTTCACCAGAGGCCTGAAAGCACTCCAAATGTCCACTTCCAGATACTACAAAAAGAGTGTTTCCAACCTGCTCTATGAAACGGAAGGTTCAACTCTGTGACTTGATTGCAAACATCACGAAGGTGTTTCTGAGAATGTTTCTGTCTAGATTTTCTTTGAAGACATTACCGTTTCCAACGAAATCCTCAAAGCTAGCCAAATATCCACCTGCAGATCCTTCAAAAAGTGTGTTTCAAAAGTGCTCTGTCCAAACCAAGGTTCAATGCTGACAGTTGAGTGCACACATCACAAACGTGATTCTGCGAATGCTTCTGTCTAGTTTTTGTCGGAAGATATTTCCTTTTTCAGCATAGGCCCCAAGGAGCTCAAGATGTCCACTTCCAGATAGTACGAGAAGATTGTTTCAAACCTGCTCTGCGAAAGGGAATGTTCCACTCTGTTACTTGAAGGTAAACATCCCTAAGATGTTTCTTAGAATGCTTCTGGCTAGATTTTATTAGAAGATATTCCCGTTTCCAACGAAATCCTCAAAGCTTTCCAAATATCCACTTCCAGATACTATAAAAGGAATGTTTCAGAACACTTCTGTCAAAAGAAAGGTTCAACTCTGTTAGTGGAGAACACACATCACAATCAAGGTTCTGAGAATGCTTCTGTCTAAATTTTCTACGAAGACATTCCCGTTTCCAATGAAATCCTCACAGCTATCCAAATATCCACTTGCAGATTCTACAAAAAGTGTGGTTCAAAACTGCTGTATCAAAAGAATGGATCAACACTGTTAGTTGAGTACCCACATCACAAACGTGATTCTCAGAATGCTTCTGACTAGTTTCTGTAGGTAGATATTTCCTTTTTCAGCATAGGCGTGAAAGCGCTCCAAATGCCCGCTTCCAGACACTATAAAAAGAGGGTTTCAAACCTACTCTATGAAAGGGAATGTTCAACTCTGAGAGCTGGATGCAAACATCACAAAGAAGTTTCTGAGAATGCTGCTGTCTACTTTTGATATATAATCCCGTTTCCAACGAAATCCTCAAATCTATCCAAATATCCACTTGCAGATTCCAAAAGAAGAGTGTCTCAAAACTGCTCTATCAATAGAAATGTTCAGCACAGTTAGTTGAGTAGATACAGCATAAACATGTTTCTGAGATTACTTCTATCTCGCATTCATGGGAAGATATTTCCTTTTTCCAGATAGGCTACAAAGCCCTCCAAATGTCCACTTCCAGATACTACAAATAGAGTGCTGCACAACTGCTCTATGTGAGGGGAAGTTCAATTCTGTGACTTGAATGCAGACACCACAAAGAAGTTTCTGAGAATGCTGCTGTCTAATTTTTACATGTAAGCCCGTTTCCAACGAAATCCTCAAAGCTATCCAAATATCCGCATGCAGAATCTTCAAAAAGAGTGTTCCAGAAGTACTGCATGAAACGAAAGGTTCAAGTCCGTTTGTTGAGGACACACATCACAAATAAGTTTCTCAGAATGCTTCTGTCTTGTTTTCATTGGAAGATATTTCCTTTTTCACCATAGTTCAGAAAGCGCTCCAAATGTCCACTTCCAGATACTCCAAAAAGAGTGTTTCCAACCTGCTCTATGAATGGGAATGTTCCACTCTGTGACTTGAATGGAAATATGGCAAAGTATTTTCTGAGTATGCTGCTGTGTACGTTTTATATTGCATCCCGTTTCCAACGAAATCCTCAAAGCGATCCAAATATCCACTTGCAGATTCCAAAAAAAGAGTGTTTCAAAGTGCTCTGTCAGTACAAAGGTTCAACACTGTTAGTTGATTAGATGCATCATAAACAAGTTCCTGAGATAGATTCTATGTCGTTTTTATGGGAAGATATTTCCTTTTTCACCATAGGCCTGAAAGCGCTCCAAATGTCCACTTCCAGATACTACAATAAGAGTGTTTCCAACCTGCTCTATGAAACGGAAGGTTCAACTCTGTGACTTGATTGCAAACATCACGAAGGTGTTTCTGAGAATGCTTCTGTCTAGATTTTCTTTGAAGACATTCCCGTTTCCAACGAAATCCTCACAGCTATCCAAATATCCTCTTGCAGATTCTACAAAAAGTGTGGTTCAAAACTGCTGTATCAAAAGAATGGATCAACACTGTTAGTTGAGTACCCACATCACAAACGTGATTCTCAGAATGCTTCTGTCTAGTTTCTGTAGGTAGATATTTCCTATTTTAAGCATAGGCCTGAAAGCGCTCCAAATGCCCGCTTGCAGACACTATAAAAAGAGGGTTTCAAACCTACTCTATGAAAGGGAATGTTCAACTCTGAGAGCTGGATGCAAACATCACAAAGAAGTTTCTGAGAATGCTGCTGTCTACTTTTTATATATAATCCCGTTTCCAACGAAATCCTCAAATCTATCCAAATATCCACTTGCAGATTCCAAAAGAAGAGTGTCTCAAAACTGCTCTATCAATAGAAATGTTCAGCACAGTTAGTTGAGTAGATACAGCATAAACATGTTTCTGAGATTACTTCTATCTCGCATTCATGGGAAGATATTTCCTTTTTCCAGATAGGCTACAAAGCCCTCCAAATGTCCACTTCCAGATACTACAGAAAGAGTGTTTCCAACCTGCTCTATGAAACGGAAGGTTCAACTCTGTGACTTGATTGCAAACATCACGAAGGTGTTTCTGAGAATGCTTCTGTCTAGATTTTCTTTGAAGACATTACCGTTTCCAACGAAATCCTCAAAGCTAGCCAAATATCCACCTGCAGATTCTACAAAAAGAGTGTTTCAAAAGTGCTCTGTCCAAACCAAGGTTCAATTCTGACAGTTGAGTGCACACATCACAAACGTGATTCTGCGAATGCTTCTGTCTAGTTTTTGTCGGAAGATATTTCCTTTTTCAGCATAGGCCCCAAGGAGCTCAAAATGTCCACTGCCAGATAGTACGAGAAGATTGTTTCAAACCTGCTCTGTGAAAGGGAATGTTCAACTCTGTGACTTGAATGTAAACATCCCTAAGATGTTTCTTAGAATGCTTCTGGCTAGATTTGATTTGAAGATATTCCCGTTTCCAACGAAATCCTCAAAGCTTTCCAAATATCCACTTCCAGATTCTATAAAAAGAATGTTTCAGAACAGTTCTGTCAAAAGAAAGGTTCAACTCTGTTAGTGGAGAACACACATCACAATCAAGGTTCTGAGAATGCTTCTGTCTAAATTTTCTATGAAGACATTCCCGTTTCCAACGAAATCCTCACAGCTATCCAAATATCCACTTGCAGATTCTACAAAAAGTGTGGTTCAAAACTGCTGTATCAAAAGAATGGATCAACACTGTTAGTTGAGTACCCACATCACAAACGTGATTCTCAGAATGCTTCTGTCTAGTTTCTATAGGTAGATATTTCCTTTTTCAGCATAGGCCTGAAAGCGCTCCAAATGCCCGCTTCCAGACACTATAAAAAGAGGGTTTCAAACCTACTCTATGAAAGGGAATGTTCAACTCTGAGAGCTGGATGCAAACATCACAAAGAAGTTTCTGAGAATGCTGCTGTCTACTTTTTATATATAATCCCGTTTCCAACGAAATCCTCAAATCTATCCAAATATCCACTTGCAGATTCCAAAAGAAGAGTGTCTCAAAACTGCTCTATCAATAGAAATGTTCAGCACAGTTAGTTGAGTAGATACAGCATAAACATGTTTCTGAGATTACTTCTATCTCGCATTCATGGGAAGATATTTCCTTTTTCCAGATAGGCTACAAAGCCCTCCAAATGTCCACTTCCAGATACTACAAAAAGAGTGTTTCCAACCTGCTCTATGAAACGGAAGGTTCAACTCTGTGACTTGATTGCAAACATCACGAAGGTGTTTCTGAGAATGCTTCTGTCTAGCATTTTCTTTGAAGACATTACCGTTTCCAACGAAATCCTCAAAGCTAGCCAAATATCCACCTGCAGATTCTACAAAAAGAGTGTTTCAAAAGTGCTCTGTCCAAACCAAGGTTCAATTCTGACAGTTGAGTGCACACATCACAAACGTGATTCTGCGAATGCTTCTGTCTAGTTTTTGTCGGAAGATATTTCCTTTTTCAGCATAGGCCCCAAGGAGCTCAAAATGTCCACTGCCAGATAGTACGAGAAGATTGTTTCAAACCTGCTCTGTGAAAGGGAATGTTCAACTCTGTGACTTGAATGTAAACATCCCTAAGATGTTTCTTAGAATGCTTCTGGCTAGATTTTATTTGAAGATATTCCCGTTTCCAACGAAATCCTCAAAGCTTTCCAAATATCCACTTCCAGATTCTATAAAAAGAATGTTTCAGAACAGTTCTGTCAAAAGAAAGGTTCAACTCTGTTAGTGGAGAACACACATCACAATCAAGGTTCTGAGAATGCTTCTGTCTAAATTTTCTATGAAGACCATTCCCGTTTCCAACGAAATCCTCACAGCTATCCAAATATCCACTTGCAGGTTCTACAAAAAGTGTGGTTCAAAACTGCTGTATCAAAAGAATGGATCAACACTGTTAGTTGAGTACCCACATCACAAACGTGATTCTCAGAATGCTTCTGTCTAGTTTCCATAGGTAGATATTTCCTTTTTCAGCATAGGCCTGAAAGCGCTCCAAATGCCCGCTTCCAGACACTATAAAAAGAGGGTTTCAAACCTACTCTATGAAAGGGAATGTTCAACTCTGAGAGCTGGATGCAAACATCACAAAGAAGTTTCTGAGAATGCTGCTGTCTACTTTTGATATATAATCCCGTTTCCAACGAAATCCTCAAATCTATCCAAATATCCACTTGCAGATTCCAAAAGAAGAGTGTCTCAAAACTGCTCTATCAATAGAAATGTTCAGCACAGTTAGTTGAGTAGATACAGCATAAACATGTTTCTGAGATTACTTCTATCTCGCATTCATGGGAAGATATTTCCTTTTTCCAGATAGGCTACAAAGCCCTCCAAATGTCCACTTCCAGATACTACAAAAAGAGTGTTTCCAACCTGCTCTATGAAACGGAAGGTTCAACTCTGTGACTTGATTGCAAACATCACGAAGGTGTTTCTGAGAATGCTTCTGTCTAGATTTTCTTTGAAGACATTACCGTTTCCAACGAAATCCTCAAAGCTAGCCAAATATCCACCTGCAGATTCTACAAAAAGAGTGTTTCAAAAGTGCTCTGTCCAAACCAAGGTTCAATTCTGACAGTTGAGTGCACACATCACAAACGTGATTCTGCGAATGCTTCTGTCTAGTTTTTGTCGGAAGATATTTCCTTTTTCAGCATAGGCCCCAAGGAGCTCAAAATGTCCACTGCCAGATAGTACGAGAAGATTGTTTCAAACCTGCTCTGTGAAAGGGAATGTTCAACTCTGTGACTTGAATGTAAACATCCCTAAGATGTTTCTTAGAATGCTTCTGGCTAGATTTGATTTGAAGATATTCCCGTTTCCAACGAAATCCTCAAAGCTTTCCAAATATCCACTTCCAGATTCTATAAAAAGAATGTTTCAGAACAGTTCTGTCAAAAGAAAGGTTCAACTCTGTTAGTGGAGAACACACATCACAATCAAGGTTCTGAGAATGCTTCTGTCTAAATTTTCTATGAAGACATTCCCGTTTCCAACGAAATCCTCACAGCTATCCAAATATCCACTTGCAGATTCTACAAAAGGTGTGGTTCAAAACTGCTGTATCAAAAGAATGGATCAACACTGTTAGTTGAGTACCCACATCACAAACGTGATTCTCAGAATGCTTCTGTCTAGTTTCTATAGGTAGATATTTCCTTTTTCAGCATAGGCCTGAAAGCGCTCCAAATGCCCGCTTCCAGACACTATAAAAAGAGGGTTTCAAACCTACTGTATGAAAGGGAATGTTCAACTCTGAGAGCTGGATGCAAACATCACAAAGAAGTTTCTGAGAATGCTGCTGTCTACTTTTGATATATAATCCCGTTTCCAACGAAATCCTCAAATCTATCCAAATATCCACTTGCAGATTCCAAAAGAAGAGTGTCTCAAAACTGCTCTATCAATAGAAATGTTCAGCACAGTTAGTTGAGTAGATACAGCATAAACATGTTTCTGAGATTACTTCTATCTCGCATTCATGGGAAGATATTTCCTTTTTCCACATAGGCTACAAAGCCCTCCAAATGTCCACTTCCAGATACTACAAAAAGAGTGTTTCCAACCTGCTCTATGAAACGGAAGGTTCAACTCTGTGACTTGATTGCAAACATCACGAAGGTGTTTCTGAGAATGCTTCTGTCTAGATTTTCTTTGAAGACATTACCGTTTCCAACGAAATCCTCAAAGCTAGCCAAATATCCACCTGCAGATTCTACAAAAAGAGTGTTTCAAAAGTGCTCTGTCCAAACCAAGGTTCAATTCTGACAGTTGAGTGCACACATCACAAACGTGATTCTGCGAATGCTTCTGTCTAGTTTTTGTCGGAAGATATTTCCTTTTTCAGCATAGGCCCCAAGGAGCTCAAAATGTCCACTGCCAGATAGTACGAGAAGATTGTTTCAAACCTGCTCTGTGAAAGGGAATGTTCAACTCTGTGACTTGAATGTAAACATCCCTAAGATGTTTCTTAGAATGCTTCTGGCTAGATTTGATTTGAAGATATTCCCGTTTCCAACGAAATCCTCAAAGCTTTCCAAATATCCACTTCCAGATTCTATAAAAAGAATGTTTCAGAACAGTTCTGTCAAAAGAAAGGTTCAACTCTGTTAGTGGAGAACACACATCACTATCAAGGTTCTGAGAATGCTTCTGTCTAAATTTTCTATGAAGACATTCCCGTTTCCAACGAAATCCTCACAGCTATCCAAATATCCACTTGCAGATTCTACAAAAAGTGTGGTTCAAAACTGCTGTATCAAAAGAATGGATCAACACTGTTAGTTGAGTACCCACATCACAAACGTGATTCTCAGAATGCTTCTGTCTAGTTTCTATAGGTAGATATTTCCTTTTTCAGCATAGGCCTGAAAGCGCTCCAAATGCCCGCTTCCAGACACTATAAAAAGAGGGTTTCAAACCTACTCTATGAAAGGGAATGTTCAACTCTGAGAGCTGGATGCAAACATCACAAAGAAGTTTCTGAGAATGCTGCTGTCTACTTTTTATATATAATCCCGTTTCCAACGAAATCCTCAAATCTATCCAAATATCCACTTGCAGATTCCAAAAGAAGAGTGTCTCAAAACTGCTCTATCAATAGAAATGTTCAGCACAGTTAGTTGAGTAGATACAGCATAAACATGTTTCTGAGATTACTTCTATCTCGCATTCATGGGAAGATATTTCCTTTTTCCAGATAGGCTACAAAGCCCTCCAAATGTCCACTTCCAGATACTACAAATAGAGTGCTGCACAACTGCTCTATGTGAGGGGAAGTTCAATTCTGTGACTTGAATGCAGACACCACAAAGAAGTTTCTGAGAATGCTGCTGTCTAATTTTTACATGTAAGCCCGTTTCCAACGAAATCCTCAAAGCTATCCAAATATCCGCATGCAGAATCTTCAAAAAGAGTGTTCCAGAAGTACTGCATGAAACGAAAGGTTCAAGTCCGTTTGTTGAGGACACACATCACAAATAAGTTTCTCAGAATGCTTCTGTCTTGTTTTCATTGGAAGATATTTCCTTTTTCACCATAGTTCAGAAAGCGCTCCAAATGTCCACTTCCAGATACTCCAAAAAGAGTGTTTCCAACCTGCTCTATGAATGGGAATGTTCCACTCTGTGACTTGAATGGAAATATGGCAAAGTATTTTCTGAGTATGCTGCTGTGTACGTTTTATATTGCATCCCGTTTCCAACGAAATCCTCAAAGCGATCCAAATATCCACTTGCAGATTCCAAAAAAAGAGTGTTTCAAACTGCTCTGTCAGTACAAAGGTTCAACACTGTTAGTTGATTAGATGCATCATAAACAAGTTCCTGAGATAGCTTCTATGTCGTTTTTATGGGAAGATATTTCCTTTTTCACCATAGGCCTGAAAGCGCTCCAAATGTCCACTTCCAGATACTACAATAAGAGTGTTTCCAACCTGCTCTATGAAACGGAAGGTTCAACTCTGTGACTTGATTGCAAACATCACGAAGGTGTTTCTGAGAATGCTTCTGTCTAGATTTTCTTTGAAGACATTCCCGTTTCCAACGAAATCCTCACAGCTATCCAAATATCCTCTTGCAGATTCTACAAAAAGTGTGGTTCAAAACTGCTGTATCAAAAGAATGGATCAACACTGTTAGTTGAGTACCCACATCACAAACGTGATTCTCAGAATGCTTCTGTCTAGTTTCTGTAGGTAGATATTTCCTATTTTAAGCATAGGCCTGAAAGCGCTCCAAATGCCCGCTTCCAGACACTATAAAAAGAGGGTTTCAAACCTACTCTATGAAAGGGAATGTTCAACTCTGAGAGCTGGATGCAAACATCACAAAGAAGTTTCTGAGAATGCTGCTGTCAACTTTTTATATATAATCCCGTTTCCAACGAAATCCTCAAATCTATCCAAATATCCACTTGCAGATTCCAAAAGAAGAGTGTCTCAAAACTGCTCTATCAATAGAAATGTTCAGCACAGTTAGTTGAGTAGATACAGCATAAACATGTTTCTGAGATTACTTCTATCTCGCATTCATGGGAAGATATTTCCTTTTTCCAGAAAGGCTACAAAGCCCTCCAAATGTCCACTTCCAGATACTACAAAAAGAGTGTTTCCAACCTGCTCTATGAAACGGAAGGTTCAACTCTGTGACTTGATTGCAAACATCACGAAGGTGTTTCTGAGAATGCTTCTGTGTAGATTTTCTTTGAAGACATTACCGTTTCCAACGAAATCCTCAAAGCTAGCCAAATATCCACCTGCAGATTCTACAAAAAGAGTGTTTCAAAAGTGCTCTGTCCAAACCAAGGTTCAATTCTGACAGTTGAGTGCACACATCACAAACGTGATTCTGCGAATGCTTCTGTCTAGTTTTTGTCGGAAGATATTTCCTGTTTCAGCATAGGCCCCAAGCAGCTCAAAATGTCCACTGCCAGATAGTACGAGAAGATTGTTTCAAACCTGCTCTGTGAAAGGGAATGTTCAACTCTGTGACTTGAATGTAAACATCCCTAAGATGTTTCTTAGAATGCTTCTGGCTAGATTTTATTTGAAGATATTCCCGTTTCCAACGAAATCCTCAAAGCTTTCCAAATATCCACTTCCAGATTCTATAAAAAGAATGTTTCAAAACAGTTCTGTCAAAAGAAAGGTTCAACTCTGTTAGTGGAGAACACACATCACAATCAAGGTTCTGAGAATGCTTCTGTCTAAATTTTCTATGAAGACATTCCCGTTTCCAATGAAATCCTCACAGCTATCCAAATATCCACTTGCAGATTCTACAAAAGGGTGGTTCAAAACTGCTCTATTGAAAGGAATATTTACCTCTGTGAGTTGAATGCAAACATCACAAAGTAGTTTCTGAGAATGTTTCTGTCTAGTTTCTATAGGTAGATATTTCCTTTTTCAGCATAGGCCTGAAAGCGCTCCAAATGCCCGCTTCCAGACACTATAAAAAGAGGGTTTCCAAACTACTTTATGAAAGGGAATGTTCAACTCTGAGAGCTGGATGCAAACATCGCAAAGAAATTTCTTAGAATATTGCTGTCTACTTTTTATATATAATCCCGTTTCCAACGAAATCCTCAAATCTATCCAAATATCCACTTGCAGATTCCAAAAGAAGAGTGTCTCAAAACTGCTCTATCAATAGAAATGTTCAGCACAGTTAGTTGAGTAGATACAGCATAAACATGTTTCTGAGATTACTTCTATCTCGCATTCATGGGAAGATATTTCCTTTTTCCAGATAGGCTACAAAGCCCTCCAAATGTCCACTTCCAGATACTACAAATAGAGTGCTGCACAACTGCTCTATGTGAGGGGAAGTTCAATTCTGTGACTTGAATGCAGACACCACAAAGAAGTTTCTGAGAATGCTGCTGTCTAATTTTTACATGTAAGCCCGTTTCCAACGAAATCCTCAAAGCTATCCAAATATCCGCATGCAGAATCTTCAAAAAGAGTGTTCCAGAAGTACTGCATGAAACGAAAGGTTCAAGTCCGTTTGTTGAGGACACACATCACAAATAAGTTTCTCAGAATGCTTCTGTCTTGTTTTCATTGGAAGATATTTCCTTTTTCACCATAGTTCAGAAAGCGCTCCAAATGTCCACTTCCAGATACTCCAAAAAGAGTGTTTCCAACCTGCTCTATGAATGGGAATGTTCCACTCTGTGACTTGAATGGAAATATGGCAAAGTATTTTCTGAGTATGCTGCTGTGTACGTTTTATATTGCATCCCGTTTCCAACGAAATCCTCAAAGCGATCCAAATATCCACTTGCAGATTCCAAAAAAAGAGTGTTTCAAAGTGCTCTGTCAGTACAAAGGTTCAACACTGTTAGTTGATTAGATGCATCATAAACAAGTTCCTGAGATAGCTTCTATGTCGTTTTTATGGGAAGATATTTCCTTTTTCACCATAGGCCTGAAAGCGCTCCAAATGTCCACTTCCAGATACTACAATAAGAGTGTTTCCAACCTGCTCTATGAAACGGAAGGTTCAACTCTGTGACTTGATTGCAAACATCACGAAGGTGTTTCTGAGAATGCTTCTGTCTAGATTTTCTTTGAAGACATTCCCGTTTCCAACGAAATCCTCACAGCTATCCAAATATCCGCTTGCAGATTCTACAAAAAGTGTGGTTCAAAACTGCTGTATCAAAAGAATGGATCAACACTGTTAGTTGAGTACCCACATCACAAACGTGATTCTCAGAATGCTTCTGTCTAGTTTCTGTAGGTAGATATTTCCTATTTTAAGCATAGGCCTGAAAGCGCTCCAAATGCCCGCTTCCAGACACTATAAAAAGAGGGTTTCAAACCTACTCTATGAAAGGGAATGTTCAACTCTGAGAGCTGGATGCAAACATCACAAAGATGTTTCTGAGAATGCTGCTGTCTACTTTTTATATATAATCCCGTTTCCAACGAAATCCTCAAATCTATCCAAATATCCACTTGCAGATTCCAAAAGAAGAGTGTCTCAAAACTGCTCTATCAATAGAAATGTTCAGCACAGTTAGTTGAGTAGATACAGCATAAACATGTTTCTGAGATTACTTCTATCTCGCATTCATGGGAAGATATTTCCTTTTTCCAGATAGGCTACAAAGCCCTCCAAATGTCCACTTCCAGATACTACAAATAGAGTGCTGCACAACTGCTCTATGTGAGGGGAAGTTCAATTCTGTGACTTGAATGCAGACACCACAAAGAAGTTTCTGAGAATGCTGCTGTCTAATTTTTACATGTAAGCCCGTTTCCAACGAAATCCTCAAAGCTATCCAAATATCCGCATGCAGAATCTTCAAAAAGAGTGTTCCAGAAGTACTGCATGAAACGAAAGGTTCAAGTCCGTTTGTTGAGGACACACATCACAAATAAGTTTCTCAGAATGCTTCTGTCTTGTTTTCATTGGAAGATATTTCCTTTTTCACCATAGTTCAGAAAGCGCTCCAAATGTCCACTTCCAGATACTCCAAAAAGAGTGTTTCCAACCTGCTCTATGAATGGGAATGTTCCACTCTGTGACTTGAATGGAAATATGGCAAAGTATTTTCTGAGTATGCTGCTGTGTACGTTTTATATTGCATCCCGTTTCCAACGAAATCCTCAAAGCGATCCAAATATCCACTTGCAGATTCCAAAAAAAGAGTGTTTCAAACTGCTCTGTCAGTACAAAGGTTCAACACTGTTAGTTGATTAGATGCATCAGAAACAAGTTCCTGAGATAGCTTCTATGTCGTTTTTATGGGAAGATATTTCCTTTTTCACCATAGGCCTGAAAGCGCTCCAAATGTCCACTTCCAGATACTACAATAAGAGTGTTTCCAACCTGCTCTACGAAACGGAAGGTTCAACTCTGTGACTTGATTGCAAACATCACGAAGGTGTTTCTGAGAATGCTTCTGTCTAGATTTTCTTTGAAGACATTACCGTTTCCAACGAAATCCTCACAGCTATCCAAATATCCACTTGCAGATTCTACAAAAAGTGTGGTTCAAAACTGCTGTATCAAAAGAATGGATCAACACTGTTAGTTGAGTACCCACATCACAAACGTGATTCTCAGAATGCTTCTGTCTAGTTTCTGTAGGTAGATATTTCCTATTTTAAGCATAGGCCTGAAAGCGCTCCAAATGCCCGCTTCCAGACACTATAAAAAGAGGGTTTCAAACCTACTCTATGAAAGGGAATGTTCAACTCTGAGAGCTGGATGCAAACATCACAAAGAAGTTTCTGAGAATGCTGCTGTCTACTTTTTATATATAATCCCGTTTCCAACGAAATCCTCAAATCTATCCAAATATCCACTTGCAGATTCCAAAAGAAGAGTGTCTCAAAACTGCTCTATCAATAGAAATGTTCAGCACAGTTAGTTGAGTAGATACAGCATAAACATGTTTCTGAGATTACTTCTATCTCGCATTCATGGGAAGATATTTCCTTTTTCCAGATAGGCTACAAAGCCCTCCAAATGTCCACTTCCAGATACTACAAATAGAGTGCTGCACAACTGCTCTATGTGAGGGGATGTTCAATTCTGTGACTTGAATGCAGACACCACAAAGAAGTTTCTGAGAATGCTGCTGTCTAATTTTTACATGTAAGCCCGTTTCCAACGAAATCCTCAAAGCTATCCAAATATCCGCATGCAGAATCTTCAAAAAGAGTGTTCCAGAAGTACTGCATGAAACGAAAGGTTCAAGTCCGTTTGTTGAGGACACACATCACAAATAAGTTTCTCAGAATGCTTCTGTCTTGTTTTCATTGGAAGATATTTCCTTTTTCACCATAGTTCAGAAAGCGCTCCAAATGTCCACTTCCAGATACTCCAAAAAGAGTGTTTCCAACCTGCTCTATGAATGGGAATGTTCCACTCTGTGACATGAATGGAAATATGGCAAAGTATTTTCTGAGTATGCTGCTGTGTACGTTTTATATTGCATCCCGTTTCCAACGAAATCCTCAAAGCGATCCAAATATCCACTTGCAGATTCCAAAAAAAGAGTGTTTCAAACTGCTCTGTCAGTACAAAGGTTCAACACTGTTAGTTGATTAGATGCATCATAAACAAGTTCCTGAGATAGCTTCTATATCGTTTTTATGGGAAGATATTTCCTTTTTCACCATAGGCCTGAAAGCGCTCCAAATGTTCACTTACAGATACTACAATAAGAGTGTTTCCAACCTGCTCTATGAAACGGAAGGTTCAACTCTGTGACTTGATTGCAAACATCACGAAGGTATTTCTGAGAATGCTTCTGTCTAGATTTTCTTTGAAGACATTCCCGTTTCCAACGAAATCCTCACAGCTATCCAAATATCCTCTTGCAGATTCTACAAAAAGTGTGGTTCAAAACTGCTGTATCAAAAGAATAGATCAACACTGTTAGTTGAGTACCCACATCACAAACGTGATTCTCAGAATGCTTCTGTCTAGTTTCTGTAGGTAGATATTTCCTATTTTAAGCATAGGCCTGAAAGCGCTCCAAATGCCCGCTTCCAGACACTATAAAAAGAGGGTTTCAAACCTACTCTATGAAAGGGAATGTTCAACTCTGAGAGCTGGATGCAAACATCACAAAGAAGTTTCTGAGAATGCTGCTGTCTACTTTTTATATATAATCCCGTTTCCAACGAAATCCTCAAATCTATCCAAATATCCACTTGCAGATTCCAAAAGAAGAGTGTCTCAAAACTGCTCTATCAATAGAAATGTTCAGCACAGTTAGTTGAGTAGATACAGCATAAACGTGTTTCTGAGATTACTTCTATCTCGCATTCATGGGAAGATATTTCCTTTTTCCAGATAGGCTACAAAGCCCTCCAAATGTCCACTTCCAGATACTACAAAAAGAGTGTTTCCAACCTGCTCTATGAAACGGAAGGTTCAACTCTGTGACTTGATTGCAAACATCACGAAGGTGTTTCTGAGAATGCTTCTGTCTAGATTTTCTTTGAAGACATTACCGTTTCCAACGAAATCCTCAAAGCTAGCCAAATATCCACCTGCAGATTCTACAAAAAGAGTGTTTCAAAAGTGCTCTGTCCAAACCAAGGTT